>NC_000002.12:62311564-62614594 GCF_000001405.40 Homo sapiens | reverse complement strand
ATCTAAATGTCCAACAATAGGGCAATGATTTAATGGATGCTGAAATAGTCATAAAATGAAAACTTCTATAGAGGTTTAAAGATTAAAGGTAAGTCTGATGAATTATTAAGTATAAAGTTATGGATCAATATGTAAAATATGATTTTATTTTTGTGAAAAGAAATAACGTATGTGCCTGAATGTTCTTTGAAAAATGTCTAGAAAGATGTCAAAACTTTGACGGTGCCTACCTTTTGAGAATGGGTATGTAAATTGTAGTGGGGTGTGGGATGTATGTGAGTAGTTGAAGATTTTCACTTTCTACTTTATAAATTGTTTATGTATATATTCTATAAATAATTCCATATTCACAGAGTTAGTTTGCAACAAAAATAAAATGAACATATACAAAGGAATATAACAGACTAGGTCAATTGTACAAAATATATTTTATGGGAATTTGCCATTTAAAGCTGAGCAGAACTGAAATAAACTGTGACTCCCCCATATCTTAAACAAGGAATTTTGAACCCTAACTTTGTTTATGGATTTGTGTGAACTGCAAAAAAAGTTACAAAATGTAGGGATTTAATTGGTACCAGAGCCAAAGCTGTATATTTTCTAGAACAAAACAACAGTGGAGACTTCAGATATGATGCACATTCTGTTTTGGATCTGGGCCCACCCACACAAATGGACAACACCACAGACATCAGTGCCTTTCCTGGAGTTCATCCACCTTTTCACTCCAAGAAAGTTACTTCTCATTCTCAGCTTACCTGTTTCCTCAGCCATCCTTGATTTCACCCTGTCTTGGTTCCCAACCATTCATCTCTTCTTCTGAATCAATGTTCATGTTTTCTTTTCTGTGACCTCTTCCAGGATAACACTTCTGGTATTTTTTTCCCTCCAGCCAGCTGGACCTGCCCTCAGCTACCTCATCTCTCTCTGTGACCTAATGACAGAAAAGCACATGATTCTCTTCACCTGACTTCATATATGGGTCCATGGTAGAGTTCTCTTACTTAAGCATGAAACTCTTGAAGAGAGCATAAACTTTGTTTAAGAAACCAGTATAACCCAGCACTACCTTATGAATAATTACAGTACAAACATCATTTGCTGCTTAAACTATATCGTTTTTTGACCAGTTTTAAACATTTAAAAGTTGTGATGTGACATATTCCAATGGAAAATTGCAATTTCCAAATCTCTACTCTTGAATCATTGGTTAATAAATGTTCCTGATCTGGTTTGCTTAGTTGACTTTGAAATATATCAGTCTGTGGTCCAGAATTTAAAACTTTCAAATTAGAAGAATGCATAGAGATCAATCATCTTATCCAAGGGTATCTGAGCTTCTCACTAGCTATAAGAAAGTGCTGGGATTACAGCTATAAGAAAAAGGAGGAAAAGGAGGAGGACGAGGAGAAAGAGAAGGAAGAAGAGAATAAAGAAGAGTTTTGACCAGTAATATAAACATAGTTCTAAATCCGAATAACAATTTATTCTTCCAAAGTACACAGGTATAAGCCTACAGATCTAGTCTAAAATTACAAGTATATTTGGTTTCAATTTGGATTCCAGATTAACATCAAGCTTTTTTTTTTTTTTTTTGAGATGGAGTTTCACTCTTGTCGCCCAGGCTGGAACGCAGTGGCAGGATCTCAGCTCACTGCAACCTCCGCTGCCCAGGTTCAGGAGATACTCCTACCTCAACCTCCGTAGTAGCTAGGATTACAGGCACACACCACTACACCTGGCTAATTTTTGTATTTTTGGTAGAGACATGATTTCATCACGTTGTCCAAGCTAGTCTCGAACTCCTGACCTCAGGTGATCCGCCTGCCTCAGCCTCCCAAAGTGCTGGGATTACAGGCATGAGCCACCGTGCCTGGCCACTTTTTTCCTTTTATTTCAGTAGTTTTTTTTAAAAAAAGATATACTTTTTTACAATCAGATAAATCCAAATGTTAGCCAGAATTGGTCCCATAGCCATAAAATTTAGTATAATACTCGGATTCATATGCTTGCCTCTAAAATTTCAGAGATTTGGTATTGCTGTTAGTTTAATGAGTTTCTCTTAAAATTGAGCAACTTGGCTAGAGAAAACTTATTAATTTAGAGTTTATAATATAAGCGCAATTGAAGAAACTCATAGTATGAATCATGTCATCAAAATTTGTAAATCTCTTTTGAAGTTGTGACTTTATTTCTACTACAGTCATATGATACTTCAAAATCTGTGATTCCATGAAGCCAAGAGTAGCTCTTCAACAGGAAATGAATGAGTGCTTCAGGTAAATGCTGTAAAATCCACATGGTCAGTTTAAGTCTCAATATCTGTACTTCCTTGAACAAATAAATGATGTATTTCTTTTTCCTTTCTCAGCTTCTGATCCCATTAGTAAGAAAATACAGTCTTATGAGCAATGATGGAGCTGCATCTCTTAGGGGCATTTGATTCCCAAGAGACCAAAGAGCAAAGAGAATGTCAATTTAAAAAAATCAAATGTTTCCATGACTTAGCTATTTAACTGCTTTAAAATGAATGAATGCTGCTTCAAGTTCTTTCAAATACCCCACATCTTGGCAACAACGAAAGGAATTAACATGAAGAAAATTTACAATCTTTCATCACATCGAACAATGTCCCACATTTGAAAAGTTCACAGCACAGATTTCTGGTTACTGAAAGAAAGGAAAGACCTTCTTTGGATTTGAATAAACAGATGGACTTTCTTCTCCTTTTTCTTATAGTGCCCGATTTGTGTAAAGGGAGGTGGGAAGAAAACATCTTAGCTTAAAAGAGTGTCCTATAAAATAAAAGGTTTCATACTTGCCTATAGCTAATCTCTGAAGGTGGTTACAAAAGAGGATTTCTGAAACATTTTATATGCAATGGCCCAGACATTTGCATAAGTGGTCAAACTTTCAAGATGACAACTTAAAAATATAATACTCCTTTTGGACAAGCTTGTTTTTAAAATAGCAGCATCATTAACTTTGGCAAATCCAATTCTTAAATATCCTTTAAAATAGTTGATAAAAGAAAGAAGGTATCAGAACTATATAATGGTTGCACTGCATTTTTTAAAACCTCTTATTTTGAAATAATTTTAGAATCACAGAAAGTTGCAAATATAGTATAAGGAGTCCCATGTGCCCTACATGATGACATCTTATAAAGGGATAGTATAATATCAAAACCAAGAAATTGACATTGGCACATTACTGTTATTTTTTTATTATACTTTAAGTTTTAGAGTACGTGTGCACAACGTGCAGGTTTCTTACATATGCATACATGTGCCATGCTGGTGTGCTGCACCCATTAACTCGTCATTTAATATTAGGTATATCTCCTAATGCTATCCCTCCCCCCTCCCCCCACCCCACAACAGGCCCCAGTGTGTGATGTTCCCCTTCCTGTGTCCATGTGTTCTCATTGTTCAATTCCCACCTATGAGTGAGAACATGCGGTGTTTGGTTTTTTTGTCCTTGCGATAGTTTGCTGAGAATGATGGTTTCCAGCTTCATCCATGTCCCTACAAAGGACATGAACTCATCATTTTTTATGGCTGCATAGTATTCCATGGGGTATATGTGCCACATTTTCTTAATCCAGTCTATCATTGTTGGACATTTGGCTTGGTTCCAAGTCTTTGCTATTGTGAATAGTGCCACAATAAACATACATGTGCATGTGTCTTTATAGCAGCATGATTTATAATGCTTTGGGTATATACCCAGTAATGGGACGGCTGGGTCAAATGGTATTTCTAGTTCTAGATCCCTGAGGAATCGCCACACTGAATTCCACAATGGTTGAACGAGTTTACAGTCCCACCAACAGTGTAAAAGTGTTCCTATTTCTCCACATCTTTTCCAGCACCTGTTGTTTCCTGACTTTTTAATGATTGCCATTCTAACTGGTGTGAGATGGTATCTCATTGTGGTTTTGATTTGCATTTCTCTGATGGCCAGTGATGATGAGCATATTTTCATGTGTCTGCTGGCTGCATAAATGTCTTCTCTTGAGAAGTGTCTGTTCATATCCTTCGCCCACTTTTTGATGGGGTTGTTTGTTTTTTTCTTGTAAATTTGTTTGAGTTCATTGTAGATTCTGGATATTAGCCCTTTGTCAGATGAGTAGATTGCAAAAATTTTCTCCCATTCTGTAGGTTGCCTGTTCACTCTGATGGTAGCTTCTTTTGCTGTGCAGAAGCTCTTTAGTTTAATTAGATCCCATTTGTCAATTTTGGCTTTTGTTGCCATTGCTTTCAGTGTTTTAGACATGAAGTCCTTGCCCATGCCTATGTCCTGAATGGTATTGCCTAGGTTTTCTTCTAGGGTTTTTATGTTTTCAGGTCTAACATTTAAGTCTTTAATCCATCTTGAATTAATTTTTGTACAAGGTGTAAGGAAGGGATCCAGTTTCAGCTTTCTACATATGGCTAGCCAGTTTTCCCAGCAACATTTATTAAACAGGGAATCCTTTCCCCATTGCTTGTTTTTCTCAGGTTTGTCAAAGATCAGATAGTTGTAGATACACAGCATTATTTCTGAGGGCTCTGTTCTGTTCCATTGATCTATATCTCTGTTTTGGTACCAGTACCATGCTGTTTTGGTTACTGTAGCCTTGTAGTATAGTTTGAAGTCAGGTAGCGTGATGCCTCTAGCTTTGTTCTTTTGGCTTAGGATTGACTTTACAATGTGGGCTCTTGTTTGGTTCCATAAGAACTTTAAAGTAGTCTTTTCCAATTCTGTGAAGAAAGTCATTGGTAGCTTCATGGGGATGGCATTCAATCTATAAATTACCTTGGGCAGTATGGCCATTTTCATGATATTGATTCTTCCCACCCATGAGCATGGAATGTTTTTCCATTTGTTTGTATCCTCTTTTACTTTACTGAGCAGTGGTTTGTAGTTCTCCTTGAAGAGGTCCTTCATGTCCCTTGTAAGCTGTATTCCTAGGTATTTTATTCTCTTTGGAGCAATTGTGAATGGGAGTTCACTCATGATTTGGCTTTCTGTCTGTTATTGGTGTATAAGAATGCTTTGATTTTTGCATATTGATTTTGTATCCTGAGACGTTGCTGAAGTCGCCTATCAGCTTAAGGAGATTTTGGGCTGAGACGATGGGGTTTTCTAGATATACAATCATGTCATCTGCAAACAGGGACAATTTGACTTCCTCTTTTCCTAATTCAATGCCCTTTATTTCCTTCTCCTGCCTGATTGCCCTGGCCAGAACTTCCAACACTATGTTGAATAGGAGTGGTGAGAGAGGGCATCCCTGTCTTGTGCCAGTTTTCAAAGGGAATGCTTCCAGTTTTTGCCCATTCAGTATGATATTGGTTGTGGGTTTGTCATAGATAGCTCTTATTATTTTGAGATACGTCCCATCAATACCTAATTTATTGAGAGTTTTTAGTATGAAGTGTTGCTGAATTTTGTCAAAGGTCTTTTCTGCATCTATTGAGATAATCATGCGGTTTTTGTCTTTGGTTCTGTTTACATGCTGCACTACGTTTATTGATTTGCATATGTTGAACCAGCCTTGCATCCCAGGGATGAAGCCCACTTGATCATGGTGGATAAGCTTTTTGATGTGCTACTGGATTCAGTTTGCCAGTATTTTACTGAGGATTTTTGCATCGATGTTCATCAGGGATATTGGTCTAAAATTCTCTTTTTTTGTTGTGTCTCTGCCAGGCTTTGGTATCAGGATGATGCTGGCCTCATAAAATGAGTTAGGGAGGAATCCCTCCTTTTCTATTGATTGGAATAGTTTCAGAAGGAATGGTACCAGCTCCTCCTTCTACCTCTGGTAGAAATCGGCTGTGAATCCATCTGGTCCTGGACTTTTTTTGGTTGGTAAGCTATTAATTATTGCCTCAATTTCAGAGCCTGTTATTGGTCTATTCAGAGATTCAACTTCTTCCTGGTTTAGTTTTGGGAGAGTGTATGTGTCGAGGAATTTATCCATTTCTTGTAGATTTTCTAGTTTATTTGCGTAGAGGTGTTTATAGTATTCTCTGATGGTAGTTTGTATTTCTGTGGAATCAGTGGTAATATCTCCTTTATCATTTTTTATTGCATCTATTTGATTCTTCTCTCTTTTCTTCTTTATTGGTCTTGCTAGCAGTCTATCAATTTTGATGATCCTTTCAAAAAACCAGCTCCTGGATTCATTGGATTTTTGAAGGGCTTTTTGTGTCTCTATCTCCTTCAGTTCTGCTCTGATCTTTGTTATTTCTTGCCTTCTGCTAGCTTTTGAATGTGTTTGCTCTTGCTTCTCTAGTTCTTCTAATTGTGATGTTAGGGTGTCAATTTTAGATCTTTCCTGCTTTCTCTTGTGGGCATTTAGTGCTATAAATTTCCCTCTACACACTGCTTTGAATGTGTCCCAGAGATTCTGGTATGTTGTGTCTTTGTTCTCGTTGGTTTCAAAGAACATCTTTATTTCTGCCTTCATTTCGTTATGTATCCAGTAGTCATTCAGGAGCAGGTTGTTCAGTTTCCATGTAGTTGAGCGGTTTTGAGTGAGATTCTTAATCCTGAGTTCTAGTTTGATTGCACTGTGGTCTGAGAGATAGTTTGCTATAATTTCTGTTCTTTTACATTTGCTGAGAAGTGCTTTACTTCCAACTATGTGGTCAATTTTGGAATAAGTGCGGTGTGGTGCTGAGAAGAATGTATATTCTGTTGATTTGGGATGGAGAGTTCTGTAGATGTCTATTAGGTCCGCTTGGTGCAGAGCTGAGTTCAATTCCTGGGTATCCTTGTTGACTTTCTGTCTCATTGATCTGTCTAATGTTGACAGTGGGGTGTTAAAGTCTCCCATTATTATTGGGTGGCAGTCTAAGTCTCTTTCTAGGTCTCTAAGGACTTGCTTTATGAATCTGGATGCTCCTGCATTGGGTGCATGTATATTTAGGTTAGCTCTTCTTGTTGAATTGATCCCTTTACCATTATGTAATGACCTTCTTTGTCTCTTTTGATCATTGTTGGTTTAAAGTCTGTTTTATCAGAGACTAGGATTGCAACCCCTGCCATTTTTTGTTTTCCATTTGCTTGGTAGATCTTCCTGCATCCCTTTATTTTGAGCCTATCTGTGTCTCTGCACGTGAGATGGGTTTCCTGAATACAGCACACTGATGGTTCTTGATTCTTTATCCAATTTGCCAGTCTGTGTCTTTTAATTGGCACCTTTAGCCCATTTACATTTAAGGTTAATATTGTTATGTGTGAATTTGATCCTGTCATTATGATGTTAGCTGGTTATGTTGCTCGTTAGTAGATGCAGTTTCTTCCTAGCATCGATGGTCTTTACGATTTGGCATGTTTTTGCAGTGGCTGGTACCGGTTGTTCCTTTCCATGTTCAGTGCTTCCTTCAGGAGCTCTTTTAGGGCAGTCCTGGTGGTGACAAAATCTCTCAACGTTTGCTTTTCTGTAAAGTATTTTATTTCTCCTTCACTTATGAAGCTTAGTTTGGCTGGATATGAAATTCTGGGTTGAAAATTCTTTCCTTTAAGAATGTTGAATATTGGCCCCCACTCTCTTCTGGCTTGTAGTTTCTGCCGAGGGATCCGCTGTTAGTCTGATGGGCTTCCCTTTGTGAGTAACCCGACCTTTGTCTCTAGCTGCCCTTAACACTTTTTCCTTCATTTCAACTTTGGTGAATCTGACAATTATGTGTCTTGGAGTTGCTCTTCTCAAGGAGTATCTTTGTGGCTTTCTCTGTTTTTCCTGAATTTGAATGTTGGCCTGCCTTGCTAGATTGGGGAAGTTCTCCTGGATAATATCCTGCAGAGTGTTTTCCAACTTGGTTCCATTCTCCCCGTCACTTTCAGGTACACCAATCAGATGTAGATTTGGCCTTTTCACATAGTCCCATATTTCTTGGAGGCTTTGTTCGTTTCTTTTTATTCTTTTTTCTCTAAACTTCTCCTCTCATTTTATTTCATTCATTTGATCTTCCATCACTGATACCCTTTCTTCCAGTTGATTGAATCAGCTACTGAGGCTTGTGCATTCGTCACATAGTTCTGGTGCCATGGTTTTCAGCTCCATCAGGTCCTTTAAGGACTTCTCTGCATTGGTTATTCTAGTTAGCCATTCATCTAATTTTTTTTTCAATGTTTTTAACTTCTTTGCTAGGGGTTCGAACTTCCTCCTTTAGCTCGGAGTAGTTTGATCGTCTGAAGCCTTCTTCTCTCAACTCGTCAAAGTCACTCTCCATCCAGCTTTGTTCCATTGCTGGTGAGGAGCTGCATTCCTTTGGAGGAGGAGATGCACTCTGATTTTTAGAGTTTCCAGTTTTTCTGCTCTGTTTTTTCCCCATCTTTGTGGTTTTATCTACCTTTGGTCTTTGATGATGGTGACGTACAGATGGGGTTTTGGTGTGGATGTCCTTTCTGTTTGTTAGTTTTCCTTCTAACAGACAGGACCCTCAGCTGCAGGTGTGTTGGAGTTTGCTGGAGGTCCACTCCAGACCCTGTTTGCCTGGGTATCAGCAGCGGAGGCTGCAGAACAGTGAATATTGCTGAACAGCAAATGTTGCTGCCTGATCATTCTTCTGGAAGCTTCGTCTCAGAGGGGTACCTGGCCGTGTGAGGTGTCAGTCTGCCCCTTCTGGGGGCTGCCTCCCAGATAGGCAACTCGGGGGTCAGGGACCCACTTGAGGAGGCAGTCTGTCTGTTCTCAGATCTCCAGCTGCATGCTGGGAGAACCACTACTCTCTTCAAAGCTGTCAGACAGGGACATTTAAGTCTGCAGAGGATTCTGCTCCCTTTTGTTTGGCTATTCCCTGCCCCCAGAGGTGGAGTCTACAGAGGCAGGCAGGCCTCCTTGAGCTGCGGTGGGCTCCACCCAGTTCGAGCTTCCTGGCAGCTTTGTTTACCTACTCAAGCCTCGGCAGTGGCGGGCGCCCCTCCCCCAGCCTTGCTGCCACCTTGCAGTGTGATCTCAGACTGCTGTGCTAGCAATGAGCGAGGCTCCGCGGGCGTGGGACCCTCTGAGCCAGGTGCGGGATATAATCTCCTGGTGTGCCGTTTGCTAAGACCATTGGAAAAGAGCAGTATTAGCGTGGGAGTGACCCGATTTTCCAGGTGCCATCTGTCACCCCTTTCTTTGACTAGGAAAGGGAATTCCCTGACCTCTTGAGCTTCCCAGGTGAAGCGATGCCTTGCCCTGCTTTGGCTCACGCTCGGTGCACTGCACCCACTGTCCTGCACCTACTTTTTGACACTCCCCAGTGAGATGAGCCCGGTACCTTAGTTGGAAATGCAGAAATCACCCATCTTCTGCGTTGCTCACGATGGGAGCTGTAGACTGGAGCTGTTCCTATTCGGCCATCTTGGCTCCACCCCAGGCACATTACTGTTAATGTACCCATCACAGTTGCTATGTTACTCAGTTGTCACCATTGTTTAACCTGCATTCATTTGCATGTACATGGGTGTGTGCATGTGTGCCTAATTCTATGCAATTTTATCCCCTATATAAATTTGTATAACCACCATTACAATCAAGATACAGCTGTTCAATCATTGCAAAAGAAATCTTTCATGCTATCTGCCTGTATTTGTACCCCCTACCTAACCTGTCTCCTTGTCACTTGGCAACTGCTAATCTGTTCTCAATCTCTAATTGCTTTTACTTCAAACACGTTATTTACATGGAGTCTTACTGCATGGAACCTTTTGAGATTGACTTTTTTCACTAAGCATAACACCTCTGAGGTTTATGCAGGTTGTTTCATGTATCAATAATTCATTCCTTTTGATTGCTGAGTGGTATTCCATGGTATGAATGTACCAGGGTTTGTTCAATCATTCAACCATTAAAGGGCATTTGGGTTATTCTGAGTATTTTGCTAGCACAAATAATGCTGTAGTAAACATCCACATTCAGATTTTTGTGTGAACATAAGTTTTCATTTTTCTGGAATACATGCCCAAGAGTGCTCAACTGCTGAGTCACATGTTTAGTTTTGTTAGAAAATGTCTCCTTTCCAGAGAGGCTGTACCATTTTACAATCTCACCTGCAATGTATGACCCATCTTCTCTGGATCCTTGCCAGTTTCCGTTATTATCACTATGTTTTCCCTTTATCCATTCCAAAATGTGTGTAGTGATGCCTTGTTGTGGTTTCAGTTTGCACTTCTCTAATGACTAATGATCTTGATCGTGTTGGGATGTGCTTATTTGCCTCTCCTACACTGTCTTCTGTGAAATTTTTCTCTATGCTTTTTGCTCATTTAAAAATTGAACTGTTTGGTTTTTACTGTTGAGTTTTGAGCTATTTATATATATTCTTGACGTAAAGCCTTTACTGAATATGTGGTTTGCAAATAATTTTCTCCCACCAATTCATTTGTATAAGACAAAAATCAGAACTAGGCCCTGAGATAAGAAGATATTTGATTTTGTAGATAGAGGATTATATTCAAGGCTATGTGACTTTGAGTTTAGCCATTATTTTAGCCCACATTCAGAAGCTCTTTGATACAGTGATGACCCAGTACGCTAAGCAGAATCAAAAGATGAAAAATCACCACTAGTTAGGATTAGTTCCTACATTTTAAAGACAAATGTCATCTCCATAACTTCAGATTACAAAGGAAAGCTCTTACTGCTGATGAAATGGGTAGTTCAAGAAAGCAGAAAATCTATTTTCAAGGCAGCAGAATGACAGATAACCTGATCTTTAAACCTTCTATCATTTGTATGTAATACTTATTGAGTATTTGCTATACGTTACTATAAAATCATCTGATTTAAGAGTCTATGATTTTTTCTAGTACACCTTGCTTACTCTAGAAATGGTGATTATACATTCTCAATTTGAGGGGGCAGTTTACATATCAAATATTCTAAATATTACCTGAAGAAACCATTAAAATATCCTCCAAATATTTGACCATCAAAATTATTTCTATTAGACTACCCCTTATCCTGGCAAAGATCCTTGGTTAGAATGTTCCAGATATGCCTCACTTCTCATATGCCCTTCCCTGCCCACACCCCCAGATGCTCTAATGGTCATGCTCTATATCACATGACTCTGTCCCCTGGCCACAGCTGATCAGATTAAAGGATAGGCACTTGAGCCGAGGCTGTTCAGTGACTCCAGACTTGGATGTACTAATTCAGAAGAAGATAGGCTGGGTCAATTACACTCCTTGTTCAGGAATTTGGAATTGAAAAAACTGAAGTGAGGTTAAATAACCATAAGAGCTGGACTGAAATGTCATGAAGCGGCCACTACAGGCCTTGTGCAAGCTGGAAACCAGGCTCTGGAAGATGGGGTCAGCAGGTGCACTGAGAGAAGCAGAAATGCCATGAGTCTGCTGATGAGGGTTGTGAGAGGGAGGCAGAGAGAATAATTTCTTGGTGCCCTGATGGTTTTCTGGCTCTGGTTATGATTCTAGTCCATACATAGCTTTAGAAGACACTCTGTTTTTAGGATCGCTTGAGCCCAGGAGTTTGAGGCTGCAGTGAGCTATGATCATGCCACTGTACTCCAACCTGGGTGACAGAGAGATACAGACTTTATCTCTCTTAAAAGAAGAAGAAGAAAGAAGGAGGAGGAGGAGGAAGAAAGAGGAAAAGGAGGAGGAGGACACTATGTCAAGTTCTCTACTTATGCATAGACCTGGTGGTCTTTTTTACTTGGAAGTGATAGTCAATAGCTATAGCAAAATTTGCATGGTATAATAAGGGCAGCATTCTTTCAAAAAGTTTTCAATTGATGTTAAATCTCCCCAGAGAGAGACAGGCACTTCCACATATGACTGGTGGGAGTATACACTGGTTCAACCCTCCTAAAGGGCAATTGAGTGAAATGGATATAGGATTGTCTCTTTAAAAATATATGCATAGTAGAAAATCTAGAAGTAAATATTAAAATACTAATAAGATAGCAGTTATCTCTAGATAATAAGATTATAAATTATTTAAATGTTATCCTTTTCTACCATGAGTATCTCTAACAATTTTTCTAAAAAGCAGATGTTTAAAATACAAAAACCAGCTACCAGTTATTGAGTTCTTACATGAGCTAGATGCTTTACATACGTTGTCTCATTTCATTTTTAAAATGATTCTATGAGGCAAATACTATTATTCTCACTTTACAAATGAGGAAGTTGAAGCTCCTAGATATAAAAAAAAGTCTTTCTAAACATAGTGACTAATAAATGGTACTAAAATGTAAACTCCATGAGATCAGGGATATTTTCTGTTTTGTGTATTGTTATATCCCCAGCATCTATAACTCACTACATTTTTTTTTTGAGACAAGGTCTCGCTCTGTCACCCAGGTCACTGCAACCTCAACCTCTCAAGCTCAAGAATCCTCCCGCCTTAGCCTACAAGTAGCTGTGACCATAGGTGCATTCCATCATGCCCAGCTAATTTTTAAAAATTTTTTTGTAGAGACAGAGCCTCATTATGTTGCCCGGGCTGGTCTCAAACTCCTGGCCTCAAGTGATTCTCCCATCTTGACCTCTCAAAGTGCTGGGATTACAGGTGTGACCACCACACCTGGCCACGAAATGCTTTTAAATGAATGACGGGCAGAACCAGGCTTTGTACCCCAGTATGCCTTACTCCAAAACCTCTACTCTAAGCCCTTGCTCTAAACCAACACTCCAAAGAAGCCCTTCTGCAATTTATGACCTTGATAAATGTGTTCCTTCACATTTTAATTTACTTCATTTAAAATAGGAAGAAATGACAATGGGAAATGTTTATAAAACATAATGATACTCTAGGAAATCTAAAGTCACATGATGTGTTACTGTGTTGCCCTAGTTAGTAAATTAATAGGTTAGTTTACACATAACCTTAACAAAGCTTTATATTATATAACATTTATATATTTTATTTAATATGGTGTTTGTAGTCATTGCTAGGGAAATTTGGATATTTGATCCATAGTTATAAATTCAATTCTGAATTTATTATGCCATCATATTTATGGAAAAAGTCAGCTTCTCATATAATGTTGACTTCCGGTAGCTTTTCTAGAAGCTAGCACATTAGAAGAATGAACATTCTTGATATTGTTATTCAAAATCATAATTTATTCCTTACTAGCTACATTGCCTTTTAAATCAGCATGAAATACTATTTTTGGAGGAAACCTGACATTCAAACTATAATTTTGTGACAGTTATAGCAATGTCAACCTGAGGTTTTAGAATAAGCCTTATGACAAATACATTTCCAGTTTCTAATTCAATTTTAATAATAGTACCACAATTACTAGATCTTAGCCAAAACACTAAGAAGGAAAATTTAGTCATAGCTATGAAATTTATGAAAGGCCAACTTTTCCATATAGCAATGTTTTATCCCAAACTTTGTGCTACTCTTCTTTCCTCACTGTTTCTGATTAGCTTAAGGCATGAGAGGAAGTATCTGAGATGATGTTATAGAGATTTGCCTTCTCAATATCGTGAAAATGGCCATACTGCCCAAATTTATAGATTCAGTGCTATTCCCATCAAACTACCATTGACATTCTTCAAAGAATTGGAAAAAACTATTTTAAATTTCACATGGAATCAAAGAAGACCCCGTACAGCCAAGACAATCCTAAGCAAAAAGAACAAAGCTGGAGGCATCATGCTACCTGACTTAAACTATACTACTAGGCTACAGTAACCAAAGCAGCATTGTACTGGTATCAAAACAGATATATAGACCAATGGAGCAGAACAGAGACCTCAGAAATAACACCGCACATCTACAACCATCTGATCTTTGACAAACCTGACAAAAACAAGCAATAGGGAAAGGCTCTCCTATTCAGTAAATGGTGCTGGGAAAACTGGCTAGCCATATGCAGAAAACTCAAAATGGACCCATTCCTTACACCTTATACAAAAATTAACTCAAGATGGATTAAAGATTTAAATGTAAAACCCAAAAGATAAAAACCCTGGAAGAAAGCCTAGCCAATACCATTCAGGACATAGGCATGGGCAAAGACTTCGTGACAAAAATGCCAAAAGCGATTGCAACAAAAGCCAAAATTGACAAATGGGATCTAATTAAACTAAAGAGCTTCTGCACAACAAAAGAAACTATCATCAGAGTGAACAGGCAAGCTACAGAATAGGAGAAAAATTTTGCAATCTATCCATCTGACAAAGGGCTAATATCTAGAATCTACAAGAACTTAAACAAATTTACAAGAGAAAAACAAACAACCCCAACAAAAAGTGGGCAAAGAATGTGAACAGACACTTCTCAAAAGAAGACATTTACACGTCCAACAAACATATGAAAAAAAGCTCAACATCACTGATCATCAGAGAAATGCAAATCAAAACCACAGTGAGATACCATCTCACGTCAGTCAGAATAGCAATTATTAAAAAGTCAGGAAACAACAGATGCTGGAGAGGATGTGGAGAAATAGGAACGCTTTTACACTGTTGGTGGGAATGTAAATTAGTTCAACCATTGTGGAAGACAGTATGGCCATTCCTCAAGGATCTAGAACAAGAAATACCATTTGACCCAGCCATCCCATTACTGGGTATATACCCAAAGGAATATAAGTCATTCTACTATAAAGACACATGGACGTGTATGTTTATTGCAGCACTACTTGCAATAGCAAAGACACGGAACCAACCCAAATGCCCATCAATGATAGACTAGATAAAGAAAATGTGGTACATATACACCATGGAATACTATGCAGCCATAAAAAGGAATGAGATCAAGTCCTTTGCAGGGACGTGCATGAAGCTGGAAGCCATCATCCTTAGCAAACTAAAACAGGAACAGAAAACCAAATACCACATGTTCTCACTCATAAGTGGGAGTTGAACAATGAGAACACATGGATACAGAGAGGGGAACAACACATACCAGGGCCTGTTGGGGCATGGTGGGGTGAGGGGAGGGAACTTAAAGGACGGGTCAATAGGTGTAGCAAGCCACCATGGCATACATATACCTATGTAACAAACCTGCACATTCTGCACATATATCCTGGTTTTTTTTTTTTAGAAGAAAAAAAATTATAATTTTTTTAAAAAGAAAAATAATTAGAGATGTGCCATCTAGCATCATTTCAATTTAATATTATTCTGGGAGTTCAAGCCAATGTAAGAAAAGAGATAATATAAACCCAAGAGAAATAAGTAATGGTAGAAACAAAAACCTTATTATTTGAAAACCATTATGTATCTAACAAAATGCCCAAGGAATCAGCTAACATTTTTAGGCTTAATAGAACAGTAAATAGCCAGATAAAATATAAAATATAGAAAAGTCATTAATATTCCTAAATATCAACAATTACAATCTAGAAAAACCTAATTTTAAAAAGGTATAATTTACAATAGCAATAAAATATGTAAAGAGAGAAGTAGACTTAATAATTGTTTGGCTATATAAACAAAATAATAAAACTTGTTGGGTCATAATACCCAGGAAGAATAAAATATTGCAAATATGTCAACTCAATGTTATTTAAAAAAATGAATTCAATCCCAAACAAAATCACAATGAGATTCTTTTTAGAATTTAGAAGAATGTTATAATATTCATCTAGGAAAATAAAGAGATGAAGATAAAAATATTCTAAAAAAGAGAAAGGAAAATGAGGAAGTGAAATAACAATATGTCACGGAAACAGAAGAGAAACCCCAGAAATAGACTGTTATACATAAGGATTAAATAAATGACAAAATACAACATAAAATAATGAAGATTTGAAAATACACATTTATGGGAGACATTCATTAGAACTTGGAATTAAATTATTTTAGATGGCCGGAGTGGTGGCTTACGCCTGTAATCCCAACACTTTGGGAAGCTGAGGCGGGCAGATCACTTGAGGTCAGGAGTTCAAGACCAGCCTGGCCCACATGGTGAAACCCCATCTCTACTAAAAATACAAAAATTAGCCAGGCCCGGTGATGCATACCTGTACTCCTAGCTACTCTGGAGGCTGAGGTGGGAGTATCGCTTAAACCCGGGAGGCAGAGGTTGCAGTGAGCTGAGATCGCACCACTGCACTCCAGCCTGGGTGACAGATCGAGGCTCCATCTCAAGAAAAAAAAAATTACTTTAAATCAAATACTTCATACCTTATCCCAAAATATATCTCAGATGTCTAAGGTAGTAAATATTCTTAAACTCATAAATGAGTAAGTAAAAAAAACAACAACAACAACAGTGAGTAAGTGTTAATGAAACCTCTAGAGAGATGACAATTTGCTTAAGCTTAAAGTATTAGCTTATGGAAGGAGTTATGGTTTCATACATAATTTTTAAAACATTTATTCAAATTAAAAATAGCTGCTGGGCATGGTGGCACACACTTGTAATCCCATCACTTTGGGAAGCCAAAGTGGGCAGATCTCTTGATCTCAGGAGTTCAAGACCAGCCTGGGCAACATGGCAAAACCCATCTCTACAAAAAACAGAAAAATTACCTGGGCATGGTGATGAGTGCCTGTAGTCTCAGCTACATAGGAGGCTGAGGTGGGAGGATCGCTTGAGCCCAGGAGGTTGAGGCTGCAGTGCGCCACGATTGTGTCACTGCGCTCCAGCCTGCATGACAGAGTGAAACCCTGTCTCAAAAAAAAATTAAAAAATTGCAAAACTAGGAAGAAATTAGAGAAGTATATTAATTTCTTTAGGCTACTAGAACTTGTATGGTCTGTTGTATCCTACTCACCTTGCACAGTACTGGGTACATAGTAAGTTTCCAATAGGTATCTGTTGACCAAATATTGCAATAATTAACTAAGTAGACTTTCATTATCTGATGAGACAAAAAAAGTGACCCGAGTCCAGTTAGTCAGCTGCAACTATGAATAATGAGTGCAAATTAATTTCTTTGGCCCAGATGCATAAGAACCATGGACAGGAAGCTGTCTAATCAGCTGTGGAATGGAGAAGTGATAGGAACAACAGGTTGGCTATGGAAGTGTTATCGGGCCACATCAAGTCCCGCCACAAGCATTAGCTGTTGGAGGGTGAAAACAGCCAACAGGCCACACTGGTCTAAGACAGTCAGCAGATGTATGGCTTGACTCAATTAAGAAATCTTATTCAACTTGGGAGGTCCAAAAAGCAGACTGGCTGGATGACAAGACTTCTAAACAGCAATCTCAGCTGCTAAACGAAGGCTGTGGTTGTGTTTGGAGAGGAGAGAGAGAGAACCACATACTTCTCTCTTCAGTCTTCTTCTAGAATAATTGCAACATCCTGAAGCACTTACACCTGATGGTTCTGCAGCTTCCATCTGAGGCAGTCAAGGGATCTAAAAGTCAGTATATGACTATTCTCAATGTACATAGCAAGGAAAACACTCATTCAAAATCACTTAGTTGAGGAATCTGTGCAGTACGATGTTTCTATGTTATTTTCAGAGTCTACTTTGTGGTGATTGCTCACAGCATTCCATATATTTTTGCAGAATCAGTAAATGAATTATCATTTTTTTGGATAAGGTTTAAAAATGATCATTGTGGTTTTGTCAAAACCTTGTTTTCCAATTTGGTGCTGGAAACTGGTTTTAGAAATATAGGGAACTGATCTAACATTTGCTAATGATATGAATCTGTGTTCCCATCTTTTTAGTCCTATTTTCCCAGAGTGATGAGAATAAATGCATTGGGAGAAATTGGGAGCACAGGCCTGTCCATCTTCATTTCATGCCGGGATTCAGTGTTTCCCTGATATAATGATGCCCTCATAGGCCTACCTACAATAATTCTCCCATCTGTCAGATTGGAGGATAGTTCACTCAAGAGGAGTAGAATTATTTTTGCTATTTAACCAGCAGGCAGGCTACTGGATGAAATGGGCCTGAATAGATGGCAAACCATTAGTTTCCTAGCTATTCCTACAGCAACTTCCAGAGCACAAAGAGGAAAGTGTAGGTTTTTTAAAGCTATTTGTGAACTAGCTGGTAATGACGGGACCAGTGTTAAGCACATGTAAAAAGACATTTCTACATGGTGGCAAGATAAGAGAAACTGATAGGCCAAATATTTTAAACTCCAGGATCAAATTGGAATAATGTAAAAGTGATTGTAATCTGAGGCAGTAGAATTCAATTTTCCTTGCATTATGTTGATTTCTCTGAGCAGACCCAGGTTAAATGATTGCTCTGAGGTTGATGACACAGTGATTCCAAGTGCCAACAATGACTTCAGCCTGATGGCAACCTTTACAAATTGCTTCCTGTAAATTCTTTGTGAGAATAACAAGCAATTCATTTTGCTTGAGAGTGACTTTTAGCTAAGGCACTCCACCCAACAATCTGGATTTAATAAAACAAAATACATTTTGGTATTACAAACATCTTTTTTGAGATGTAAGTTCCCCACATGAGTTTTCGTAAAAGCAAACTATTTTCAGTTTTTCTCCAGTGAAAGCCAGATGGATCCTTATGCATAGCCAACAATTACTTAGTGCATGTGATGAGCTGGTGGGGAAGGGCAGAAGGGGAGGGAGGGTCACAGCAGAGTCATATTTGTGTGTGTGCATGTAAGATATTCAGGGTAATACAAAAGACTTCTAAATCCACAACCAGAACTATGCTTACTTATTCATTCATTTATTCAACATACAGTATTTATTGAGCACCAGGCACTGTTGTAGGCTTTCAGGACACAACAGTTGAACAAAACAGACAATATCTTTGCTCTCATGAAACTTAAATTCTAGTGATGAAAGGACAGACAATAAACTAAAAGCTACGCAAAGAAAAATTCCAAGGGGGACTCAATGTATTTTAATGAGCAAGACAGAGGAATTATCTGCTTACAGACGAGTAGGGAAAGGAGGCATTTACATCTTTGTGACTGGTAGTAGATAAAATCATAGCAGTTAAAATTTAACTAGGCATTGTTCATATATTGTATATAATTTATAACCTAGTTACTGAACTCAAAGAGCTTACAATTCCAACTTTCAAGGTGTTCCTGCACGTCAGACAGAGAGGGAAGGAAGAACCATCAGACATTTTATATGCCATCCAAGTCAGAGCTACATTGTCTTCAAGGTTGCAATCAGCATGAAGAGGGTTTAGAATCCTTGGGCCTTGAAAAATTCATTTTTGACACCATATGTCATTTTCTACTTGGTAAAAGACCAATATAGTCATTGGCATGACAAGAAAACTTCTATTAGTTAGAAAGAATATTCATAAAGATGAGAGTAGTAGACACTGGGGACTCCAAAAGGAGGGAGGGAGCAAGGGCTGAAAAGCTTCCTACTGGATACTATGTTCGCTATCTGGGTGATGGATCAATAGAAGCTTACACCTCAGCCCCATGCAATATACCCTTGTAACACCTGCATATGTACCCCCTGAATCTAAAATTAAAATAAAAATAGAAAAAGAATGTCCAATCCACTTTGTTCATTCCAATGAACTATGATTAAAGGAGCTAGAAAAGGAAACATGCCTTTAAAAAAAAAAAACAGACATGTTGTCCTCAGAGCTCATGGAATCAAAATCACCTTATGTTCCTGCTGTCCTTCTGGGGTCCATCAGAGCTGCACCACTTACCTCCTCAATCTTGCAGAAGAAAGAACTTTCCTAAGGACAACCATTCTAATATCCCTGATCACAGTTGCTTATTGTTCAAAACTGTGTCTTCGAAGTCTTTCATTTACTTTTGTGAAAAGAGTTAAATCATGTGACAAGCATATGTTCGGCATCCACCAGGTGTAAGGCATTATGTGGGGCAAAACTGGGGCCTACAAAGATGTTGAAGACACAGCCAGATGCAGTGGCTCATGCCTCTCCTGCAATCCCAGCACTTTGGGAGGCTGAGGTGGGCAGATCACTTGAGATCAGCAGATAAAGACCAGCCTGGCCAACATGATGAAACCCCACCTCTATAAAACATACAAAAATTAGCTGGGCATAATGGTGCGCACCTATAGTTCCAGCTACTTGGGAGGCCGAGGCACAATGATTGCATGAACTCGGGAGGTGGCGCCATCTTGGCCCACTGCACTCCAGCCTGGGCAACAGAGAGTCTGCCTCAGAATGAATACAGTAAAAAAATAAAAAATGAAGACACATGGTAGCTACCTTTATAGGGCTTATGGTTAAGAGGAGGCCAAATACACAGACAGCAATAAAACAAGGTGAAAACAGGCAAGTGCCTTGAGAGAGAGAAACAAATTAAGTATCACATTGGCCCAGAGGAAGCTTCTGGTCGACAGCTTCAGGATGGTGGCACTGGAGCAAGGCTTTAGGGGGCAGGCAGGATTACAACAGATCAAGGACACGTGAGCAAATGTGAGTTTACCTTCTTCATTTATAATTTTTCTCTTATTAGTACATGTATTAGTCAGGGCTTTCCAGAGAAACAGAGCCAAAAGGATATGTATAGACACACAAGAGGGGATTTATTATGGAAATTGGCTCACAGGATTATAAAGACTGAGAAGGCCCATCGTATGCTGTCTGCATGCTGAAAAACTAGGGAAGCTGGTGGTGTAATTCAGCCCAAAGGCCTAAGAACTAGAGAAGCAATGTTGTAACTCTCAATCAGAGGCCAAAGGCCTGGGAACCAGGTAGGGTGGAGGTTTGTGCTGGGTCTAAGTCCTGGAGTAGGAAGGCCTGAGATGCAGGAACTCCAGTGTCTGAGGACAGGAGAAAATGGACATCCCGGCTCAAAAAGAGAGAGTGAATTCACCCTTCCTCCACATTTTTGTTCTATCTGGGCCCTCAATGAATTGAATTGTGCCCACCTACACTGTTAAGGGCGGATCTTCTTAATTCCATCTACTGAATCAAATGCTAATCTCTTTTGGGCACACTCTCACAGACATACCCAGAAATAATGTTTTACCAGCTATCTGGGTATTCCTTAACCCAGTCAAATTGACATCCAAAATTAACCATCACTGCAGTACCTTATTATTTTTATTTATGGTCTTCAAATGAAACTTTCCTAATAAAAAATCTGTTTTAACCTCACAAGCCTCTCTTCCTTTAATATTAAATATTTAATAAATTTACTTTTAATTGGGTATTTAATCAACTTTACAATGGAAAAAAAATCTAAATAGCAATAGCAACATGTACTAAAAAAAAACCCTCAAATTCCGATGTTTTCACAAACCCTAAAGACTTCTTCCATTCTACTGCTTGCATAAAAAACAATTGCACAGTTGTTATGAACCAATATTTTATCATTCTAAATTGTACTTTTTCTCATCTGCTATTGTTTTCTATAGTCCCATAAGTTACCAGCAATATAATGTTTTATTGTATCAATGTATCATACTTGCTGTCTACCTATTTTTCTATAGGCGTGAATGTGAGCTTTTTCTATTTTTTAGTAATACTAATGAGTGCTTCTATACATATCCATGTGTCTTTTCTTTCCTTTGAATTATCTGCTTGGTTTATGTTACATTTTCCAAAGTTTAATGAGGTAATACATAATGTATGGCTAAGAGTGTGAGCTCCGGCAGACTGGCTGTGTTTAAATCCTGACTCTGCCACTTACCATCCGTGTGAACTTCAGAAAGTTACCACCTCTGCGGCATGGTTTCCTCTCTAAAAAATAGGAATAATAGTACCCACCTCATATGATTATGAGAATTAATTATATGTAAACTCTTAGAACTGGCATAACACATGGTAAGCATTCAATAATGTAAGCTACTATTACATAAAGGTCTTAGCATTTATTACATTCTAGAACTCAATAAGACTGAGTGCGGTGGCTTATGCCTGTAATCCCAGCACTTTGGGAGACTGAGGAGAGAGGATTGCTTGAGCCTAGGAGTTCGAGACCAGCCTGGGCAACATAGCAAGACGTCGTCTCTACAAAATAAATCAAAAAATTAGTCAGGTATGATGGCATGCACCTGTGGATCCCAGCTACCCAATAGGCTGAGGTGGGAGGATTGCCTTGAGCCCTGAAGGTCGAGGCTGCAGTTAAGTTGTGATTGTACCAATGCACTCCAGCCTGGGTAACAAAGTGAGACCCTTTTTTTTTTTTTTTTTTGAGACAGAATTTTGCTCTTGTCACCCAGGCTGGAGTGCAATGGCGCAGTCTCGGCTCACTGCAACCTCCACCTCCCGGGTTCAAGCGATTCTCCTGCCTCAGCCTCCCAAGTTGCTGGGATTACAGATGCCCACCACCACGCCTGGCTAATTTTTGTATTTTCAGTAGAGACGGGGTTTCACCATGTTGGCCAGGCTGGTCTCAAGCTCTGAACAGACCAAACAATAGATTCCACCAAATCAAATTATTAACATTAGAGAGGCTTGGTATGTTTTCCGTGTTTTGTTTTTCTTTTTTTTTTTTTTTTTTTTTTTTTTTTTGAGACAAAGTCTCGCTCTGTCACCCAGGCTGGAGTGCAGTGGATCAATCTCAGCTCACTGCAACCTCTGCCTCCTGGGTTCAAGCCATTCTCCTGCCTCAGCCTCCCGAGTACCTGGGACTACAGGCATGTGCCACAACACCCCGCTGATTTTTTGTATTTTTAATAGAGACAAGGTTTCACTGTGTTAGCCAGGATGGTCTCAATCTCCTGACCTCGTGATCCACTCTTGCCTCGGCCTCCCAAAGTGCTGGAATTACAGGCGTGAGCCACTGTGCTCGGCCTGTTTTCTACTCTTATGTGAACCTCCTCCTCTTGTGTGGATTGTTCGTATCTTTGGCTATTTGTCAAAATATATTTTTCCTGTAAATGTATTTCATTCCTTAATAGTTGTGGAAATACAACTATGCAACTATTGAAAAAATTTAGGATGGCATCAACAAGCATATTGAAAAACTAGTATGTATAAGGCATTGTTCTGGGTGCTATGAGGGGGACAGAGAACTGCAGCATTATAGAGAAAGAATTCAGTCTCTAATGGGGTTGAACAATATAAGTAAAAAACGAAATAACAAAAGGCTATACAATAGTGCTCTTCAACTATGGAGATCATGTTCTTAAGAACTCTGAGGCCAGGGATTTGTGGTTCAAGAATTTAAACTCATATGGTGAGAATCAGCTTAGGGGAAATAATGTTTGGAGTACACTTCTGAAAACCATTAGAAATGTGTTTTCTTATACTAAATATGAGTTTCATACATCTTAAACCAGTAATTATGACTACAACATGGATATTCAACCCTTTACCATTTCATACTCACTAGAAAGATACTTTTCAGGACCTTCTTTTCCATAGTGTCAATAAGAGATGTATAAATGATTCTGTAGGATTGCTGAAAATATCCGCAGTGAGAAGAGTTCTTGATGAGATTGGTCTTCCTCTGAACGTTCATGGTCTTTCTTATTTTATGACTTGGTGCTTTCCATCAGACACACCATTGTCCTGCCCATATCCCTTATACATCAAGGGCCTCTCACTGCAAGTGTCTGTGACTCTGCCTAAAGGCTTTTTTCCAGCTGCAGGAGCAAATTTGGTCAGGAACAGGCTAGAAGCACTGGACAGTTAATGTCTTCACGAGCAAAAAAGAGTTGGTGGATGGATGTACCAGCTCTCACCCCTCAGGTGGACCAACTCAGTAGAGAATGCTTCAAAGTGTTCCAGGGGTCTCTAGAGGGACTGAGCCCCGGTTGACCACAGCAATGATGCGTTAATACTCTGCATTTATTTCTTTGTATTATGTCTAAATAAAATTCTCACATTAAAATCCTTAAGTCTGCGTGTTGGGGAACCCCATTCTAAGACACTTTGACTCCCACCTTCTGGGCCTTGCTTCCTAAATATCTGTGTCTGAGGGATATGTTGGAGGCCTGAGATGGAAAAGCCTCTGAGAATTGATCTCCTCTGATACCCAGAGTTTTGCAGCTTGCATCTGCCTTTGGTAACTCTATGCCAGGAACATGCATCTCTCCCTTTTCCTCCTCACAGATGCCACTGAAAATACTTTCAAAGTCCAGGATTATTACTGCTTGTCTTCCTTGGTCCTGCCCAAGTTTTCATTTCAAAAATCTCTTCATCTCTGTTTTAGTTCCTTTTCTATTTTTAACCTCCATTTCTTTTTTCTCCCCTCAGTTATCCACAGAAGGAATGATCTGCAATGTACACACGCCAGGACAGAAATTCTACAGTTGCTGATAAAATGTAAACCTGTAAGTACTGAATAAGAATTATGCCCAATAAAAAGTCATGGCTAGGGAGTAAAAGATGGAGTGTTGACAGGGAAGTAGAACAATAAATGGGGTAATCAGGAAAGGCTGATTACCTTTCCTGATGGGGAAGGGTGAGACCCCTAATCTAGTCCAGTCTCCCATTTTACAAATAAAGAGACTGAGCTCCACAAGGTTAAGCTACTGGTCCAGAATCCCATAGCTCACAAGTGATGAGCTGCCTCCTTCACCCCTCAGCTCCCTCTGTGTTCCACTCTGGGCTGCCCACTCACATTTTGTCCAGTGGCAGCCTCGCCTCTGCATTTGTCTTTTGTTGGCCTTGAGCTTTACCATGATGACTAGGCCTGGAAAAGGGTGAAAACAAATAGCACATTCTCCTAAGCACTCTCCACACTGCACAATATCAGCTGTCCTAAGAAGATTTTGAATATGGGTTGAAAATATTGTTTGTTTTGTTTTAAATCTTGGAAAAAATTCTAGTTGCATGAAATTTTTTTCTCCAGAATTAATCATGAGTAGCATATTCTTCAGCCTTGTTAATTGGCAAAGCAGAAAACAAAATAGCCACTGAAGGGCTCCTTTGTTTGGACTTGGAGACCAGTGACATTGCTCACCCTTCCCACTGAGCAGCCTGCAGATATTGGTCTCTCTGGAGAGCACTGAGGACCCGGGGTGGCAGGACTCGCTGAGTAAGCCCTTCCCCATACTAAACTTGGTTTCAAGGAGACAATTCCTCTAACTGTTCTTGAGCTTTCTCGTCTCATATAATCTCAACAAGTTCTTCCAATTTCTGTTTTTAAACCAAAAAGAAAAAGAACAGCACATTCCTTTTATGTTTGTGCAAATGAAGGGGAGGCAAGTTGCTGGGGAAAATCTAGCAAATGTCTTTTGATATGTAATTTGAATGATTTCCTACTGAAGTCCTGAAATATGAATTAAAATCATGTATTCACTTTTGTCTCACATTTTGAGATCATAATCTTTGTGCTTTCTGTAAACTGTGGGATCAATATTCTAAGAATGAGTCTGTCTTTATTAACCTCTGGTAATAGTGACTCAGGCATAATTGGGATCCATTAAAATACAACTTTCTCTTCCCACATCATCCTTTGTTTTAAAGTGGGACATCATTAGCTCACTTAGTGTTCACTATAGAACAATGCTATTCACCTCAAAGTCATTTAATGAGAAAGCTAATTTCCCTTCATGTAAAATTTCAGGCAATTCAATGTCAGTTGAACGATACACTGACGGTAATATTATGCACGCTGTACTGCTCTCATTTTCTGCATTGATTCATGTTTGACTTGAATCTAATCACGCATGTCCCACTTACTACAGAAAACACCCCTTTTTGGCCAGGATTTTGAGCCCCTGGAGTGTGTTCTGCTGTCAGGTATGGATGTATGATAAACACAAAGGCCTCCTAGCTGGCCTCAGAACCTGCCTTATACCTAGTATGTGTAGTCCCTAACTAAAAAATGAGCACAACCTCAATTCCATTTCTCCCTCCCTAAGATCACCCCACCACCAGGGTCCCTGCTTCTCCTGTAAGGGAATCATTATAGAAAAAAATTAAGAGGCTTGAGAAAATCAGAAGTTCATAAAGGAAGAAAGGAAAGAAATTATAGGAAGCAGGAAGAGCTCTGGGGAGCTGTTTTCGGGAGCAAATATCCAGGTAGGAATGGTCCTTCTTTTTGGTAAGCATCCCCTTGAAATCAAACAAATAACAAAGAAAACATAAAAACAAGGAAGAAAAAACCTCCAGGAGAGCAATGTAATCATCAGTCATTCTCATCTTAATATGGTTTTTGTTCAGCACGATTGTTTCCCTTCTTACAAACCAGCTGTACCAAGAAGATAGAATTTTGTTTGCTGGGGAAAGAAGAGTAGATAATTCTAGAGCATGGCATACTTCTAGAAGAGGGGTGGTGTGTGTGTGTGTGTGTGTGTGTGTGTGTGTATGTGTTTACAATCAGAGCACAGGACATCCTAGGAAAGGTGTAGAAAGGAGGTAGAAAAATGCCCAAAGCAAACATCCCTAATTTTAACATGTGGCCCAAGCAAGAGATCGTTAACATTTTGCCCTCTTGCCCGCTCTTCCTCCTCATCTCCTTCTCTTTCCATTTTAGTTTTGAGCTTACAGCCCTTGTACCCAGGAATAAAAATTTAAACTTATATTATTAGTATGAGAGTTCATCAATATTATTCATTAAATTGGCCTTTCACAGAATATGCTAGAAACCTAATTGCAATAGTGATTAATAATATTACTAACGATTAACAATAATTATAACAATTTTTATTATCATTCTTCTTTTCCCCCTCCTCCTCCTCATCTTCAAAGCATTTTTGGGAAACTGTGTGCCAAGTTCCAAACTATTGTACGCTGCAACTCTTAGGCTTAGCAATGAAAGAATTCAAAGGTAGCAGGCAAACGAGCAAGGCTTCTGGGTATAGGTGTGCAGGATGGGCTCTGTACCTCGGGTTGGACCCTGTACCTCAAGGTCAGGCCACGAGGGTAAATGGAGTCTAAAGTCTTGTCTGTGTTCCATTCTCCAGAATGAACACCTTGACTCATGGCTGCATCTGCAAGGAAGATGGGACATCCATTCTCACTTGTACACAGGCTATGGGTTGTCCGGAGCCCTGAGCTGAAGACAGGCCTGCTGCTGATCCCAGAGACAGATGGCCAGAGTTAGGAACAGCATGCACAAAGAAGATCCTAAGCCTTCCTGGAGAAGTGCCAATATCATCATTTGGGGGTCTTAAAGCCAAGCTGGGGAATAAGCGTTATGGGGAATGCTGAGAAGGAGATGTTTAATCAAGTGTGTAGGTTTAGGACTTCAGTCAAAGGGCTGCTTTTTTGCTGCTCTCAGGCAGTTTTCACTGCATGCCTTCACCTCTGGTATCTTCAAAGCACTCCTTGGCTTGTGCCATTAATACTTTACCTAAGATTTTTAGAAATTCTGTCTGGTCATATGCTACATCCTACTTGTATTGAAAGAACCCTTAGGATTTCCCCTTTATTGCTATACATCTCTTTAAGTCTCTTATCTTTAGAGACTAAAGTAAAATTTGGTCCTTTAATAATCATAATAAACAGGTAATCATACTTACCTGTTTCTTGATTTGACCTGAGAACATCTTAAGCAAAGCTTGTTAGAAAGTGAGTTAAAGCGTGGCTCTTTAGTCTGGAGCCTGTGAAGGATGTTACAGTTGCTGGAAATAGACAAGCAGGCTTTGTTTGCATTGAACCACAGCAATGTCTCATGCTCTTCCTTGTTCTCTATTTAGCACTTCATCTTCATCTAATCTCTAACAAAGCATGGTCTGTGGCAGGCAGTCTGTGGTAAGCACAGTGAATCAGCCTACCCTTCTGGAAGGTGACAGCAGTGAGGAGTGTCTAAATATTTATTTCAAATATAATCTATCCTGTAGTCCTCCACATTCAAAGATTTTCCAATTTAAAATATCCATGGCCAGGGGGTCGGTTCCAAGATGGCCGAATAGGAACAGCTCCAGTCTACAGCTCCCAGTGTGAGTGACACAGAAGATGGGTGATTTCTGCATTTCCAACTGAGGTACCAGGTTCATCTCACTGGGGCTTGTCAGACAGCGGGTGCAGGACAGTGGGTGTAGCACACCGAGCGTGAGCCGAAGCAGGGCAAGGCATCACCTCACCCCAGAAGTGCAAGGGGTCAGGGAATTCCCTTTACTAGCCAAGCAAAGTTGTGACAGATGGCACCTGGAAAATCAGCTCACTCCCACCCTAATACTGTGCTTTTCCAATGGTCTTAGCCAATGGCACACCAGGAGATTATATCCCATGCCTGGCTCAGAGGGTCCCAAGCCCACGGAGCCTCGCTCACTGCTAGCACAGCAGTCTGAGATCGAACTGCAAGGTGGCAGCGAGGCTGGGGGAGGGGCACCCACCATTGCTGAGGCTTAAGTAGACAAACAAAGCAGCCAAGAACCTCGAACTGGGTGGAGCCCACCACAGCTCAAGGAGGCCTGCCTGCCTCTGTAGACTCCACCTCTGGGGGCAGGGCATAGCCGAACAAAAGGCAGCAGAAACCTCTAAAGACTTAAATGTCCCTGTCTGACAGCTTTGAAGAGAGTAGTGGTTCTCCCAGCATGGAGTCTGAGATCTGAGAACAGACAGACTGCCTCCTCAAGTGGGTCCCTACCCCCGAGTAGCCTATCTGGGAGGCACCTCCCAGTAGGGGCTGACTGACACCTCAACAGCTGGGTACCCCTCTGAAACGAAGCTTCCGGAGGAACGATCAGGCAGCAACATTTGCTGTTCAGCAATATTCGCTGTTCTGCAGCCTCTGCTGCTGATACCCAGGCAAATAGGGTCTGGAGTGGACCTCCAGCAAATTCCAACAGACCTGCAGCTGAGGGTCCTGTCTGTTAGAAGGAAAACTAACAAACAGAAAGGACATCCACACCAAAAACCCATCTGTACGTCACCATCATTAAAGACCAAAGGTAGATAAAACCACAAAGATGGGGAAAAAACAGAGCAGAAAAACTGAAAATTCTAAAAATCAGAGCGCCTCTCCTCCTCCAAAGGAATGCAGCTCCTCATCAGCAACGACACAAAGCTGGAAGGAGAATGACTTTGATGAGTTGAGAGAAGAAGGCTTCAGATGATCAAACTTCTCCGAGCTAAAGAAGGATGTTCGAACCCATAGCAAAGAAGTTAAAAACCTTGCAAAAAGATTAAATGAATGGCTAACTAGAATAACCAACGCAGAGAAGTCCTTAAAGGACCTGATGGAGCTGAAAACCATGGCACTAGAACTATGTGACGAATGCACAAGCCTCAGTAGCCGATTCAATCAACTGGAAGAAAGGGTATCAGTGATTGAAGATCAAAAGAACGAAATGAAGTGAAAAGAGAAGTTTAGAGAAAAAAGAATAAAAAGAAATGAACAAAGCCTCCAAGAAATATGGGACTATGTGAAAAGATCAAATCTACGTCTGATTGGTGTACCTGAAAGTGATGGGGAGAATGGAACCAAGTTGGAAAACACTCTGCAGGATATTATCCAGGAGAATTTCCCCAACCTAGAAAGGCAGGCCAACATTCAAATTCAGGAAATACAGAGAATGCCACAAAAATACTCCTCGAGAAGAGCAACTCCAAGACACATAATTGTCAGATTCACCAAAGTTGAAATGAAGGAAAAAATGTTAAGGGCAACCACAGAGAAAGGTTGGGTTACACACAAAGGGAAGCCCATCAGATTAACAGCAGATCTCTTGGCAGAAACTCTACAAGCCAGAAGAGAGTGGGGGCCAATATTCAACATTCTTAAAGAAAGAATTTTCAACCCAGAATTTCATATCCAGCCAAACTAAGCTTCATAAGTGAAGGAGAAATAAAATATTTTACAGACAAGCAAATGCTGAGAGATTTTGTCACCACCAGGCCTGCCCTGCAAGAGCTCCTGAAGGAAGCACTAAACATGGAAAGGAACAACCAGTACCAGCCACTGCAAAAACATGCCAAATTATAAAGACCATCGATGCTAGGAAGAAACTGCATCAACTAACGAGCAAAATAACCAGCTAACATCATAATAACAGGATCAAATTCACACATAACAATATTAACCTTAAATGTAAATGGGCTAAATGTTCCAATTAAAAGACACAGACTGGCAAATTTGATAAAAAGTCAAGATGGCAAATTTGATAAAAAGTCAAGACCCATCAGTATGCTGCATTCAGGAGACCCATCTCACATGCAGAGACACACATAGGCTCAAAATAAAGGGATGGAGGAAGATCTACCAAGCAAATGGAAAAGCAAAAAAGGCAGGGGTTGCAATCCTAGTCTCTGATAAAACAGACTTTAAACCAACAAAGACCAAAAGAGACAAAGAAGGCCATTACATAATGGTAAAGAGATCAATTCAACAAGAAGTGCTAACTATCCTAAATGTATATGCACCCAGTACAGGAGCACGCAGGTTCATAAAGCAAGTCCATAGAGACCTAGAAAGAGACTTAGACTCCCACACAATAATAATGGGAGACTTCAACACCCCACTGTCAACATTAGACAGATCAATGAGACAGAAAGTTAACAAGGATATCCAGGAATTGAACTCAGCTCTGCACCAAGTGGACCTAATAGACATCTACAGAACTCTCCATCCCAAATCAACAGAATATACATTCTTCTCAGCACCACACCACACTTATTCCAAAATTGACCACATAGTTGGAAGTAAAGCACTCCTCAGCAAATGTAAAAGAACACAAATTATAACAAACTGTCTCTCAGACCACAGTGCAATCAAACTAGAACTCAGGATTAAGAAACTCACTCAAAACCACTCAACTACATGGAAACTGAACAACCTGCTCCTGAATGACTGCTGGGTACATAACGAAATGAAGGCAGAAATAAAGATGTTCTTTGAAACCAACGAGAACAAAGACACAACATACCAGAATCTCTGGGACACATTCAAAGCAGTGTGAGGAGGGAAATTTATAGCACTAAATGCCCACAAGAGAAAGCAGGAAAGATCTAAAACTGACACCCTAACATCACAATTAGAAGAACTAGAGAAGCAAGAGCAAACACATTCAAAAGCTAGCAGAAGACAAGAAATAACCAAGATCAGAGCAGAACTGAAGGAAATAGAGACACAAACAACCCTTCCAAAAATCAATGAATCCAGGAGCTGGTTTTTTGAAAAGATCAACAAAATTGATAGACTGCTAGCAAGACCAATAAAGAAGAAAAGACAGAAGAATCAAATAGACGCAATAAAAAATGATAAAGGGGATATCACCACTGATCCCACAGAAATACAAACTACCATCAGAGAATACTATAAACACCTCTACACAAATAAACTAGAAAATCTAGAAGAAATGGATACATTCCTGGACACATATACCCTCCAAAGACTAAGCCAGGAAGAAGTTGAATCTCTGAATAGATCAATGACAGGCTCTGAAATTGAGGCAATAATTAATAGCTTACCAACCAAAAAAAGTCCAGGACAAGACTGATTCACAGCCAAATTCTACCAGAGGTACAAGGAGGAGCTGGTACCATTCCTTCCGAAACTATTCCAATCAATAGAAAAAGAGGGAATCCTCCCTAACTCATTTTATGAGGCCAGCATCATCCTGATACCAAAGCCTAGCAGAGACACAACAAAAAAAAGAGAATTTTAGACCAATATCCCTGATGAACATTGATGCAAAAATCCTCAATAAAATACTGGCAAACCGAATCCAGCAGCACATCAAAAAGCTTATCCACCATGATCAAGTGGGCCTCATCCCTGGGATGCAAGGCTGGTTCAACATATGCAAATCAATAAACATAATCCAGCATATAAACAGAACCAATGATAAAAACCGCATGATTCTCCCAATAGATGCAGAAAAGGCCTTTGACAAAATTCAACAACACTTCATGCTAAAAACGCTCAAATTAGGTATTGATGGGACGTATCTCAAAATAATAAGAGCTATTTATGACAAACCCACAGCCAATATCATACTGAATGGGCAAAAACTGGAAGCATTCCCTTTGAAAACTGGCACAAGACAGGGATGCCCTCTCTCACCACTCCTATTCAACGTAGTGTTGGAAGTTCTGGCCAGGGCAATTAGGCAGGAGAAAGAAATAAAAGGTATTCAATTAGGAAAAGAGGAAGTCAAATTGTCCCTGTTTGCAGATGACATGACTGTATATCTAGAAAATCCCATCGTCTCAGCCCAAAAATCACAAGCATTCTTATACACCAATAATAGACAAACAGAGAGCCAAATCATGAGGGAACTCCCATTCACAATTGCTTCAAAGAGAATAAAATACCTAGGAATCCAACTTACAAGGGATGTGAAGGACCTCTTCAAGGAGAACTACAAATCGCTGCTCAGCAAAATAAAACAGGACACAAACAAATGGAAGAACACTCCATGCTCATGGATAGGAAGAATTAATATCGTGAAAATGGCCATACTGCCCAAGGTAATTTATAGATTCCATGCCATCCCCATCAAGCTACCAATGACTTTCTTCACAGAATTGGAAAAAACTACTTTAAAGTTCATATGGAACCAGAAAAGAGCCCGCATTGCCAAGTCAATCCTAAGCCAAAAGAACAAAGCTGGAGGCATCACGCTACCTGACTTCAAACTATACTATAAGGCTACAGTAACCAAAACCGCATGGTACTGGTACCAAAACAGAGATATAGACCAATGGAACAGAACAGAGCCCTCAGAAATAATACCACACTTCTACAACTATCTGATCTTTGACAAACCTGACAAAAACAAGAAATGGTGAAAGGATTCCTTATTTAACAAGTGGTGCTTGGAAAACTGGCTAGCCATATGTAGAAAGCTGAAACTGGATCCCTTCCTTACACATTATACAAAAATTAATTCAAGATGGATTAAAGACTTACATGTTAGACCTGAAACCATAAAAACCCTAGAAGAAAACCTAGGCAATACCATTCAGGACATAGGCATGGGCAAGGACTTCATGTCTAAAACACCAAAAGCAATGGCAACAAAAGCCAAAATGGACAAATGGGATCTAATTAAACTAAAGAGCTTCTGCACAGTAAAAGAAACTACCATCAGAGTGAACAGGCAACCTACAGAATGGGAGAAAATTTTTGCAACCTACTCATCTGACAAAGGGCTAATATCCAGAATCTACAAAGAACTTAAACAAATTTACAAGAAAAAACCCCGTCAACAAGTGGACGAAGGATATGAACAGACACTTCTCAAAAGAAGACATTTATGTAGCCAAAAGACACATGAAAAAATGCTCATCATCACTGGCCATCAGAGAAATGCAAATCAAAACCACAATGAGATACCATCTCGCACCAGTCAGAATGGCGATCATTAAAAAGTCAGGAAACAACAGGTGCTGGAGAGGATGTGGAGAAATAGGAACACTTTTACACTGTTGGTGGGACTGTCAACTAGTTCAACCATTGTGGAAGATAGTATGGCCATTCCTCAGGGATCTAGAACTAGAAATACCATTTGACCCAGCAATCCCGTTACTGAGTATATACCCAAAGGATTATAAATCATGCTGCTATAAAGACACATGCACACATATATTTATTGCAGCACTATTCACAATAGCAAAGACTTGGAACCAAGCCAAATGTCCAACAATGATAGACTGGATTAAGAAAATGTGGCACATATACACCATGGAATACTATGCAGCCATAAAAAAGGATGAGTTCATGTCCTTTGTAGGGACATGGATGAAGGTGGAAACCATCATTCTCAGCAAACTATCACTATTGCAAGGACAAAAAAACCAAACACCGCATGTTCTCACTCATAGGTGGGAATTGAACAATGAGAACACATGGACACAGGAAGGGGAACATCACACACTGGGGCCTGTTGTGGGGTGGCGGGAGAGGGGAGGGATAGCATTAGGAGATATACCTAACGTTAAATGACGAGTAAATGGGTGCAGCACACCAGCATGGCACATGTATACATATGTAACAAACCTGCACGTTGTGCACATGTACCCTAGAACTTAAATAAAATATATATAAGAAATATAAAAAAATAAAATATCCATGGCCCTATCATTCCTATGGCTTTTGCAATAAGGGGCCATGCAAATGAACTCAAGTGTGACAATTACTGCCAAGCTGGTGTAAACCATATAACTGGTCCTCCAAGGGATAGCGTAGAGAAGGAAGGGCACTCTACATTGAGCAAGATTGCCACAGATGGTTGTGTATGTTGGTGGGGGTCCCTTGTGGTATGGATGGCTGCATATGATGATATAGTGGTTGGAATGGATCAGGTTATCTACAGTAACAAACAGCCCCAGTCTCAGTGGTTCAACACAACGAAAAGTTCACTGTTTGCTCAAGCTAGATGTCCAGCATGAGTAGGCAGGGAGATCCAGGCCGAGCTATTCCATATCAATATACGCCTCTACAATCACCTAAGCAGGGAGAAGAAAGTATGATGAATCATGAAGGGGCTCTTCAAGCCTCTGCCTACCAGTGACACATGTCCCTTCTGTTTCCATTTCATTGGCCAAAGTAAGTCATATCCCCACATCTAATTACAAAGGAGACAGAGGTGTGCAATCTTATATCCAGAAGGAGAAAAGAATGAGACTCTTTGGAAAAACCCTAATGACTACCACAGTAGGGGGGTGTCCATTTGGGAGGACTCCAGTGCCATCTTTGTGTTCTAGTAGCAGCTCTCAACTGAGATCAGGAAAAACGGCTTCCACATTTGTGTGTCTGGTAACCATCCTCACAAGTCAGGTACCTTATTTCCAAAGGTAGGTCTTGTCAATCGTTTTCTAGAGGGAAAAGCAGTAAGTCCTAACTCTTCTAAATAGGTTCACTATAATTTTTGCATGTTTAAAATAAGGTTTTCCCTAAAACCCAGAAACCATTATTGAGAAACAGCATAAATAGTGTAAGATTGATTCTCAGAGGCTCCAGAAATAAAACATGCTTCTATGTAGTGGACACTAACGATTGTCTGAGAAGCCTACCCTTTCTGAGTACTGTCCTTCTCTTCCACATTTGAACCATATGTTAAAAGTGATGGGATCCTGGCAGATATTCTGTTCAACATGATCCTGCCTCTAAGACAGAGCAGATTGGATCAGAGCTGGGCAGGAGTCTGAGCAAGGCTGGGCAAGAGTCTCTTCCCTAGGAATTCAGAGTTTGAACCCATAGAAACAACCTCAGGAAACAAGTAGTTTGGACTAATTGGTCTGGGTTTTCTGCTGATTGGAGATGTGACTGAGATTGTTAGTGCTCACTAACTTCCCAATGCTCATCTCATTTCCCAGTTTTCCTTGCAGTTAGGTTGAGGCCATGTGACTAAGTTCTGGCCAATGGGAAATAGACAGAAGTGATTATGAGATCATTTTAGGCCTAACTGTTGAAAATATTTCTCATCTCTTTTCACTTTCTGTTTCCCTGCCACAGTGACCTCGGAGGCCACGTGTTCCAAATGGTATAGTGATAGGATGGAGAAGTGCTGCTCAGCCCATGGAAAATTGTGACACGAGTTAGGAAGAACATCTTCATGGTTTAGGATTTCTTTTTTTCCTTTGAGACAGAGTCTTACTCCGTCTTACCCAAGCTTGAGTGCAGTGGCATGATCTCAGCTAGCTGCAACCTCTTCTTCCTGGGTTCATGCAATTCTCATGACTCAGCCTCCCAAGTAGCTGAAATTACAGGTATGCTCCACCATGCCTGGCTAATTTTTAGATGGGGTGTCACCATGTTGGCCAGGCTGGTCTCAAACTCTTGATCTCAATTGATCCGCCAGCTTCGGCCTCCCAAAGCGCTGGGATTACAGGTGTGAGCCATCACACCCAGCCAGGATTTATTTCTTATTTCAACATAACCTAGACTATCATGACTAACAAAACAAACACAGGAGTGGCTGTGTTGCACTGAGAAGCAAAGAAAAGTTGATTTACAAAGAGGAATAAAGATGATGTACATGCACAAAGGGGAGCAGAGTTAAGAAAGAGTCCCTGGGTCCTTCTCATTCCTGGTTCCAACCTCATCTTGAGGGCAAACCACATTTCTCTCCTTGGCTTCTATGACTCTCTTGCATCCCTATAAGTCCCTTTCCTATTAAGCCTGTACACAGAGTTTCTGTCCTTTGCAGCCAAAAGAAGTTACAACTAATATTCCTCTTACCTCAGTGCTTCAGTTTATGTTTTACTCATTTTAACACGAAGACAACTACATTAATAGGCATGGGTTCTGGCTTAGATTTCTAATTCCTTCATGCTTTTATTCTGTTCAGGAATGCCAAGAACTACAGCAAAATCTTGTCCAGATGTGATTCCACAGTACAGTCAGCCCTGAAGACACAATTCCAGAATTACAAATTTTGTCTATTTACCCAAAATGTAAGGTGGATAATCTTTTCAGTTTATTGGTTACAAATGACCAGCTGACAAGTTACTCAGCTTCTGCAATTGTGGTGAAATTCTAGAGCTACCAAGAAAGGGTCACTTGTTCAAGAAGAACAAGCTAAGGAATTGATTGGCTCTTCAGAACTTGTGCCAACTTCCTTTCTGCAGGCGGGCTAAATATTGGATACCTTTGAGAGAAGGGAAGCCATCATCTTAGGAAAAAAACCTCTCTCTGCTGTGAACAAGCTGAATGCAATCACAGAAACTGCAGACAAAAGAGCTTTTGATGACAGATATTGCTGATGCCTGGTGCCTTCAAAGGCATTCCAGGAAAGGTGAAGGAATAATTATGATTAACAATAACTCATGTTTCTTCCAGGATGTTACTCATTGAACCAATGGGTCACTTGAGAAATATGTCAGTGAGTCAGCTCACATCCAATTTGGCAAAAAGATCCTGGGCTCCCAAACTCTTTGCATTGAACTGAGTAAACCCAAATGAATACATTCTGGGGGAGAAGTAAAGGAAGGAGAACTGTGGTGGTAAAAGACAGAGTTGGCTCCTTCAGTCTCCACCTCCACAGTCCCACCCCCATATTTAAGTGGAATGAAATTATCAAGGCCAATGAAGAAAGTCTTGAGCATACCTTTAGAAAAGTTAAAGGACTCAGATGAAGGAAAAATACAGAAACACCACCAGGAAACAAGGAGAGTCTAATAACTCACCACACATCTAAAACAACATGAACTTATAAATTTATATTGCAACTTATACAGTAAGAGCATATACCAAAAGCCAGTTAAAATAATAATGGTTACAAATAAAAAGGAGTTTGGACTGGCTGGTCTAAGGTCTTTTATTCAAAATTCCATGATAAAAGGACTATATAGACTGATGTGGCTCAAGGGCCAAATTGGCTGTTGATGAAATTTTTCCTATGATAATGGCATTGAAATTCATTATTTTACTTTTCACTGCCCTTAGAAGAGTTTATTAAAATATAGGTACAATTTAAAGAAGAATTAAAAGCCCAAAACTGGCCAGGCATGGTGGCTCACGGCTGCAATCCCAGCACTTTGGGAGGCCGAGGCGGGTGGACTGCTTGAGCTCAGGAGTTTGAGATCAGCCTGGACAACATGGCAAAACCCTGTCTCTACCAAAAACACACACAAAAAGTTAGCCAAGCATGGTGGTGCATGCCTGTGATCCCAGCTACTTGGAAGGCTGAGGAGGGAGGATCACTTAAGCCCAGAAGGTGGAGGCTGAAGTGAGCTGAGATCACACCACTGCACTCCAAGCTGGGTGACAGAGTGAGACCTCATCAAAAAAACAACAACAAAAAAAAAACAAAAACAAACAAACAAAGAACCCAAAAAACAAAAAACTGTAAAACCCCATACCCACGTACTCACTACCTAACCTAGTTTAAGAATAAAACATTAACGAGTCCCATGCACCTGCCCCCAAAACCTCTCCTCTGTTCACTTCCCACCCATGGTTATCCAGAGGCTAATATTAATTGGCACTTTTTAAAAATTGGCACTTTCACGTTAATCATTCCCTGCTTTATGGTTTCACCACCTATGTTTACATACCTAAACAATATATTCTTTAGTTTTGAAAATTTAGTAGCTGTGTAAAAAAATATCAAAGTTCTATTAGTTGAAACCTCAGGCATGAATGCAACAGAATTTCTCGGCATCAGCTTCTTTAAGCATTTACAGGAGCCCTTTCTGGGGAAGTTAGTGGCCAAGGTCATACACCAGTCCTAGGAAACACAGGGCTCCATGCAGTCTGAGCACCTGGCAATGTTCTCAGGTGAGCCTGGTATTGAAGTCAGGCAGAAATAAAGTCAGAGGGTAGGGGATGCTATTTTCTAACTCACCTCCAGCTCTCAGATGTAGGTTTAAGCACAATCTTTGGTGAGATGCAATGAATGTCCTCAACTGATGCAAGCAGCAGGGTATGGAATAGAGAGCTGGAGCTTTTTCAGCAAAAGGTCATGACACAGTAAGAATCTGGACAAGCTCACTCAAGCATTCTATCCTGGGGTTGAAAAAGAGAGTAAAATAGCAGTGAAAACTTGGCTATGAAGGTCACCAACGTGTCTGTCTCTTGAGTCTCATGCTCCTCTCTGAAACAGTTGCCCTCTGTCTGTTGATAGCTGTCCTGGAATCTCTCTTCACTGTCCTTATGAGGATTCCTTTTGCCTTTCACCTGGGATGGATCATGTACTTATTGTATCCAAGATCAGACCACACAATTTGTGGGGCCCAGTGCAAAATGAAAACCTGGGGTCCCTTGTTAAAAAATTATAAGAATTTCAAGATGACAACAGCAGAGCATTAAACCAAGTATGGGGTCCTTCTATGTGCAGTATCCTGTGTGAGTATATGGGGTGATATCCACAAAGACAGCCCTGTCTATATCTCATGTCTCCCTCTTTCCTAGTTTACTTTTTTTGGTGGAACACATTCCCCAGTAGTTTGAGAAAGGGTGCATGTGAAATAAGTTTTTGAGGCTTAAATGTCTGAAAATGTCATTGTTCTGTCCTCATTCTTGAATGTGAGCCACTTTATTGTTTAACACTGCATTCTGAATATTGCTCCCTGGAATTGTACAATTCGGTAGCCCTGTTTGATTGATGGTTTGGCTGGGTATAAAGTTCTAGCTTTGAAATAATTTTCCTTCAGTATTTTAAAGGTATTGCTCCCTTGTCTTGTTTATAGTACATTGCTGAGAGTCTGAAATTATTTGGATTCTTAACTTTGTGTGACTTGTTTATGCCTTTCTAGAAGCTTACGTAATTTTCTTTTTTCCCCAGAGTTCTAAAAATTTACAACATGCCTTTGTGAGGGTCTGTTTTCATCCATACAGGCCCTTTTGTTCTAGCAATTCATGTTCATCAGTTCTGAGAAATTTTATTGAATTATTTCATTGATAATTTTCTCTGCTCCATTTATGTTTTCTGGAGCTCTTATAATTTGGATAATAAACCTTCTAGAACAGACCTCTCATTTCCTTACCCTTTCTCTCCTCTGTCTACTCTTCGTTCTACTTTTTGAGAAAAATCCTTAACCTTCTACTTTGAGAAAATTTTTAATCTTACATCCTAGTCTTTTAATTTTTTTTAATTTCTAAGAGCTCATTTTGTTCTCTAAATGACCTTTTATATACTATTCTATTCCTATTCTTCTTTCATGTATGCAGCATTTGTCTATTATCTGAGGATATGAGAAATCTTGTTTGTTTTCTTCTCCCTGCGTAGTCTCCATTGCTTCATGTTGCTTTTTTTTTTTTTTGTACTTATTTAGGTCTCTATCTTTTTCACTGGGGACTGTCCTCAGATATCTGGTGTATTAGTCCATTCTTCTGCTGCTATAGGATATAGCCGAGACCGGGTAATTTATAAAGGAAAGAGGATTAATTGACTCACTGTTCCGCAGGGCTGGAAAGGCCTCAGGAAACTTACAATCATGGCGGAAGGAGAAACAAACACAGAGACAGAAAGGAGAAGAATAAATGCCCAGTGAAGTGGGGGAAGCCCCTTATAAAACCATCAGATCTCGTGAGAACTAACACATTATCATGAGAACAGAATGGGAGAAACTGCTCCTGTGATTCAATTATCTCCACCTGGTCCCTTCCACCACACGTGGGGATTATGGGAATTACAATTCAACATAAGATTTGGGTGGGGACACAGCCAAACCATATCATCTAGTAATCCTTGGTTTTCTGCACTAAAAAAGCTGATTAAAAGCACTAGACAAGTGGGCAGGGCTTGTTGACTTTGAACTTAAAGATAATCCAGATGTACAGTTTCTTGGCAGACCCCTGAAGTGAGTGTCTTTGCTTTTTTTTCCCCGCCTTGTTCTGGTCAGATTCCCCAGAGAATTTTCTGATCTCCTGCCTGGTAGATGAGGGCTTGACTGAGAAACAGGTGAAAGAAAAGGGGTGGGGAGTCAGAATATATGAACTCGTTTTTCCCCTCAGTAGGAAGTCCTGCTGTCAGCCATACCTATAAACACAAAAACTCCAGACTTCTGCTGGGACAGGGGAGGAAGTCACCTGGCACCATAAAGAGTAAATAGGCAGCTAGGAATCCAATTGCTTCTCAAGTTGTTTTTTCTTCCTTATTTAAGTCACAGGTATACCTGATGCTGCCAATTACTGAGCTTTTTGAAGATTCTGTGGTTTGAAGCCAGCTTAGGACTCAGCTTTTTTGGCTTGTCCATCTGCTTTCCAGCTTCCAAAATTTTGTTGCTCCTTATCATCTTTCCTATACTGGTATGTTTGTCTTTTGTAAAAATTTATTTAATGTGGTTTTAGTTATGTCAGAAGAAAGTGAAATTAGATACAGTAGTCCTCCCTTATCTGTAGGACATATGTTCCAAGAGCCATGGTGGATGCCTGAAACCAGCAGATAGTATTAAACCCTATATGAACTATATTTTTTCCTATACATACATACCTATGATAAAGTTTAATTTATGTTAGGTAGGAGATTAATAGAAATATCTAAGAATAATTGCAATAATATACTATTATAAAAGTTATGTGAATGTCTCTCTCAAAACATCTTATTGTACTGTAGTCACCCTTCTTTTGATGCTAGATGAAAAAAAGCCTACATGATGAGATGAAGTGAGGTGAGTGATGTAGGCATTGTGATGTAGCATTAGGCTGCTATTGACCTTCTGACAGTAGGAAGGAGAATCATCTGCTTTCAGGTGATTCTAGATCATTAAGTCATGAAGATGTTGATGGTTGGATGTCAGGAGCAGAGGGTGTTGAGGACTAACAGGCAGGTAGCATATATGGCATGGATATGCTGGGCAAACAGATAATTCACATTCCATGCTGGACAGAATGAAATGGCACAAGATTTCATTATGCTGCTCAGAAAGGCATGCAATTTAAAACTTATGATTGTTTATTTCTGGAATGTTCCATTTAATATTTTCAAATTGCGGTTAACTGGGGTAACAAAAACCACAAAAAGCAAAACTGCAGATAAGAGGGGACTACTGTACATACCTTCAATTCACTATCTTAACTGAGAACGCTGTTAACTTTTTTAGACAGCCTTTTTAGAATCAACTGTACCTCTTTTATACTTATTCAAATGTGCTGATGATGAAGTCAGTGCATTGGCATGGCAATGACAGCTAACCTTCAGATCCAGGCATGACTTCTGCTAGGGGCTTAATGTGGGAAACATCTATGAGATTGCCTGCTCAGCACTTCCTCCTCTTCTCCAGAAGCCCCTCAGCATGGCCCACCTCACGGCTGACACGTTCTTACATGATCCTATATTTTGGTCAGAGTTGATTGGTGTAGGACAGCTATTACCCAAGGTGGACATGACTCTCTTCTCTGAGATTCTTGGATATTAACCAAACTGACCATCAGGGGAGTCCCTCCTGGTGGCAAATGCTAAGATGTGCATTCTCCTCCCTTCCTGCCACTCAAATTTTGTTACTGGATCAAGTTTGCCTGCATCACTCTTTATTCAAGATATGTTATCTCTTAAAGGCTTCCTCAGGACCCCCTTTTCCCACATGAGGATAGATACCCAACGTAACCAGTTCATCACATAAATCTAAATTCCAGCTTCTGAGTTTGGATTAAAGTTAGGACATCCTCTCCCACTATATCCATTTTCTCATATCCATACACTCCTTCAAAAAATACTTGACAAAAACAAATTTTGTTTTACCACTATCCCCTTCCAGAGACTTGGCATATGTCAAGGCTAAAGTGACAGAAGGGGACCTTTAATAATGCTACTTAAGCATACATGCAAGGGGATACACTAGACGAGGTTAATCTGGTACTGTGAGATGTCAAACTGCTTTGCTTTCCACCACTGCAGCCTGCAGCGGTAGAAAACCCTTCAAGTCTCATATCTTTGGCATGGAACAGGCTCCACTGAAGAGGGGCATCTCCAGAAGAGGCAAGACCAGAGACCAGAGGGTTTAAGTGGAAGTACCGAGATCCCATCTCCTATATACTGATGAATTATGAGACAGTACATACCCTTTTTAAAGGGGAGGGGCTTAAAAATGTTTTAGTATTAAAATGTGAATTTTACAAGTAATTAAAATTTTCCCCTCAGGGAACTCTTGGCAGAATAAAAAAGGTATTGACTTTGGCTCCAAAGGGTTTTGAGGTCCAGATTCAAATACTGTGACTTGGGGCAGGTTATTTGATCTCTTTTGCCTCCATTTCTTCATATGTGAAATAGGGATTGAAGATACAGAGATGAAAAACGATACTGTACAATGTGCCTGGCATGTGGTTGAACCCTATAAATATACATTCTTCCCCATTTTCCTAATCTGCTAGTGAAAGCAATAAGATAATAGAGTTTGTTCTGTACAGCAAATACGTATTCCCAGGAATGTTAAAGCAGGACACATCAGCAAAGGCAAAGATGACCTATTACAGGCCTCGGGGATCTTTGAGAAGGGTACTCCTTACAGATTTATATTTGAAAAGGGAAAAGTAGCTGAGAACCCCCATATTTGTCAGGCATGGTGGAAAGAGGTTGTTTTGTTTTGTTTTGAGACGGAGTCTCGCCATGTAGCCTGGGCTGGAGTGCAGTGGCCTGATCTCGGCTCACTGCAACCTCTGCCTCCTGGGTTCAAGCGATTCTCCTGCCTCAGCCTCCTGAGTAGTTGGGATTACAGGCGCCCACCATCATGCCCAGCTAATTTTTTGTATTTTTAGTAGAGACGGGGTTTCACCATATTGGCCAGGCTGGTCTCCAACTACTGACCTCAGGTGATCTGCCCGCCTTAGCCTCCCAAAGTGCTAGGATTACAAGCATGACCCACCACACCCCACCAGAAAGAGGTTTAAATGAACTTTTTTTTTTGGTGGGGGGATGGGCATGTTTATTTTAACTATCAAGTCCCTGATCTCAATGCATTTGAAATAGAACTCACACATAATATTCATATTAATTTATTAACATTTTTGAGTCACTGGTCCTTTTGACACTCGCCCCAGAAAAATGCGTGTGTGTATATGTACTTACACAACCACACTTTACAAAAAGTACTTTGATTTCGCCGCATCTCCCCTTCCTTCGCACCCCCACACCACCTGCCGCCAAGTAAAGAGACTGGCTAGAGCCGCTGGGCTCCGCGAAGGCTAAATTCTGGAGATGGAGTTGGAGGTGGGGATGGGGTGCAGGTGTCAGGGCAGCGCGCTCTCCCCGACCCGCTTCTGCTGTTCCGATGGCTGAGAGCGAGGGACACGGGTGAGTCACGCGGCAGAAACTCACGGCAAGCGCACTCGGGGACAACCTGACACGGCACGGGCGGCGTCTCCGGGAGCGCAGTGGCTCCCACCTCCCGCGTCCTAGAGATGGGGAGGCGAGGAGAGAGGGAGCAGGCTGAGCCGAAGGAAGGACCTCGCCTTTTGGGAGAACTGTGGGTTGACAGCGACTGTACCTACCAGTCGCAAGGACAAGATTTTTCACTAGAACCTGGATTATTTCTCCCTTCTCCATCTTGCCACGCCCAGCCAAGGGGCTTCTAGGGCTGCTCAGGGACAGCAAGGAGCTGAGAACCCTCATATTTGTTAGGCATTGTGGAGGGAGGTTTAACATGGACTTTGTTTTAACCATGAAGTCCCTGATTCATATGCATTTAAAATATAATCCATACGTAATATCAATATTAACTTGGCGACATTTTTTGAGTCACTGATTCCTGCAACACCTGCTCCGCAGTGGGCAGGACCCTCAGAGCCCGCAGGCCTGAAGCGGCGGATGGGGACCCGCCCCCGCGGAGCGCACAAGAATTACCCTCAACAACAGCCCAGGAAGGCTGGCCAGGAGTGAGCAGGGCGGAGCGGGGAGGGGTACCAGGCCTGCAACCTCAAATGCTTTGGGGGTAGGTTCAGAGCTGTGGACCGCGGCAAGAGTCAGGGGCTGGGCTGGGCAGTGACAATAAAGGGGATGTCCCCACTCCCTGCGAGGTATGAGTTCCAGGACAGGTGATTATCGTCTCTGTGCCTGACCCCCACCCCCAGATCTAAAGGGAGAACCAGACCAGCTATTAATTCTGCAAGCTGTTCAGTGTGCGGAAGACCCAAAACACCCCCCACAGGCTATTTGAGTTAATAAATAACAAAAACCGCATTCTTAAATGGAGGGTGGGGAGGGGAAGGGAGGTTACAAAGTCTATTTTTTTTTTAAATAAGATAAAAAATAAGTCACGCTTGTCCCTGAGGATTAACATGCTCTCTTTGTTTTACCCTCCCACCCGCGGAAGTGGGTGTCTTTGCCTCTCCATTTACAAATGAAGAAACTGGCTCTGAGGGGTTGTTCAAGGTCATGTAGTTAATAAGTGACAGAATCAGGGCCTGAAGCAGGCTGACCCCAAGCTGGTGTCCTTTGTTGGTGCCACATTTCCGTCAGAGGTGAGGCAGATGTGTCTTCATCACTTTTAGCAAAGAGAACTGGCCCCTGTCTATATAAATAAAGATGCGACCTGCCAAGTTACCTAGGAAGCTGCTGCCTTCACTTCTTTTCAAACCACAATATGTCTTCTGCTCTGAGCCGTTTACACTCTCCTTTATGAAATGGCTTGCTGTATTTAAGATTGCAGTCTGCGAAACTAGATGTTTTTTTTTTTACCTTTTTTGAATCTTACCGGCCTTATGATATGGGCCTTACTAGCCTATATTCAGACCAAGTGATCCACCCGGGTAGTACTGACAAATGCTGCACACGCCCTTCCAATAAATGCAGACTTTTAAATTACCTTGGTCATTTAACCATCAATTATCCAACCACTTTACAGGTATTTAATGAGCATCTCTGCCTTTCCATGCGCCAGTCTACTTTCTCCTCTGCCAGTTTTTGTTTTTTCAAACATGATTCAGATCCAGTTACTCCTTTAATTAAAAACCCTCAGTGGTTTCCTACCATCTACAGAGTGAAGATAAGACTTGTCACATGAGGCTCCTGCCTGTCTTTGTAGCTCTTAAATTTGGAGTATAGGCAAAGTGAAACCCAAAAGTAGAGCCAAGTGTTTGCTATCGCTACAAGAGCACAGATTCTTGCCCTCAGGCACCTCAAATCCTATGTGAGAATAACCACAGTATGAAGTATAAATAGTAAATCCTTGACTACTTAGCTCACACTTGACCCTGGAGAGTTTGGTACTCACAGAGAAATGTAGGCTGCTGAGAGTAAAGTGTTCAGAGTTCATTTCTTTCTCTATAACCTATCTCTTCTGGAAAAAGAGCCTGGAAAGCTTTGGAAAAAAAGTTGGTTAACTGGGAATAGAAAAGTAGGACCAAAAAAAAAAAAAAAAGGAATGTGAATATTGTAGATCTAAAGGTCAATGCCACTGCAAGGTTCAGGTTTCAAAGTTGACTCTGGATTTCCTGGCAGCCAAGGCAATAAGGGAAACGGGGTACATTATTTGCACTTTGCTGACAGAAAAGAAGAAACCTATCCATTTTTGAAAACAAGTAAATTATTTTATGATGCTATTTTTAATCTTTCTCATCACTGCTTTTTAAATTATAAAGTTATTGTATGTCCTTTGTAAAAAATCCAAATAATACAAATATCTATAGAGTAAAAAGTGTATGTCCCCTTTACCTATATACCTCTATTCCCCTTTTCCAGAAGTAAAGCCTACCCCCGGAGACTGACCATTTATTTCTAGAGGGGTTTTTTTCTGTGAAATTAAAAGTACTTACACAGTTTCCATAGAATTTGGGTTTTATTTGCTTGCTTTAAAAAAAGGATCATATTAACTATATTCTTTGTAACTTGCATTTTCACTTTATGGTGTATCAAAGACATCCTTCTCTATCTCCCTATATGAATCTCTTCCATTTTAATGACTACAGTATTCCATTATAAGGAGGTAGCATAATCTATTTAACCATTCTTCTTTTTGTTTCTGATTTTACAGTCATATACAATGAATATGCTTGTACATATACTTTTTTGTAGAAGTATGTCTATGCCATCAGTCCCTAGAAGTGGAACTACAAGATCATATCACTCATATATTTAAAATTTTGATGTATTGTCTTCAAAACGACTGCATGAATTTATACTCTCACCAAGAGTGTCTGAGTGTGCCCATTTTCCCATTCCCTTGCCAGCACTAGATATCATGGACATTTTTCATTTTCTGGCACAAACTTCTGGATGGAATTTCTCCTGGCAAGATCAACATATTTTAATCAAGAAAGGAGACCAATGAGACAGTCTTATTTTTCTGGTTCTAGGGTGGTGGTGTTGGGGCTGTGCTCCATAGAGCCCCAGGAATGCTGAGGGTTGGGTGTGAGGGAGTACAAAAGGACAAGACCTTCACCTCTTAACCAGGGCAGCTGAGTTGATCTGTTTTACATGTTGCAGTTTGGAATAAGATTTTGTTTGAAGATAAGATTCTGTTGCTTAAAAACAAGTTTGAATATCACAGATCTCGGGCCTTATTTCTTATTGAACCATCAGCAAATTGAAGAAGAATTAAAAATGTATTCCTTCAAGGCAAAGAAGAGATCTTAAAACAGTGAATCTCCAGCTGCAGTCAAAATATTCTCATTTATACACTGTGTGTGAGAGTGTGTGTGTGTCTGCAGATGTTCTCATTCATGCTAGGCCTCTCTCTATTGCCCACCTGCCATCCTGCAGCCAATCCCAAAACACCATTTCCTCCAAGGTTTAGATGAAAATGCCTCTTCTCTAAGCCTCCCTCCTCACCACATGCATGCGCACACACACACACATGCATACACACCATCAATGTGGATCATATCTTCTTTATTTGTATAAACTGGATGTCAGCTGCTCCTCCTTTCCTCTGAGACCTGGATAAAATTTCATAGTCATGATCCTCTAACATTTCTGGGGGCTCCTCTGAGCCATAGGTTCTCAGGGCCTCCTCTCCCTCCTGCTCCCTTAGGTGCCCTCTTTAAGATCCATTATATAAAACTCAGCTCCTTCTTTGACAGTTACACACACAAACAATAATAACAACAACAACAAACTACTCCTCTGCATAAAGCATCCTTCAAAAGAGTAAAATACTACAGACAGCACCTGGGGAAGAGTGAGAGAAAGAAGAATTTGAGTCACAAGGATGCAAACTATTTCAAGATGGCATGTAAGCATCATAGGGGCCTTAGTCTAACACCAGCTCCCTTTTATCTCACTGGCTCTTCTCTCCTTCTGTTCTTTATCTTCACCCACTCTATTCTGGATTGAACCAAGAACTTCAAATTATTTACTCTATGAAATGTTGCAGTTCAGCTCTCCCCAGCTTGTGGCCTCAATGTCATATGGCCAATATCTTCATAGCACCTGTCTTACTAAATGGAAAAAAAAAAACCCTTTTTTTTCATTAATACAAGTAGTGTTAAATAACAGAATAGCTTTAGACTATATTTTAGCAGGACGAGATGGTGTTTGTTTTGTTACTAATTCCTCCTGCTGTATATATATCAGTACTTCCTCTCAAGTAGAAACAAACATTTAAAAAGTTAGAGAGCAAGTGATCTGGTTACAACAAACTCTAAACCATTATAACTCCTTGTTCAGAGAAGGCTGGGATTTGTTTTTGAGCTGTTGTATTGCTTTTGTCCTGTAATCATATTAGATATCTGGCCCCTCCAACCAAATGTTAAGCAGCCAAGGGCAAGAATTCTGTCTTTTTGTAGCTTTTAAATGCCCAAAGTCTCTGGCATATGCTTCATAAATGTGTAATGAATAGAACAACCACTAATTATATAATTAAAAGAAGAGTAAATGATAAATGAATATAAGACCTTTGGGTATTTTATAAAATGTGGTAGATATTTCCTTGAAAAGGCCATAACATTAGTAATTCTTAGAAAGTTCTGTTAAAACATTCAGATACATTTTCAACTTGTATTTATCTTTTAGGAGATCCATTATATAAGATTGTCCTACTCAAAATATTCACTACCTCACATTTCTTTTTTATATTGGCCTTTATACTCTTCTAAAACTTCTTTCCTACTTCTCCTATAAGCTAGATATTATTTTTGTTTATTCCCTTCCCACGTGGCCAGATAGGAAGGAAGCAGAGATGATTATCTATATCAATACAATATCTCCTCTTGCAGGGATCCCAAGAATAAAGAGTGCTATATAAAGTAGCATGCTATGTAAACCAAGGCTTAAAACATCCTTTAGTGAACCATCGTAAAATATCACTTGAAATTCCTACAGGATCTTCTGCCTGCTATGTTTAATTCCTAAATCTCGTGTTATTAAAAGAAGTCTGTTTGCTCTTTTATCTATACTCCATATCACACAATTTTTTTTTTTCATCAAAACTGGCTTAGTTTGGTGTAAGGAAGCAGGAGTATATGACAACTTAGAATTTCTGATATTTGACCCTTTGCTGTAAATTTAAGCTCATGAATAGTCCAAAGCTCAGAAACCAGACCCAATTCCATTGCGGATATATATATACCAGGCCAAGTTCCACTGTGGATATATATATATATCTCTCTCCAAACTAGTATTTATAATGTATATACTAATTCCATTGTGAATGTGTGTGTGTGTGTGTGTGTGTATGTGTGTATGTGTGTGGGTATCTGTCCTATTCTGCTTGTCTGGATGACAGCATTTTTGCCAAAACATTCAAATGAAACAAATTTTTTATTTAATCAAACTTCCTTGGTGCCATGTAAATAACACAGAATAATCATAACCATCTGTTTCACTCCTAAAGTATTATCCAGTCTCTCTCAAGTCTAGTGAAGAGCTTGACTTGCTTACTTGTTGACATTCAGCTCTTATCTGCTATCGTTCCAGTTGTCCAGCTAAGGAATATTCATAAACAGGATGTGAGGGCAAAATGAGTTACCATTTTAAGCACTTATTCTTTCTGTAGTTCTCACAACAAATGTGATCAATTAAGAGAAAAACATTGAAGATGTAAGAAGAGTGATTTGAGATGTGGGTTAAGAGTCAGCCACAGCTGGGTTTGAATCCTAGTTCTAATGCTAGGCAGCTGCGACCTTGGGAAAATTGTTTAACTTACTAAGTCTGTTTGCTCAGCTCTAAATTAGGCCCAGTAATACCTTTCTCATATTGTTACTGTGAGGACTAACTGCAAAATATGTGTTTAATAAGTGGTAGCTGTTTTGTTGTAATTATTACCACAGAAGCTTCGCTATGTGGGGCTTTGCCATTCTAAATTAATTTTTGTATTTGTGTCTCACTTTGAGCTTCTTCAAAACACCTATCCACCATTTTATCTGAATCTCACAGCAATCGTGTAAGCTGGGTATAACAGACACGATTAAACTCATTAGGAAACCAAGAACTGGATAACGTCAATCCATTGCCTCAGTCATCCCGTGTCTGGGCAAGTGGGGCAAGAATCCACATCTCATCCTTACCTTCATGAACAATCCTTCAATCTGCTCTCAGACAGCAACCACAGGGAGCTGTTAGAAGTACTGTGTGATCATGTTACCCCCAGCCCCCTCCCCACCTCCATTTAGAACCCTTCAGTGGCTTTCCAATGCTCACAAGATAAAGGGAGGAATCATTCATGTGGCCTGCAAGGCCCTGCAGGTCTGACCCAGTTCTCCAGCTCCTCTCAGAACATCCTTGCCCTCCCAAGACCCTTCTGGGCTCTGGTTCCTTGAACAGGACCCACCTCTCCCACTCCAAGGTCCTCCTCGATTCCTCTCTCCCCATGGAGAGAGGACTGTATCTTCGCATCCTTCACTTTCAGCTCAACATATCACTTTCTCAGAGAAGGCAGGCCTTCCCAGGCTATTTTGAGTCCCTTTATTACTTATGCTCATGCTTATGTTCTTATCTTCATAGAACTTGTCACATTTTGTAATGATATATTTGTACAATCATTTTTCTGGTGTCTGTCGTCTCCACTAAACTGAAAGTGCCAAGAGAGCAGAACTGGATCCGCCCTGTCTCCTTTGAGTTACCTGATTTCAGCATAATGCCTGACCCTTAGCACTGAAAATATGCCTGTTGAATGAACTACATATGTTTTTAGAGACAGAGAAAATAAGAATGAGAAAAATAATTGCAAGTGAATCATAGTCCTTTTCTCTCTCATTCCTTCTCCTTTTCCTCCTTCTCCTCTTCTCCTCCATCTCCCTTCCCCCCTGCCCCTCTTTTTCTCTCTGTCTCTCTTTTTAAGTTTTTTTTTTCTTTTGAGATGGAGTCTCTCTCTGTCATACAGGCTGGAGTGCAGTGGCGCTATCTTGGCTCACTGCAACCTCCGCCTCCCAAGTCCAAGCGATTCTCCTGCCTCAGTAGCTGGGACTACAGGCACATGTCACCATGCCCAGCTAATTTTTGTATTTTTAGTAGAGACAGGGTTTCGCCATATTGCCAGGCTTGTCTGGAACTCCTGACCTCAGGTGATCCACCTGCCTTCGCCTCCCAAATAGCTGGGATTATAGGCATGAGCCACCATGCCTGGCCTCCTTTTCAGTTTCTATTTGGAATCGCTCCAGAAAAAGAAAGCCCTGACTCCAGCTCAGGTGGATGAATGTCCATATAGAACAGGAAAACCAACAGTCCTGTGATTTATAGCTTGGTCAGGTTGTACTCACCTGTTCTTTCCTTCACAAGTGAGTGCAACCTGACCAAACTACAAGTGAATACTTACATACGTGCTTCCTCCTGCCTCCTTCTACTTCACTTTCTGCTCTTGCAAGGACACTTCAAATGCCTCCGCTAGAAAGCAGAAAGCAAAATGTGAGGAGGGGAACTATTTGGGCACAAAAATTTGTATTTATTTATAATCGTTTTCTCAAAAATGTGGGCAGAAAGTGTGAGAAGAAAATACATGAGGAGAAACATACGAGGCATTGCAAATATGAATCTATTTTAATGTCACTTTGCTGTAGGTCAGTGATTCCTCAACTTTTTTAGAGTTGGAACTTTATCATCTATATGTGCTATTAGAAACAGAGAAAATAAGGATGAGAAAAATAATTGCAAGTGAATGATAGTCCTTTTCTCTCCCTCTCATTTAAGAATGTCATGATGTTTTCAAAATTAAATTCAATTAAAATCAATTTGTTTGAATAACTCCAATGGTAAACTGATGTTGCAAGACCATCACCTCTCTATACCGAAATGTAAAAACTTAGATATTTCAAAGGAGCAGTGTTTGTGATTAAGGCATCATGAGGTTAGCACTTACCGGGTCACTTTTATCCACAGAAGAAGAAGATAGGCATCTGTATATGTGAGACATTGCTACATTGAGGAAGGAACTTCCCCTCAAAACCCAACTCCTTCTCTCTTTACCTCTGTCACTAATGCCTAAAACTCCATTATTAAAGGCTAATTCCTTTAGAAAGTCAATATTGTTTGCTACCAGCTTTTATCAAAATCAAAGATATAAACCTCTGTAAGATGCATCACTGTTTTATATACCACTAAGAAAGAAAAACCAAGGCCTAGTATAATAAGACATCATCAATTATAAGAAACATCCCAATTTCAGAGATACTAAAATGTGAAAAACCCGTGTCTTGGGCTATGTGAATGAAGCAATGAAGAGCATGAACCATGAAATCAAATACACCTGATGGACATCCTGCTTCTGCCATTTAATAGATGGGTTGCTTTGGGTGGGTAACTTCTCTGAATCCATACCATCTTCCCTGTAAAATGAAAATACTAGTACACACCTGCCTGGTTAGCAAGAATGACCTATTACCTAATTCCTAGTTACCAAGAATGAGGTATTACAAAGTGTTTAGTGCAGAACCCAGCCATTAGTTAGGGTTCCAAAATGAAAACTATTATTGCTATTAAGGAATTATCCTCTAAAGGCAATTACCATTGGGCAGAATAGTACATTGAGTCCTTACTGCTCATGTTTCCTTACTTTCAGGGAGTTTTAAGATAAAACAGATCTCCATAGGTCCAGGTATTTCACAAGAGATTTGTTTGTAGGGAAGGAGATAATACCAAAATTGGGAAACTGCGTGGGGAGGAAAGGCCTGGGGGATAAGGTAGAGCTGGATCTAGAAGAAGAGGTCAGAGGATACCAAAACCAAATGTTACTACTGTGTCCTTCAAATTTTGCCCAGGATTGCTTCTGGTTTCAACTTGATTCAGATGTCAAAAATGTACTCATAACCTTGATACAGTATGGTAAGTGAAAGAAACCAATCACAAAATTGACATATTCTATGACACCATTTATATGAAATACACAGAGTAGGCAAATCCATAGACACAGAAAGTAGATTAGAGGTTTCCAGAGGCTGAGGGCAGAAGGGAATAGGGAGTGGCTGCTAAGGTTTTGGGGTGGATAAAAATATTCTAAAATTAGATTGCAATGATAGTTGTAAAATTCTTTGAATATCATTGAATTGCATGTTTTAAATGGATGAATTTTATGGTATGTGACTTATACCTCCATAAAGATGCTTTAAAAAGAGAGCACATTTGTATGTTCTGTTATTTTAAAGTCTAGAACTAAAGTTTTTTCAAAAATTCCCTTTATTTTTTAAAACAATAAAACACCTGTACACATAGAAAAATAAATATATCTGATTTACACTTGTTGATAAAACTCATACAGTCCAGTTAAGGTTTTCATTTTACTTTCACCTATTACATGTAAAAATGGCCAATTTATTTATTTATTTTTTTTTTGAGATGGAGTTTTGCTTTTGTCACCCAGGCTGGAGTGCAGTTGCGCAATCTTGGTTCACTGCAACCTCCATAAAAATGGCCAGTTTTAAACATAGTCTCCAACTTTGTGAGCCCCAGAGGATTCAGTCACAAGGATTTAGCTTCTATGGTGAGCAGGTATGTATTGTGCAGTGGAGACGCAAAAGAGTTTCTTATATCCGGGGTGATATTCAAAATATTTTAAAACCGTTAAATAGTTGGGCACTGACCAACCAGTATGGATGACAGCTGGAAAAGTCGCTGGAGTTTAGACGAATGGCGGATACAGGGGGAAAGCCAGGGAAGTTGAAGGGGGAGGGATTAGGAAGTGAGAGCACTTGGGAAGCTCCAATAGGGGTACATTTAATAAGTGGCACAGGGCTCTCAAGCTTGACGTTTGTTTGGTGGGTTCAACATGTGTATCGAGAAGTGTTATTTCTGTTCGGGGTCCATCTACCCTGGCCACAGCATGATGTTTGTCCAGAACAATTGCAAGGTGTTCAGATTTTGTAACTCTAAATATCATAAAAACTTTAAAAAGAAGCGCAATCCTCGCAAAGTTGGGTGGACCAAAGCATTCTGGAAAGCAGCTGATAAAGAGCTTACAGTGGATAATTCATTTGAATTTGAAAAACGTAGAAATGAACCTATCAAATACCAGTGAGAGCTATGGAATAAAACTATTGAGGCAATAAAGAGAGTTGAAGAGATCAAACAGAAACGCCAAGCTAAATTTGTAGTGAACAGATTGAAGAAAAATAAAGCGCTACAGAAACTTCAAAGAAGTCAAGCAAAACATCCATCTTATCCTAGCCCCTCTTGCAGGCAAAGGAAAGCAGTTGTAAGAGAAAATGGTACAGCAGTTACAAGAGGATGTGGACATGGAAGATGCTTCTTAAAAAAAATCTCTGTAACCATTTCTTTTATGTACATTTGAAAATGCCCTCTGGAGACTTGGAACTACTAAATTATTACTTTACTTTTTACATAAGGTCACTTAAATGAAAAGTGATTAAAATATATCTTTCCTACATTGTCATCTACGAAACGTCACATATTACGGACATTAGATTGCATCTCAGTGTTAAATCTTCACTGATAGATGTACTTATGTAAATCATGAAAATTCTACTTATAACTATAGAAGTGAATTGTGGACATAAAATGGTTATGCCATTTGGATAATGGCACTAGGCAGCATTTGTATAATAACTAATGGCAAAAATTCATGGCCAGTGATGTATAAAATAAAATATTCTTGGCAGTAAAATATTCCCTTTATTAATGTTATAGAAGTGGGGGATACAACAAGGAAATAACAATTTGTATGACAGTGTCAAATATTATTTTAATTTTAGTATTTCCTGTTTTGGTTTATTTGTATCTTAGAAGAGCATAATGACATTGTTGGATGAAGCCTAATTATGCTGGACTGTTTTGACCTGGTTTAACCCTTCTGATAGGTAGCTGTGGATGTTGGGGATGAGAACTGAATAATCTTTGCCTGGAGTGACACTACACTCTAGAATTTCCACTTTGGAGAATACTCAGTTCTAACTTGTGATTCCTGATAGAACAAACTTTATTTTTCTAGCCTAGCAATGATCTAGAAGTGGAGGAATCCCAGCACCTTTTAAAAGTTATTATGTGGTTTTCTTTTAAAAAGCTCCTGTTTTTGGAAAGTAGAATTTATGGGTACAACATCTGTTCACTATTTGCACATAAAGCCATTTAAAAGGTTTAAAAAAAAGTGGCACAGGAGTTTTCACTATTTAAGCAGCTGGTTAGAGCTCTTCTGGGGCATATCTGTCCACTGTATCTCCTGTGTTCCATCAGAATGCACACCTGACTTTCCAAATGTGGCCTTAAAATCTTAGAAGTTCAGAGATTATCTACTCTATTCCTGACATTTTACAGATGAAGAAACCAAGGTTGAGGAAAGGTGAGTGGTTTGCTCAAGATGCATGAATAATGAGAGTCGGAATGAGTTCCCACATCTCCAAATCTCAATCCAGGTCAGTTGAGATGGGCAAAACATCCTCATACCAAATTAACTTGCCCACTCATCATTTTTGTGCCACTCCCAAATCAGAGCTGCAATTTACTTTCTACTTGTGTAAATAGAAAAAGTGTATATATTCTTCATGAGAGCAAAAGACCTTGGATATGGAAAACAAAAGGGCAGTGGGTCCAGACTTCAGGGTAATTATTTGTAACTTATGTTAATGGAAAGCATGAGGGTGCACACGTAGCACATCTCAACAGAATCCATGCATCGTTGGAAAAGCAAATTTGAAGATAATAAATCAAAGGCATTTAAAGTAAAATATGCTGGCATGCAATCTCATTTTGTAGCTTTTTTCTTCCTAGTTATCAAAAAGATCATGAAAGAAACAAAAAAAGATAGAAGAAAAGGATTCTGTTCACCTTATAGCTTATTTAGAAAACTGCCAATAAAATGATGCAGGGGGACTTTTTGGGTGCTTCAGGTTTGGTGTGTATAGAGGGAAAAATGAGAATATTCATTCATTCATATTTTCATAATAACTACTGATATTTGAATGGCCATTTACAGTTTTAAGTGTTTTCCTAAACACTTGGTAGAAGAATATTGGCATGGGAAATATTTTGCAGTATATTATTGCTAAGTAGAAATGCAGGCTACAAAAATAGTATGCACATTCAAGATGTTATTTTTGTTTAAAAAGAAGTGTATTTGTGTGTGTATGTGTGTGTGCGTGCACACACCCATACATATAAAATAATTGAGAAGACATATTGAAATACTATCTGTTCTCCTTGATTGGTAAGATTATGGTTTCTTCTTTAGCATTTTTCTGCTTTGTAAGTTGCTTGCATTGAACATATATTACTTTCATCATTAGAAAAAAATGGAAAAGTGCTTTCATCTGCATTTTTCTTCACTGGAACTTTTAACAACCATGTGAGGTACAACACCTCTCTTTATAGAAGATGATATTGAGGTTCAGAAGAACTGAGTGACCTACTATTTGGCAAGTAGCAAGTATTAGAGCTTGGGTTTTCATCTAGGCCATCTAATTCTAAATCTTACACTTTTTCCTCTACATTATGATACTCAATTCTCAGAGCTGGTTTATGTGGCAGCTCACTGTAGCATGTTCAGGGCTATCTTCATGTTGTCCTTGCAATAGAGCATCATCCATTCATTTGTACCTGTTGATCATTTTGTAGAAACCAATTTTCCAGTTAAAATGGTTGCTGTTCTGGATGTTTCACCAATGACTTGAAGCAGTTAAGCTTCCACAACAAATTCCCTTAGCTTTATTCATTTGAATAGCTATTATTTCAAAGTAGTGTACTATGTAACACTCTCAAACCTTAAAAGCTTCCTGGATGCTCTCTTGGACTCTGTCATCTTTCTCCATATCCAATTTCTACTCCTATCAGTTTTTCAAGGTATGTGTTTTTCTGTGACCTTTTTCTTTTCTTTCTTTTTTTTTAATGTGACCTTTTTCTTAAAAGCTACTTCTTGCTTGCTAATAGGCCCTGTTCCACTGTGAAAAAGCAAAGAGAATCACGAGGGAAGTAGAGCAATGGAGCTAAATGTGACCACAAGCTCTGCTGGAAGCTCTGAAAATCTAATCCATTATCCCATTACTTCACAGATGAGCTCAGAAAGCTGCTGCTGTTGATTGTCTGGCCATGGAAAGAGTTCTCAGTCAAATGAAAGTCTCTGCCTTGGGATTTATTAAACACTTTTATTCTTTGACTTTTCACACAAATTTTGCAGCATCAGGTAAATATTCTCAATATCAACAATGTTTACAATAGAAAGATTAAGAGTTGAGGGCCTTATAACCATTTTGTGAGGTACATAGAGAAGTTCTGAGTGTGTTAGGCCATTCTTGCGTTGCTATAAAGAAATATCTGAGAGTGGACAATTTATAAAGAAAAGAGGTTTAATTGCTCACAGTTCTACAGGCTGTACAGGAAGCATGGTGCTGGCATCTACTCGACTTCTAGAGAGACCACAGGAAGCTTACAATCATGGTGGAAGGTGAAGGGGGAGCAGGCATGTCACATGGCCAGAGCAAGAGCAAAAGAAAGAGTAGGGGAGTGCCGCACACTTTTAAATGACCAGATATCTTGCGAACCCATTCACTATCATGAAGACAGAACCAAGCCATGAGGAATCCACCCCCATGACCAAATACCTCCCACCAGGCCCCACCTCCAGCACTGGGAATTAGAATTCAACATGAGAGTTGGGCAGGGACAAATATCCAAACTACATCACTGAGTTAAGGCCAGTCTTTTGGACTTTGTGTACCTTTGGCTGGTAAAACTCTACCTTTATCCTTCAGAGCTGAGTCGTATTGTCCTGGGCCCCAAGACAATGGTTTCTAGGTGTTGGTTCTTTCTTTCTGCTTTTTAAAAATAATGCATGTCTTCAGCCAGAGGAGAGGTTGCTGATTTTTAAGTAATGGGACCCAGATGTTCCTGGGCCTCATAGGCAGCCCTGTCCTGGGGTCACAAACACCTTGAAGTGGGACTTAACACTTCAATTTGTTCTTGTACTTCTCAACAAGAACAAACTCAATTTCCTTCAACATAGTGATAAGAAATATAGATATTATTGTAGGTTTTATGGAGAAAGGCATGAAAGGATTATATGGAGCACCACATAGCAAATTTTAATAAAAATTCCTGTTTAACATCTGGGGTCTCCTCAGAAAGTTCCCCTTAGCCACTTTCCCACCCTTCAATCTTGCCACACATAGGCTCCACATTTTCCCTGGTTCTTCTGGATCTCATTCATTTTCCATTCACCCTGACTCACCCCTGCCTACCTCCTACAATAAATGAATAAACAGGATTTTTCTAATGCAGAACAATTTGGTGAACTCTCTTAACCCTGCATCCTCATACCCATCACTCTGTTCAGCAAAGAACCTCCTTTGGAGGCAGCTGGGTATTGTAAATTGCAGGTAATTTTTCTCTGTCACAAACAATTTTTTCCCTTGTCACTGTAGTGTTGGTGTAGCATGCCAAATTTTCAAACTGTAGGTCCAAATTCCAAGGAGCTTTTCTTCAAGGGTAGATTATCAAAAGTTTGCATCTTTCTTTAGCAGAGCTGTTTCATAGAGACGTAGAGAGAGAGAGAGCCTGAGATGGGAGAAAACTAAGGAATTTAAGGCAAAGAAAAGAGAAACTGAAATTTATTAGGCACTGTGCTAATGAATTTCCTTACATACATTATTTCATGGCATTTTTACAACCATATTTTACAGAGATGGAAACTGAGGGCTTAGAGAAGTTAAAATAAATTTGCAAAGTCTCATTGCCAGTAAGAGGTGCAGCTGGGATTCTAAAGCCAAGTCCATCGGCTCCAAAGTGTGAGGTCTTTCCTTATGTGCCATCACCTTCCACAGGCTTGGGATTTCCAATATTTAGAGAACTACCTCCTCTACCATCCCATCAAACTTCTTGGCAGCTCAGCTTTGCATCTGTCCACAGAAAGCCATTTCTCTTCTTACACGAACCTGGCCCAGGGACAGCTGGATTTAATGGTCTTGCCTGGCTCAGTCTTTCCCTGTTCCATTGCCAGTCCTATCCCAGCAGCCACAAAGATTCCTAACGTCTCATGGGAAGGTCAAGGTATTGGCACTAGTGGGACTGGGATAGTAGATGAGCTTGACTGCTGCAGTGGAAAGGACCTTGGAGCAAGATTGAGGGTAGGCAGAATTTCATAACAACCATAGGATAAATCAGTGTGTATGCCTCCTTGATCTCTTTGGAAACAAATTTTTGCACATAGTGCAGTGAAACAGGGAAGACAAGAATTCATATTTAGAGACTGGTTCTCACAATGTTTCTCAAACATACAAAAGTACCTTTTTTTCTTAATTTTATGTATTAATGGTTTAGCAACTTGACATGAACAGAGTTAGTCTTGTAATATAAAATAAGACAGAACATATTTTAGTTTCCTCTGTCATCCCCAAGATGCATTATTTTTATACACACAGGGCAGGCTGCATGTGGATTTACTTCAGCTGCCCACTTGGTGCCTGAAGTATCATTGTTCAACTTACTTAATTTCTTTCTACTCTAGTTTCTTTGACTAAAAAGGAAGAGGGTAGACTGGATAATTCCCGGGTTCCCTTCCAGCTATGTAGTTTATAGAGTGTTGGACATCTGCAAAGAGCCATGTACCTTGTGAAAAACACTATCCCATCATACTGGGTAGAATCTCAAACTGAACATATTTAGCAGCAATCATAACTCAATAGATGTTTGTAGAATAAATGAATTTTTAAATGTGTTACTGCTTTGAATTAACAGCAATATCAATATCCCATGCCTACTTTATTTGTATGCAATGTAAGCTAACTACTGAATTTTTTTAGAAGTATTCTAGTTCTGTTCTCTTTTTAAACTTACCTTTAAGCAGTGGAACACTTTTTTCAAATGAAATTCAGATTAGAGATCAACTTATATAAAATGGACAAAAATAGAGTATCTCATATTGAAACTGGAGTGGGGAGCCCCTTCCACTCACCCCTGTTGATCCTGAGAGACTTCCAAGGAACTCATTGGAACACTCAGAGCTTAGTGTGAAAAATCATCAATCCAGCCTATCCCACTACAACCAGGTGGAAATATCCACGTCACTTGAGACTTTTGTTTTTGAAATCTTCTGAGATGAGTCCACTAGTAGGAAGAGGTGCTTACCTAAATAAACAAAAAGTCTAACATGAGACCATCAGGTAACTATGTTTGCCTTCCTGGTGATGTTTTTCTAACATGGATGAGGGAATAAAATACTCTTGCAAAGATTTAGAGCCTCAAGATACTTCAGGCATAGATGAAACACATTTTACCATGAACCTGGACATCTGAGAGGTGGTTCAGAGCAAGTAAAAGCATAAGAGGATTTATCCTGATGCTGTCTTTGGTTGGAGCCTGAAGTCAATTACACATATAAAGTTCTAATCCTCACACAGTTGTGCTTTTCCTTATGCTGCTGATACTCAGCACCAAAGTCTAGGATTTTTTTCATTAGAAAATTTTTCTCATGAATAGTGTTTTCTGCCAAAGGGAACAAACTTGCTCCAAACAGAACAGCATTACAAAAAGCACAAGAAAGACATTTGTCAATAGGAAATCACACAATGAAATGTCTGTTGAGTGGATGACCCACAGTTGGAAGTAGTTGAGAGGAAAGTACAGTCAAGGGCCCACACAATACACTGGGTGAGGCTGTGGCACATGCTATTATCAGAGGGCCATGAACACTTAATCTACCAGGGGATGACTTAGCTTAAATCCAGCAAGTGATAATTTTCTTTATATTTCTTGGGGAAAATGGGAACACTTTTATGTTCATAAATACTGTTTGACTGTAGGCCAAGTTTTAAGTATGGTTAAAATTCTGAGAATATTAATGACTATCTGATGGGGAAGGATGGAACAACCTCTATTAGACAACGGCATGATTGAAATTTTATTTTTTTTCATTGACTATAACATTAAGAATGCATCAAGGAAAAGAGCCTAACTAATAATGGTTAAATTTAGGAGCTAGGGCCATTGGGAAGAGGCTACATGTACCTCTGCTTATGTTTAGTACATCGCTGGCAGTCAATACACTTAACATAATTTTACTATATAAATTGATTATTTACAGAGACAGATGAGGCAAATAGTTCATTTTTGTAACAGTAAATTCAGGATATAAGTACTTCAGAGATGGTCAATTCAGTTCCTAGCTCAAGAGCTTATACTCTAGCTTTTAGTCTCGGAAACAGGCAAGTAAATGAAGAATTGGAGAAAGCATGATGTGTGTAAGTACAAGGAGAGCAGAGGAAAGAAACACCTTAATCCAGCAAGGGTGATCTGGGGAGGCTTCCAGAGGAGATGACACCTGGGCTGAATCTTGAAGGATAAATAAGACAGAAAGGAGGGAAAGGAGGGAAAGGGCAGTGGGAATGGGAGGAGGAGGTCTAGATGAAGAAGGCAGCAGGTACAAAAAGAAAAACACATTGCTTATTTAATAGTGCCGTGTGGTTGGAATATAGTGTTTGTGTGGGGATAGGAAGAGATTTGGCTAGAAAAGTAGGCATGAAGGACATGTAAGTGTCAAACTAAGGAGTATGAGCATCAGTTATTAAGGCTACCCGCAGCCATTAAGGAATTTAAGCAGAGAAATAATATGATCAGATAAGCATGTTAGAAACAATTCATTAGTAGCAGTATGATGTCAAAGTATAATTTCCAAAGAGTTTAAAAACATGAGTCACATATTAATAGAGAATGGACACTGGTCAACAGGCTCCTGCCACTGCAGGTGGGGGGATGCATGCTGCCCACACAATAGGTCCCCCCCCCAGCTGATTCCCTACCCTCCATCACACCATGAAGGCAGGTGGTCAACTTCGGCCCTGGGCCCACCAAGGTGCTGAGCTCAGTGTTGTTAGAGATAGAACAATAATTATTAGACCACAAAGGAATTGGCATTAGTGTTCTTGAAATGAACAACAGGTCATCCAATTTCACTAAAATTATTAATACCACAGAGAATCTGGTGTGGGAATTGTTAGCCATTCCAAACAACTACTGTACAAGGTCATTTTTGTGCAAGAAGGTGGGTCTGGCCAGTTCAGTGCTGTCCCCTTAAACCCAAAGTGCCTGAAAGCAGGAAGGTGTGCCAACTATGTGGTGACAGGAGCTTGGTCAGCTAAAGCTGCAGAAGCATCCAAGAAGTTTGAGATCGTGAATATCAGCTACCCTAAACTTGGGAGTTATATGAAAATTCCAGATTCAACACCTGGAACCTCACCCTTACAGCTTCGATGTGTAATGCTGCACAAATGACTGGCACAGAGTGGAGTCTGACTTTATATCTGATCTCAGGAAGCACTACTGGTTTGCCACATATCCTCAAACTTTCTATCGAAGGCAGTGGATGCTTCCAGGTTTGGTGTGATTTTTGCTGGTGCCCAGAAGCATGTTGGTTGTTTTGGGATGACAGTAGTGATCATCTGCAATGACTGCTGGGGTCACCCTCAGAGAATGGCCCTCCATCCGGGAATACAAAGTGCATGTTGGAAACAACTTCTTGTACAACATGCAACAGTATTTCAGCAACTATGTCATGGGCTTGTTCCTGGTGTAGATTAAGAATGATGGCACTGCAGCAGTGGTGGAGAAGCTTAGCTCCATCAAATCTAAAATAATAATTTATGATATTTTTAATAATTCTTAAGGATTCTATGAACATCCAGTAGAGCCTCATAATATTCCATTATGAGAAAGATGAATATTCCATTCCATACTGGCAATGTCAAAGGAGATGGTGCTTTATAAAAAAAAGATTTCTTGAAAAAGCTCTTGAACTCAATATGCTCTCCTTGGAAGAGCACAGATCTCCCCTCTGTACAGTACCATCAAGAGTGAAGATGTTCAGAAGCTGGCAGCCCTCATAAAAAGTATTTTGGAGATGAACCAGCAATGAATACATCCTAACCAATATATATTCTGCCCTTGAACAATGTTCAAAATTAAAAGTAACTTGGGAATAGGTATGAAAACTTAAACATGCTATTTTTCTCGAATGAATGTGCTTATGATAGATTCTTTTTTCAGAGAACAGCAAAATATCACTAGTTTGGGAAAGTCGGTGGAAATTAACAGCCACCTTAATTCCAACTTGAACTGGAAGAATTTTCAAATCTTCCTGTTGCTTGTCTAACGAATTCCAGCTTAGTTTGTCTTTGCTGCTACTTTTTCTAGCTAGGTCTCAGTATTCAAACTTGCCTATTGACTTAATTATGCAAGTTACAGTTAATTGTGTCTGGAGGCACAGGAACACACAGCTTAGTTAATGGGTGGGGCCCTCTAGGTGTGAATCTAGATTCTAGATTCTAGATAGCAGTGGAGTCTCCTGGGTTCTTCAGCTAATAATTAAGATCAAATTGACCATTTCGTGAGTATTTAAGAGTTTCAGGCAAAAGGTCAAACTGTTGATATTTCTTTATACAGTTATATGCATAAAGAGATAAAAGTGACATACTGTATGTTTATATAGCAGGGTATGTTTCAATGCCATATAGTTTATGTTTCTATGCATTTTTTTTCTTTCTTTTTTTTTTGAGACGGAGTCCCGCTCTGTTGCCAGGCTGGAGTGCAGTGGTGCAATCTCAGCTCACTGCAACCTCTACCTCCCAGGTTCAAGTGATTCTCCTGCCTCAGCCTCCCGAGTAGCTGGGATTACAGGTGCACACCACCACACCAAGCTAATTTTTTGTATTTTTAGTAGAGATGGGGTTTCACTGTGTGAGCCAGGATGGTCTCAATCTCCTGACCTCATGATCCGCCTGCCTCAGCCTCCCAAAGTGCTGGGATTACAGGCGTGAGCCACTGCACCTGGCCTATGCATTTATTTTCTAATAATACTCAGTAATATATCTAGAGACTTTCAGAAATGTGTTAGAATCCTTGACCTTGCACATTACAGCACTACATTTGCAACAGTTGTTCTCCTCTTCTGCACCCCCCACCCCCCTTTTTAAGCTGCTTCACACAAAAGATCTAGTTCCATGATTCACTTTTATTCTCCTTTCAATAGCAAAGAGAAAATTGATTGGTTGACTTGTTCTTTGTTTTTTAAGTGTGCCATTAATCTAAAAATCACTGTTAAACTCCAGTATCCTTTGTTTACTTGACTGTTTTCTTTGTGGTGGCCAGAGTAGTGCTGTGAGTTCTGGAAGATTTTTGCTTAAAAGTCTTTTCCTTTATTGTTTATCTATTGTCAATATTTTATGTAGAACATGTGAAGAACATGAAAGTCCCAGAACATCTTTAAAAGAAAATACAACAGATGAATGGATAAAAAAAAAAAAAAGTATACATACACAATGGAATACTATTCAGCCTTTAAAAAGCAGGAAATTCTGTCATTTGTGACAACATGGATGAACCTAGAGGACATTATGCTAAGGGAAATAAGCCAAGCACAGAAAAAAAAAAAAAGTACTGCATGATCTCACTTACGTGCAAAATCTTAAAAAGGTGAATTCCAAAGAAGTAGAGAGTAGAATGGTGGAGATAAGGGCAGAGGAGAAAAGTGAAGCCTTTGGCCAAAGGGTATAAAGTCTCAGTTAGAGAGGAGGAATGGATTCTGGTGACCTACTGCATAGCATGATGACTATAGTTAATAACAATGTATCATATCTTTCAAAATAGCTAAAAGAGTGGATTTTGTCATTTCTCATCACAAAGAAATGAAAAGCATTTGCAGTGATGGATACGTTCATTAGCCTGATTTGGTCATTCCATAGTACAAACATGTATCAAAACATCACATTGTATCCCATAAAAATACACAATTATTATTCATCAATTAAGAATAAAACTTTTTAAAAATGGAGAATTGTCAAAGATTTTATTGAATTCATTAAATAGTGCAGAAACTAGTAATTTGGTTAAGCTGGTTCTAAGAGACTTAAGGAACGGGTGTTTATATACACCATCAAGAGAGGACCCAATGTCAGCTTTTAATTTTTTTTTAAGTTAGTGACAGATCTGGTGGCTAGTGTTAGAGCAGTAAAACACTGGGAAGACTACACAGTGAGTAGTACCATGTACACTGCTCAGGTGATGGGTGCACCAAAATCTCAGAAATCACCATTAAAGAACTTTTCCATACAACGAAACACCACCTGTTCTTGCAAAACTATTGAAATAAAAATAAAATAAACAAAATAAATAAAACATTGGGATTACCTCTTCTATCAGAAAAAAAACTTTGCATCTCTACCATGCAAAAATCTACAAGTTAACATGTAACTAACTGCCTAGTGTGAGCCCTTAATTTATAAATTCCAATAATAACAACAGTAATAACTTCAATGGAGATACATTAACAATTTTAAATAGTTATTGAGTAGATCTATTTAATAATGCTTCAGCACCACATTGAAAGGACCTACCTACTGTACTGTCTTGGCCTTATTTCTAAGTGTTGTACATGTATTCTTAACTGTGGAATGCAGCAAGAATAAGACAGGCCAGGGGCAGTGGCTCACACCTGTAATCCCAGCACTTTGGAAGGTCGAGTTGGGTGGATCGCTTGAGGTCAGGAATTCAAGACCAGCCTGGTCAACATGGTGAAACCCTGTCTCCACTAAAAATACAAAAACTAGCCAGGAGTTGTGGTGTGCACCTGTAATCCCAGCTACTTGGGAGGCTGAGGCAGGAGAATCACTTGAACCCAGGAGGCAGACGTTGCCATGAGCCAAGATGGTGCCATTGCTGCACTGCAGCCTGGTGACAGATTGAGACTCTGTCTGAAAAAAAGAAAAAAAAAGAAGACAGAAGCAGGAAGACCAGTTAAAAGTCACTGTAATAATTTTAGGGAGAGATGGCAGATGGCAAGAGTGTGAAGGCAATAGAAGTGGGATGGAGAGGTAGAGAAGGAGATGAATTTGAGAAATTTGAAGAGAGTAGAATGAATATGATTTAGCTATTGATGGAATGTGGATGCTCACAGAAAGGAGATCCAGGAATGATTCTCAGGTATTTGGCTTGGGTGATTGAACAAAGGTATCATTCTTCCAGGCTGGACTGGAGAAGGGGAGTAGTTCTGGGGATAAAGGTAGGGGGAAATGATGAGATTAGTCTACAGAGTGTTAATATGAAGGGATGATCAGCCTAGAAAAGGGATTTCCAACATGTGGGCCTGGTCTCAGAAGGGAGACCAGACTGGAGACACAGGAGAGTTATTTACATACAGGTAGTATAGGGCACGTGTACATTTAGTTTATGCAAATCCAAGTACACATCTTTGTTTTTGTCAAAACAAAGACAAAAAATAGGGAGAAAGAAAATCAATAGTTAAAATGATGTGATGATTTTTTCCCACCATTCCTCTCAGTGTCTGTCCCCAAATGAACATGAGAAGAGAGGCAGGTTTCAGATTCCCTGGGCTGAACATCTCCCTATGCTGGGTGTTGGTCTTGTGCTTAAAGATGCTGTGCCAAGCCAAGCTCAGTGGTTCTGTAGTCCCAGCTACACAAGAGGTTGAGGTGGGAGGACTGCTTGAGCCCAGGAGTTCAAGGCTGCAGGGCGCTATGATTGCTCCTGTGAATAGCCACTGCACTCCAGCCTGGGCAACATAATGAGACTCTGTCTCTAAAAATTATCATAATAATAATAATGATGCTGATACTGTGCCTGTTTTTCCCCTTAAAATTCCATGGTTCTAAACCTAAGTCAAGTCATGTAACCTGGTGCTTAGCTGAAGTTCAATACTTTCTTCTAACACTGGAGGAAAACTGTGCAGACTTATTAGGAGAAAGTGCTATTCTGTGTCCATGGGCTATTCGAAGGATTTCCAAGGGTAGATTATATTATACTTTGCCCCCTTGACTTTACAACCTTCCTGTCCATCCCCACTCCCAAAACCCTCTGTCTCAAAATTTGATCCCAATATAGCTAATGCCAAGTATTTCAGCAACGTCATCTCAACAACCTGGAAAAAGTGAAGAGGATAGAGAGTCTACGACGCAACTTCAGAGAACACCACATCTAAGGAGGGCCTGGAGGACCAAAGTCCTTAAAGGAATCTGTAGAGAATTATCCAGCGAGGTAGGAGGAAGGAACCTCAGAAGAAGAAGGAAGTTAAAGGAGGAGTTTTGAGAACCGTTTGGTCTATAACTTCAAATAACAGTTGGGTAAGATAAAGGCAGACAAATATTCAGACTTGGCAATAAGGAACTATTGACCTTAGCCCCAGACATTACATCAAGCTAGTGGTGTAGACACCAATTGTAGTCAGCTAAGGAATGAGTAAGAAAAAAGAGACAAGCATAAGTTTTTTCCCCAGTAACTATAACGGGAAGGAGACAAATGGGTAATTTGAGGAGGCCCACTGCATGTGGATGCTCAGGTGTGTAATGGTCAATCCTAGGGGATTTTACTCACTGTGTTGATTCTGTGAATGCTGCTGCTGGGACATGCAGTTCACAACAGGAGGGATAGCCTAATTTTAAGAGGGACACTGAGTTAAGGAAAATCTGTTTGTTCATTTGTTTAGTATTAAGTAAGATTTAACTTGATTATATACTGGTAGGAAAAAGTTAGAGTGGAGGAAGTTGTAGAGGTATGTGTGTACATGAGAGAGAGAGGAAGAGGGAGAGAATGGTTGAGAGCATGAGGTTTCTGAATAGAAGGGGTTTGATCAACACACACTGGAGTATTTAATCATGAATAGAATGAAGAACACTAATTACAGTGAAATGGGAAGAAAGCAAGGGAGAAGACAATTTGATGGTAAAGAGTGGGGATTTATCAGGAAGGGGTGTGTGTGTGTGTGTTTGTATAATAGTAATATTAGTAGTGGGAAGAGGGGGAGGAAAACTGATTTACTGTGAGTAAAGGGGAGAAAGGAATGACTTAATGGGGAAGAGAGCTTGAAGTTTGAAACAGCCACTGAAGATAATGAAGGAGGAGATTATTGAGCATGCAAAAAGATTATAGTGGTATTGAGGGTCCCCTCATATAGGAGAGACCAGGACTTTGTAGTGGAAACAACCTTTGGCAAAGCTTAAAAACAAATCCTGAACTAATAACAAGGAGTAAATGAAGGAAATCATTCATTTAAGCATTCTTTGCATTTTAAGAAAAGATGAGTAGGGTTAGTAATCTACTGAAGAGAGAAAATAATCAGAATTATTCATTAAGTATATCCATAAGCAGACAATTTAACAGTCAACCACAAAAGTGAAATAGCTAAGTAAAGGAAGCAATATTATATAGACATCATTTTTTTGTTTTAATGATGTCACTTAAATTAGGACAAAAATTTCAAAAGAAAAGCCATAAAGGTAAATGCAAATGTATATAGTTCCTAAATGATGGAGATGTTATGGAACAGGGTCCCCCTAGACTTCTTCATTACCCTACATTTAATAAGCTCTTTATTTTACACAGAAATTCACTTTTAAAACAGATTATAGAACATTATAGTTTGGAATATAACACCTTGGATTGGTATTATAGATGGTGTTAGATGCTTTGGGTCCAAGGGGGCAGGATTTTCTAAATGAGTTCAGATTTCATATTGTGCATAACCAATATGACATGCTTTGACAAATTGAGTTACAAATATGGCCACATCTCTTGCCCAAAACTTCTCTCAACTTTCTCCTGGTTCATGAATCCATTATTAATTTAGAAACATTTATTATATTCCTCTAGGTACCACAGTTCCCTTCTGATCTCTCTAACTACTCATTCTGTGCCTTCTTTGCTAGCTCCACTTCCTCTACTTGTGTCTCTTATTTTAGAAAGAAGTTTTTATTAAATATTGAGTAGATATAAAACAACATTTCTAAGATACAGATAATGAATGAAGAATGCAAAAACATCCAAGTATCCACTGCTGCCCCTAGGGTGTGTGGGGCCACAAGTAAATATTTTTTTGTGAGGTCCCTGTCTACATGAACAATTTGATTTTAAAATTGCCCTACAAAATTTATGGGCCAATGTGAGGAATGGTGATTTATGCATGAAGATTTAAAGTAATTAATAGAAAAGACATTCTTTGTTTATTGTTCAATCAGCACAGATGAAGATTCTTCCTAGAGTCCAGGCACCATCTCTTCTTACTCAGATTCAGGAACCATCTCTTCAAGTTCCTTATTGAAAGAACTGTTCCTGGTTAATTTCATATCTTTCACATCAGAAAAAAAGTTGCACTGCTCTTAATTCTCACAATGTCATGGCTCTTTAAACCTGCTTGTATTTAAACAATGTAGATCTTCTTACCTCTGAAATTCCCTGATTATAATTTATTTAATACCGATGATATCATTACTCATGACTCTGTCTCACACATTATGCTGCAGGGCTGCCAAACACTCAAAGATTGTTCTGGGCTACAGTTCACATACAGGAAAATGTGAACTGTAATTTGTTTTCCAATCATGTTAAATTTACTGATAGGAAATGTATGGCGAAAACTTAGAAAATATCTTCCAATTGAATCTCTCATTTTCTGTGATTCCTGCATTCCTACAATGTGATCTCTTTCTATCTTGACCACACCTCTGCCTTCCAAACCCCACCACCAGCAGGGAGGATAAGTCAGGGGCCAGGGCAGAGACCAAAAATCGGTCCCATTTGCACAAAAAGGTCAGATCCTTGTCCCGAAAGGCTTAAGATAGACCTGAGAGACCATGATGTTATTGATAGGAAAGGCCCATTGGCACTGAGGAGCAACAGCCTCTAAATCCCTCAAGAAGTCAGGCAAGGCCACCCATGGGGATGGTCTGACATGTGGCCTAGAGCCTGCGGACCATCCTGGGTGCCAGTGATGGGTGGGATGTGCATAGGGTACAGGATGCCCACTGCCATCCCTGCTGACCTCGGGTGCTGTTTGCTGGAAGTGACCCTGCAGTGGGAACACCCGTGAACATGGGTACTCCAAAGGCCTAACTTTGTCTTTAGTCCAGCACGAATGAGAATCACTCCAAATCAGCGTGTCTTCACCTTTCTGGTGGCTCAGCAATCCTGCAAAAGAAATATCTCACTGGCCAGTGGGAGTGATCTACTCACCAGGCCACCCTCCAGAACCCAGGAACCATCTCATAGGGGAGAGTCTCAAAGCTCCTCTGGGCATCTGGTTGACCTCGTGGTGGTGAAGAGGTGGGTTGGTGGAGAGTCGGAGAATGCCCCAAAGGAGAAATGTGCCCTGGGGAGAAATGGAGGTCCAGGACCATGAGTCCCGTTCTGAGTATTGGGTACATTGCCCAGATAGCACGCCCAGTCCACAATGGTCCTAGTCACTGGAGTACTCACCAACTTTTGAGAAAAGCGCTTCTGAGGACTGGGACCCAGGTGAGATCAGGTTTGGGCTCAGGTGCAGGACTGATCTGCACTCCCCAGCTGATCTCATGCACCGGAGAGAGACTTAGAACATTCCAAGGAAGGCACTCCAAAGCCTGGGGCCCAGGGCAGAGGCCCAGAATGTCCAGCACAAGAGAGGTATAGCAAGAACTATCTAGTTTAGGAAAATAAACATTTCTAAGTTCTCTGTAAGCCCCTTCCTGATCCCAGCCCTAGCCCTTCACACTCAGAGATAAATGGATTTATCTCTGAGACAAATAAAAGGAAATTAAAATGTTCCTTATTTTTCTTTTTTTACCACATATATTTGTGTTCTTTTTTAAAAAAACAACATTGCTGGGCATCGTGGGGCATGCCTATAATTCCAGCTATTGGGAGGTTGAGGCAGGAGAATCACCTGAACCCAGGAGTTTGAGACCAGCCTGGGCAACATAGTGAGACCTTGTCTCATTAAAAAAATAAAATAAAATAAAATAAGACTTTTTTTGTTAACTTCATATAAGTAAAATTGTATATATGCTTGCTTCTTCATTAAATCCATGGATCAATTAGGAGAGAATCAAAATCTGTATGATTAATTGTACTATAGGTATGTAAAGCGTTAACAACAGGGGAAACTGGATGAATGATATATGTGAATGCTTGGTACTATTTATTGAACTTTTCTGTAACATTAAAATTATTTCAAAGCAAACAATTTTTTTAAAATGAGGGTGGAGATTGAATAAAAAGGAAAGGCAAGTGCTGACAATCATTGAAGCTGAATGGTGGGTACATAGTTCATTTTACAATTTTCTCTACTTTTGTGCATGATTAAAATTTCTATAATTAAAAAAATTTTTAAAGAAAACAAAAAACTACCTGGTTTTGGTATTTACTTTGTGGGTCAATTTTAAACCAATTCATTTTCTTGACTATGTTTTGGAATATTATTTTCTGTTTCCTCTTGAGGAAGTTTTAGTAAATTCTATTTTTTCTATGAATTTATCCATTTTCCTAAGTTCTCCAACTTATAGCCCTGCCGTACATTATCCTCCTAATTAACCATTTAATGTGTCCATCAACTGTAATTATAACCTCTCTTTTGTTCTAATATTTACCTATAAAAGGCTTTCCAAAGAAATAATTTTTGGCCTTGTGAATCCTTTCTGTTGTATTTTTATTTTCCATATTATTAATTTCTACTATCTTTATTATTTCTACTCTCTTACTTATTTTTATTTCATTATTATTTTTCTAACTTCTTAACTTATTGTTAGTCTTTCATCTCTTCTAATAAAAGCATATAAGGCTGTAATTTCTCTCTAGATCTTACTTTATCTACATTAAATACATTTTTATTATAGGGTCTTTGTGTTCACACATTGTATTTTCTAATTTCCATCATAATTCCTTCTTTTGCCCACATGTTATTTAGAAGAGGATATCTTAATTTCTCAAATATGGACTTTCCTAGTTATCCCTTTGTTATTGATTTCTAATTTAATTGCATTAGGTTCAGAAACTGTGGTCTGTATGATTCCAATTTTAAATTGTTGAGATTTGTATTCTAACCTAGCAATGTGGTCAGTTTTCAAAAATACTCCATGTTGGTTGAAAAGAATCTATATTGTGTAGCTGTTAGGTGCAGTGTTCTATGTACTGTACTTAATTAGCACCGGCTTGTTAATTATGTTGTTCTAATCTTTCTCCTTACTGATTTGGTCAACTTTATCTAGGTATTTAACAGCTTAGAATTCTTACATCTTCTTGGAAGACCGAACCTTTTTTATTTTTTTATTTTTTTTCTTATTATTTTTATTATTTTTATTATTTTTTTGAGACAAGGTCTCGCTCTGTCACCCAGGCTGGAGTGCAGGGGCGGAATCTCTGCTCACTGAACCTTCCACCTCCTGGGTTCAAGCAATTCTCCCACCTCAGCCTCTCGAGTAGCTGGGATTACAGTGGCACACCACCATGCCTGGCTATCTTTTGCATTTTTAGTAGAGACAGGGTTTCACCACGTTGGCCAGGCTGATCTCCAACTCCTGGCCTCAGGTGATCCACCCGCCTTGGCTTCCCAAAGTGCGCGGATTACAGGCATGAGCCACCACGCCCGGCCTGAACCTTTTTTATTTATGAAACTCTTTATGAAATGTTCTCTTTATCTTTCGTGAAGGTTTTTGCCTTAAGGGTTATTTTGTCTGATACTAATATAGCAACACCAACATCCTCTTGGTTAGTGTCTGCGTGATACAATTTTTTTTCACGCTCTTATTCTTAACATTTTTGAATCCTTATGTTTTAAATGTGACTTAAGAGAATATACCTGCATTCTTTAAAACACAATATATACTACCAGTCAGTCTTTGCTTATAAATTGAGTAGTCTATTTTACTTATTGATACATTTGGATTTATTTTCACCATCTTATATTGTGCTTTTTATGTATCTTGAACCTTCAATATTTTGTTTTTTCCTCTATTCTCATCTACTTTGTATTATTCTTCTCTTTCCACTTTTTCCCTTTATAGTTAAAAAGTTATACATTCTTGGTAGTTATGCTAGAAATTTTAACTTGGAAACTTAATATCTTTACCATCCTACCACACAATAAACACTTTAATTCTGATCCTCCCCTCCCAGTTACATGCTATTGACAGCTGTGTATTTCATTTCTATCTTGTTTTTTCAGCCCCTTAAGATATTATTTTTTAAAAAGATATTTTTTTAAAAAATTATTGATCTTTGTAGCCAATATTTATTTACAATTAAGCACATATTCAGCACTCTCCTTGCTCCTCATTCTTTTATTCATCTCTGACCTTCCTTGTTCCCTTTCTTCCTGCCTAAATAGCAGCCTTTAGAATTTCCTTTAGTGAGGGTCTATTGATGGCAAACTCTGTTTTTGTTTCTTTGAAGGTGTCTGACTTTGTCATTGTTTTTGAAAGATAATATTCAAATTCTGGTTGACAGTAATTTTCTTTCAACACATTGAAAATGTTAAACTTTTTCTGGCTTCTGTAACTGTTAAGAAGTCTAATTGCCCTGTTGAAAGTACGCTAATCTGTCTTATCTTTCTCTGGCTGCTTTTCAACTTTTTTTCTTTGTTTATGGTATTCTGTAGTTCAACTACATGATGTCTAAGTGTGAATGTCCTTTTATTTATCCTTATTGGGATTGTTGGGCTTTTAAAAACTGTGGTTTGTCATTTCTAAAAAATCCTCAGCCATTACCTCTTCAGTTATTACCTTTGCCCTTCTCCTTCTCTCCTGTCTGTCTGGAACTCCAATTAGATAATTGTTATATTTTTCACAAGACTGTCTTCATGTTTTATAACCTTTCATTCATATTTTCTGTCTCTTAGGGCTACATTCTGGAAATTTTCTTGGATCTATCCATCTGAATCTATTCTCCAGTTGTGATTATTCTGCTGTTAAACCTGTCTATTGTATTTTTAATTTGAAATATTACCTGTTAAACTTCTAGTAGTTCTTTCAGGTCTTCTTCAAATCTTCTGGTCATGTTTTATGCATATTTTCATTTTTTTCTCTTATTTCTTTTAATATATTTAATAGGCTTATTTTATGTTCTGTGTTTAGTAATTTCAATAGCTAAAGCTTTGCAGTCTGATTCTGTTATTCATGTTTATGCTGGCCTTTGCTCATGCTACATTATTGCTATGGTTTGGTTTGTCCCTGCCAAAACTCATGTTGAAATTTCATTCCCAATGTGGCAGTGTTGGGAGTGGGAGCCTAGTGGGAGGTGTTTGGGTCCTCATTAAAGGATTATGGGGGTGGATTCTTCATTCATAGATTAATGCCCTCCTGCTGGGGTGAATTTTTGCTTTTGTGAGAATGAATTATTTCGGAGAGACCAGGTTGTTAATGTCTGGCTTCTTCTCTTGCCGTGGGATCTCTTTGCAGGTATCCCCTCCCCTTCTGCTGTCTGCCATAGTGGAAACAGCCTGAGGCCCTTGCCAGATATAGATGTTCAAACCTGGACTTTCCAGCCACCAGAATCGTCAGCCAAATAAACTTCTTTTCTTTCTAAATCATCCAGTTTCAGGTATTCTGTTATAGCAACACAAAACTGACTAGAGCAATTATTTCCTTTTGCATTTTGTGATTTTGACCATGAGCTTGTATTTTTTTTAGAATTTATTGATGAGAAGCCATCGAGGCCTGTGTTGAAGATGGGTACTTCTAGAATAGGTTTGCATTTGTTTCTGTCAGTTGCCTGGAAACTACAAATTAAGGTTTACTGTGAACTTAATTCTTGACTTGAATTTTTTGGACTCTAAAGAACAGTGTGAATTTGAGCTGCAAGACTGTGTGAGTGCTGGCTATGTTATGAGTTCTCAGGGGAGATGTTTTTTTCTCCCTCCATTTAAAGTCAAGTCTCAAGGCAGGCAATTTTCCTTACAATACTCTGGGGCTTGGGGAAAGGCAGTAAGTTAATTTGTAACCCATCCTTACACAAACAGTGTAATCTTTTGTGGACCCAGCTCTAAGCAGAGGTGGAAGGGACTACAGTTAGACTCACTCTGTGTACACGTTGACCACTGTATTCACTTATTCACTCATGTGAATTTGGCAGATACTCTCAAGGCAAAAACCTCTCCAGGTTTCTGCTTATACTCAGGAGTAAGGAATACTCAGAGGTCAAGTATTAGATGCAAGTGGAAACCCAAGAAACCTCTCCAAGTGGAAACTTCTCCTGTGGAAACCTCTCCTATGGAAACCTCTCCTATGGAAACCTCTCCTGTGGAAAACTCTCCTGGGTTTCCACTTGCATATAATACTTGACCTCTGAGTATTCCTTACTTCTGCCAGCATAAACATGCACTTCAAAAGATTAAAAAATACTTTGTTAATTATTTGTAGTTGTTTTCAGTGAGCTATCATTCAAGGTATGTAGTCTGTCATACTGCCAGACATGGAAGTCCCTCTGCTGCTGCCTGAGGCTTAAAAGTCAATTTCAAGGGTTTCTTCCTTGGTCCTCCCCTCTTCTCATTCTACAGGCCCTCTCCCTCTAGACAGTTTTACTCATTCCCACTACTTTGGTGCTCCTTACCAATTAGTCCCTGACCTATACCTCTGTGTGTTTTCTATAGCTGCTGAAACAACTTTATCACAAATCTGGTGGTTAAAAAATACCATGTACTATCTTATAGTTCTAAAGGCCAGAAGTCTGAAGTCAGTTCCAACAGGCTAAAGTCAATGTATCAGCAGGGCTGGTTTCTCCTGGAGGCTCTAGAAGAGAATCCCTTCTCTGCCTCTTCCAGCTTCTGGGAGATTATTGCTTTCCTTGGATTGTGATTCCTTCTCACATCATTCCTTCCTCTTGCTTCCACTGTTACATCTATTACTCCCTCTGCTGTAGTCAAATCTCCCTCTGTCTCTCTTTTATGAGGACACTCGAGACTATATTTAGGGTCTACCTGGATCTCCAGGATCATCTCCCTATCTCAAGATGCCTTACTTGGCTGGGTGTGGTAGCTCATCCCTGTAATGCCAGCACCTTGGGAGGCCTAGGTGGGAGAATTGCTTGAGCTCAGGAGTTTGAGACCAGCCTGGACAACATAATGAGACCCTGTCTCTACAAAAAATAAAAAATTAGCCAGGCGTGGTGGTGCACGCCTGTAGTCCAAGCTACTCAGGAGGCTGAGGCAGGAGGATTGCTTGAGCTCAGGAAGTTGAGGCTGCATTGAGCTGTGTTTGCACCACTGCACTCCCATCTCAAAAAAAAAAAAAATTCCCTAACTTAATCACATGTGTAAAGTTTCTTTTGCCATGTAAGGTAACATCCACAGGTCCCAGGGATTAGAATCTGGGTATGTTTGGGGGCCATTATTCAGCCTACTACAACCTCCAATCCTCAGCTGCAGACTCAAACTTTCAGTTTCTTTCTCAACTTTTCTCATTACCCAGGCGCTTTAAACTCACTTTTATCTAAAACTGAACTATATTCACCAGCTGTTAGTGACATCACCATCTTCCCAAGCATCCAAATGCAAAGTCAGTATATACTGCTTCTTTTTTCACCCTTTGTCTCCAAACAGTCACTGAGTCCTTATCTAATCTACCTCTAAAAGGTCTCAAATCCAGTCCTCTTCCTTATTCCCACTGCTACTGCTTTCCAGATCTTGTTATCTACTATAATTGTGACCTAACTGAATTTCTTACCTCTGTTTTTCTATGGCCATTAACCTGTTGCCTTGAGTTATCCTTTTTTTTTTTTTTTTTTTTTTTTTTTTTTTTTGAGACAGGGTCTCACTTTGTCACCCAGGCTGGAGTGCAGTGGTGCAATCTCAGGTCACTGCAGCCTCGACTTCCTGGGCTCAAGCCATCCTCCCACCTCAGCCCACTGAGTAGCTGGGACTACAGGCATGCACCACCACACCCAGCTAAAGTTTTTTTTTCTTATTTTTTGCAGTGACAAGGTTTTTCCATATTGCCCAGGCTGGTCTTGAACTCCTGAGCTCAAGTGATCTTGCCTGCCTTGGCCTCCCAAAGTGCTCAGATTACAGGTATGAGCCACCACACCCAGCTATCTTTCTACAACCCAAATGACTAAGTACTGTCTTCTTAAAACTTCCTCAATGGTTCTACCGCTGTCTACTCCATAAAATCCAAGATCATTCAAGGCCCTTTGCAATCTGGCCATAAAGTGAGAGACCAGTCTCATCTTTGCCATGCTCTACTGAGTACTGTGTGTTCTAGGCGACCAAACTTTATCGTATCCTGAACAATCCAGCCTCAGCGCTTTTACATCTCTTCAAGACGCAGCTGAATGCTTAAGTTTTCTGAGACGTGTTGGGAGACCCCGCCACACAGTTAGAATTAATGCTCTATTAACACTCGAGATATTGATTCAATCATTTACTGAGGGTCAGCTATGTCTAGGACTCTACGGTAAGCATTGGGCATGAAATGGTGAACAGGATGCAGACAGATCTTTTCCTCACAGGGTTCATAGTCTAGAGAGGGCTCCAGACAAGTGAACAGGCTGTTATAATATCATGCAAGTGTTCTGACAGGAAAGCGTAAGATGGTATAGGAAGAGACAGAGGGGCACCTAATCTAGATATGGACGATCATCAAGAAGTTGCAGCTAATCTGAAAACAGGTGGCAAATAAGAATTAAGGGAAAAGAGGGCTGGAGAGAGAATGTTCCAGGATGAGGGACAACGTGTGTAAAAACCTAGATATGAGAGAAAGCACAATGTACCCACAGAACTGAATGATCAGCAAGGCTGGAATGGAGACAGTGGGGTGGGGAATGTTGAGAGATGAGGATGGTGAGGTAAGCGGGGGTAGAAGTGATACAGTATTTTTTGCTGCTTAGTTCAGCTAAAACCAGGTTCTTGTAACACGACCAGGAAATATTAGGAACGCAGATAAACTGAAAGGTGAGGAGAGGGAAATTTATTAAAAGAAAGCTCTCAGTGAAAAAAGAAGGGAGTATGCTAACTGTCTCCCACCTCACTGATTGAATACCAGGCCACCACACATGAGCTGAAGCGGCCAGGCTCCTCCCCGCTGCACAAGGTGCGAAATTCCTGTGGCTCCACCCCAGTCTCTCAGTGTGCAGGTGGGTCACCAGTCTGTTGCGGGCATGCACAGACAAAACTCTGGACAGGTTCCCTTATCTGCACAAAAGCATCTGATGTAAACACTTGTGGGGTGGGTCAGAGATTGTCCGGGGACAACCTTCCCCCGCTAACTGACCAATCCCTACCCTTATCTGCCTCCTGCAACTATCAGAAGGCCATAGTCAGAAGCTGGCCATTCTAAGTACAAAGGAGGGCCACTGAAGGGTTTTGAGGGGACGTGCCAGCCCTTGAGATAGAGTGACAAAAAGAGAACCAGATGCTGGGGAGCTGGTTCTGTTTTGGAATGTTGTATAGCAATGCACTTTGTGCCCTGCTTTCTACCCTGTTGGCTCACCTCTGATGCCAGTGCAGCTGTGGGGAACATGTCCCTGCACTCTGACACCATCACTTTTGCTTTTCTCCTCACAGCTTTCTCCAGAATTGGGAAATCCCTCAACCTGGCAAAAGTATAGCTCAAATGTGCCTCAGCTACCATTTCCTGGTGGCAGTCCTCAACCAATGGGTGCCGGGAATTGGTGAACAACGCCCCAGCCCCCCAGCCTCCAGAGAAACAATTCTAAGTGACATGGATGATGATAACCAGTCTATGCCCACAGTGATTATCAGCTCAGCAATGTACCCTTTACTGGCTTTTCTCCTTCCATATGTCACTATTCCTGCTCCCTCACTCCTGCTTCCTGGAATTACCTTCCCAGAAAAACTTCATTCAGGTAAGCCATAGTCCTAGGCTCTACTTGAGGGTAGGGGAATCCAAACTAAAGTAAGTGTCTGTAGGACTTCAAAGTAAAGATCCAAGTTAGACTTTCAGGAGAAGAGATTTGGGGTAGAACTATAAACTTACGTTTTCTTCCTAATGGGAGCTGACAACACAGAAGTAGATGAAATTTTCCAGTAATAGAAGAAAGGGGTCTATGAGGAACCATGAGGAACAACAACATTTCTGGCACAGGCAGAAGAAGAGTCAAGGAGACAGAAACGACAAGAGAGGTAGAAGAACAAAGAAAGTTTGCAACATGGAAAGCCAGGGAGGAGGAAGTTTCAAGAAAGAGTAGGTGAATCTATCCCAGCAGCAGCCAGGGTGGGCCTCTGTCCTCGAGCAGCACTGGAGCCAGACTCAGTTCCCGGATCTTGCAGCCGAGGAGCCTCTCAAGCATCCACAGCCCCCACCAGTGTGGGGACGGTGGATCCTGTGGTGGACATCCCCGGGGATGTGACTGCCTGATGGTGGCAGCAACAGCAGCAACATCTGAGACCACGGAGTGGGGGTCTTTGGCAGAGACCCCAGGGCAGCTGAGGCAGCTGGGCTTCCTCCCAGCTCCATCAGCCTTTGGGTCCATGAGAATCCCTTATCCTTTACAGCCCTGCCCTGGCTCTGGGAAACTGGGGATGGCCTCTGTGACCCCCCTTTGAGAGGTGAAGCCAGCTGGACTTCTGGGTCGGGTGGGGACTTGGAGAACTTTTCTGTCTTACAAGAGGATTATAAAATGCACCAATCAGCACTCTGTAGCTAGGATTGTAAAATGCACCAGTCAGTGTTCTGTGGCTAGCTAGAGGTTTGTAAAATGGACCAATCAGTGCTCTGTAAAATGGACCAATCAGCACTCTGTAAAATGGACCAATCTGCACTCTGTAAAATGGACCAATCAGCAGGATGTGGGCGGGGACAAATAAAAGAATAAAACCTGGCCACCCCAGCCAGCAGCAGCAACCCACTTGGGTTCCCTTCCATGGTGTGGAAGCTTTGTTCTTTAGCTCTTCACAATAAATCTTGCTGGTGCTAACTCTCTGGGTCCGTGACATCTTCAAGAGCTGTAACACTCATCACAAAAGTCCGCAGCTCCATTCTTGAAGTCAGCGAGACCAAGAACCCACCAGAAGGAACCAACTCCAGACACACCCTGACGTGGGATACCCCATTTCCTGAGGCATGGAGAGGCATCACCCCAGTAAGTTGCCCATGCCCTGTGCTGGCAGCCTCCCTTTTACCCCCAACCATCCTTTGCTCTAGCTTCTGGCCCCAAATTTGTCCAAGGAGCCCCCCATTCAAATCCTTTCCCTGCTGCCACGTGGCCTTCCCTGTCCCACAGCTTGCTCTGCAAGCCTCCAATGTCTGAAGATCTTCCAGTGTCACTCATGGCCCCTTTAGTCTCAGCCCAGCCATAAACTTCAATGCAAAGGATAAGTCTAGATTGATTTCACAGTTCTTTTAACAAGTGGACTTAAAAGCTAGTGGCAATACATTCCTTCTCCTCAGAGTTGAAGGCAAGTTCTCCCTGAAGCCTGGGTGACACATGTCCTTTTCCTAAGACTGGGGAAGAGAATTGGGAGTGGCAGCCAGTTCGGCAGGAAATTTGTTAGCAGGGGAAGAAACTCAGATGGGAGTGAGGAACTTCACAGGAAAAGTCTGGAGGAGCATCCAAGGATGATCAACATTTATTTTATGTGTGGGAAGCAATGCGACTTTACTGTTATTGACCCTTTACAATATCCCCTGTAAATGTATGTTTAGGGTTTTCTTCTGAAAAAGAAAGAAATTGTTACTCAGCCAGTAAATGATACTTAAAGAGAGAAAGAGGGGGAAAAAAGGAAGGAAGGGAGAGAGAAAGTGGGAGTAGATGAAAGTGAGGGCGAGAGAAAGAAAAAGAAAGGAATTGTTATTCAGCCAGTAAAAGATACTTAAAAAGAGAGAAAGAAGGGGGGAAAAGAGGGAGGGTGGGTGAGTGTTGCGGGAAGACAGGGACCCCAAATGGAGGGACCAGTTGAAGCCATGGCAGAAGAACGTAGATTGTGAAGATTTCATGGACATTTATTAGTTCCTCAAATTAATACTTTTATAATTTCTTATGCCTGTCTTTACTGCAATCTCTAAACATAAATTGTACAGATTTCATGGACACTTATGACTTCCCCAATCAATACCCTTGTGATTTCCTATGCCTGTCTTTACTTTAATCTCCTAATCCTGTCAGCTGAGGAGGATGTATGTCACCTCAGGACCCTGTAATAATTGCATTAATGCACAAATTGTACAGCATGTATGTTTGAGCAGTATGAAATCTGGGCACCTTGAAAAAAGAACAGGATAATAGCAATTGTTCAGGGAATAAGAGAGATAACCTTAAACTCTGACCGCCGGTGAGCCGGGTGGAACAGAGCCATATTTCTCTTCTTTCAAAGGCAAATGGGAGAAATATCACTGAATTCTTTTTCTCAGCATGGAACATCCCTGGGAAAGAGAATACACGCCTGGGGGTGGGTCTCTAAACTGGCTCCCTTGGGCGTGGCCGTCTTTTATGGTGGAGGTTGTAGGGGTGAAATAGACCCCAGTCTCCCATAGCGCTCCCAGGCTTATTAGGAAGAGGAAATTCCCGCCTAATAATTTTGGTCAGACTGGTTGCTCTCAAAATCCTGTTTCCTGATAAGATGTTATCAATGACAATGGTGCCCGAAACTTCATTAGCAATTTTAATTTCGCCCTGGTCCTGTGGTCCTGTAATCTCACCCTGCCTCCACTTGCCTTGTGATATTCTATTACCTTGTAAAGTACTTGATGTCTGTGACCCACATCTATTCGCACACTCCCTCCCCTTTTGAAAATCCCTAATAAAAACTTGCTGGTTTTGTGGCTTGGAGGGCATCACGGAACCTACCGACATGTGATGTCTCCCCAAGACACCCAGCTTTAAAATTTCTCTCTTTTGTACTCTGTCCCTTTATTTATCAAACCGGCCGACGCTTAGGGAAAAGAGAAAAGAACCTATGTGACTATCGGGGCAGGTTCCCCGATAGGTGAGAAGGAGGAAGGGAGGAAAAAAAGAGAAAGAAGCTGGGAATGGTTGCTCAAGCCTGTAATCCCAGCATTTTGGGAGGTCAAGGCGGATTGCTTGAGTTCAGGAGTTCTAGACCAGCCTGGGCAACATCGTGAGACCCTGTCTCTATTAAAAATACAAAAGTTAGCCGTGCATGATGGTGCACACCTGTAGTCCCAGCTACTTGGGGGCTGAGGCTGAGGTGGGAGGATCACTTGAGCCCAGGAAGCAGAGGTTGACATCGTACCACTGCACTCCAGCCTGGGTGACAGAGTGAGACCCCCTGTCTCAAAAAAAAAGAGAGAGAAAGGAAGGGAGGGAATGACTGATAGTGTCAAATGTTACTGAAAAGTAAAAGAAAGTATAAAGAAGTAGGCATCAGATGTAGCAAATAAAGGTAGTTTATGACTTGGAGAAAAGGACTGTAAAAGAATGAAGTACCTTTCGGCCAGAACCGCCATCTTCCAGTAATTTGCCAAAATGACAAACACAAAGGGAAAGAGGAGAGGCACCCAATATATGTTCTCTAGGCCTTTTAGAAAACATGGAGTTGTTCTTTGGCCACGTATATGCGAATCTATAAGAAAGGTGATATTGTAGACATCAAGGGAATGGGTACTGTTCAAAAAGGAATGCCCCACAAGTGTTACCATGGCAAAACTGGAAGAGTCTACAATGTTACCCAGCATGCTGTTGGCATTGTTGTAAACAAACAAATTAAGGGCAAGATTCTTGCCAAGAGAATTAATGTACGTATTGAGTATATTAAGCACTCTAAGAGCTGAGATAGCTTCCTGAAACGCATGAAGGAAAATGATCAGAAAAAGAAAGAAGCCAAAGAGAAAGGTACCTGGGTTCAACTAAAGCACCAGCCTGCTCCACCCAGAGAAGCACACTTTGTGAGAACCAATGGGAAGGAGCCTGAGCTGCTGGAATCTATTCCCTAGGAATTCATGGCATAATAGGTGTTAAAAAGGAAAATAAAGGACCTCTGGGCTGTAAAAAAAAAAAAAAAGAATGAAGTAGCAAAAACTAGGTTACAGTGAGTTGAGTGTTTAGTGGGAAAAGAGATATAAAGACAGTGAGTGACTATGGGAAACACTTTTAGGAAGCTTGGTTTTAAGAGGTAAAAGAAAGATAAAGAGATAGCTGGTTGAATGAGGTGTGTGTGTGTATGTGTGTGTGTGTAAAAGTGGGAGAGGCTTGAGCCTTTTCTGACCATTTAGGCTCATAAACACCAGTGGACAGAGAAAGAGGTTGAAGGTAGGGGAGAGTGAGGAACAATAACGATTTCCTGGAAAAGGCAGGAAAGGATGGATTCCAGGTAGATTAGATTGAGTCTGAAGAAGGGACATGCCTTCCACTGAAACAATAAAGTGGTTACTTACTTATTTTCAAGATGAGCAGGTGGTTAATTCCAAAGCATTACTGTGATACATGAAAGGAAATGCTGGGAAAGGAAGTGTGGTCCCTTTAAATGATATGGAAGGGAGGAGTGCGTGATCCCTGGCTAGGGCTTTACCCCATGGCCTCTGCCCATGGACCTAGGTGAGGACAGGCATTTTTGTTTTCCTGCCCAAATGTTGCATTTCCCAAGACCACCCTGGCCTGCCACGCTCCCATCCTGTGCCTATAAAAACCCCAGACCCTAGCAGGCAGACATCCAGGCAGCTGGACATCAAGAGGAGTGCATCAGCAGAAGAACACATGGGCAGCTGGACGTCGAGAGGAATGCACCGACAAGTACCAGCACGCCGGCAGGCCACCAACCACTGCAGCAGGCCACAGACCACCCCTGCAGAATGACACGGAGTTTGGCTGGGGCAGTCTGAGGAGAGCCCAGGCTGCTGAGCTCCAGGGGAAAACCATCTCCCTTCTGGCTCCCCCATCTGCTGAGAGCTACTTCAACTCAATAAAATCTTGCACTCATTCTCTGAGCCTATGTGTGATCCAATTCTTCTGGTACACCAACCCAAGAACCCCAGGATACAGAAAGCCCTCTGCCCTTGTGATAAGGCAGGGGTTTAATTGAGCTAACACAAGCAGCCTATGGAAGGCTAAACTAAAAGAGCACCGTGTAACACACGCCCATTGGGGCTTCAGGAGCTGTAAACATTCACCCCTAGACACTGCCATGGGGCTCCCTGCCCGTCTGTAGACTCCCCTACAGGCTTGTGCAGCGGGGCACTGAAGAAGCAAGTCACACCCTCATCTCACGCCCTGCGAGGGGGACAAGGGAACTTTTCCCGCTTCAACTGTATGCTTATACTTACCTTGCTCTAAATTGTCTTTATCTGTTAGAATTTAATGGTATTTAAACATTGGTAATAGTTGATAACAAGTATAATATGTTCATCAACTAATGTACTTGATGTTGCCAACATATGAAAATTTGAGTCCTTCAAATGTCATATGAGTATTTGCTTCATGGTCTGAAAAACATGTTTCTCAGGTAGGGAGATAAAGGGAAACATTATTACATTTCAGCCTGGTAATGTGGCATTACATGACCCCGGCTGCCTTTTTAGGGGAAGTCAGCAAATTGTTTTACTTCTTCGTGATCTGTTTCTCATTTATAAACTGGGGCTAATATGATGGGTACCTAAGCTCTAATTTATTCCTAGATATTGGTCACAAGCTAAGCTTCCATAAGTTAAACCTTTATTATCTCTAAGGTTATTAGTGAAGATAGTATTCCTGGAGACCCGTTTTACACTATAAAATACCAAAATCAATCATGCAAAAACAAAGATATGCTTTTACAATGATTTTCTAAGTTTAAAAAGAAAAAGTCAACGTTGTACATGATCTTTTGGAAGATACTTCTTTATCAACTAACTGGCTGACGCTTTCAAAAACACAAATCCAAAGAAATTCCAACTAACGATATTTTATTTTTCGGATAAATCTCCCCAGAGCAAGTAAATGCTTCAGTGCTCTAAGGACTTTCAAACTGTGATCAAAATTAGGGCCATCTGTCCAAAATTTCTAACCATAAATTCAGTGGGTAGACATTTCTTTGAATGTTCAAGTTTTCCATGTTGCTGTGTCCTCTTCCTTTTCTCCTTCTGTCACTACTCCTCATCCTCTTCCCATCTCTGCACCCAATTTTATTATTACTGAATACTCATAGCATACAATAGCCTTCATCTTTAGCAGACTTTGTGGGCAAATTATTTGATGCCACTCTGTTGGTTCTTATGGCTTCTTCCCTGAACAGCTAATGTTTTGCCATCTTCCAGAAGTGCTCTAAAAAGCTTTTGCTTGCAGTAAAAATTTCCGCCTTTGATGTCTTGGGGCAGCTCTTTGAAAGATAGATACAGATAGACAATGGCTTTGCAAGAGTGTTGCCTAATTCAAGTGCATATAGGTTTGCTTCATCTACAGCTGCATCCATAAAATCAAGTTTTTCCACTTTACTCCTAGAGCCAATCAACATAAGAGCAGCTTTATTTTTCCTGTCACCTATAGTGAGAGTCATAAGCAAGCACCATGGTGAGATTTAGCCAAAACTGGGAGGATCATATTTGCAATAAAAAAGGTCATAAAAGTAGGGGTCTAAATTGGAGCCATTATGAGTGAAGAGCCATCTGTACCCTCCTATCAGTGTTTATGGTAATGATTTAGAGCATGAAGTGCTTTAAAAACTGCAAAACATTATACAAAAGGGAGGAATTATTGTAATCCAAACCCATATAATACACACAAACCAAACAGCACTAATGCTTTCCTCATACAAATCTGTGTGGTTAAAATTGGAAGCACTTCTTTTCCCTAAAAATCATAGGCTTCTTGCTGAGTTAAAGAAGCATTTTGGTCATCACAGAAGAGTAACACAAAGTGAACAATCCACCCCACGACTAGGAATGAAGCCACTCTTTCTCCAGCCTCCTCTTTTGCCCCCTCCATCCTTATACATTATGTACTGCCGGCCTCCCCGGTATCTTGCAGGGATCACTGTCTGCCACTCGGGATGACATCTCTCGCCTTGGAGTTTTCAGACTGGAAAAATCCTGACAGCACTGTACCATTCAAACCTGAACCCGTCTCTCACCCCAGTGGCAGACTGTTAAATAAAAAACTCTGTCCTTCCCCAAAGCTTTTAAAGGATCAATGTTTCCTTTATTTAAGTACAAAACAAAGTAAGGAATACCCAACTAACTTGCTATAAGCAAAGAAATTTGAAATTCTAGTCACATCCTGAAAAAAGTTAAGAGAGCTTTTTTCCACAGGAGGCTCCTACTAATGCCTTGTGTGACTTTCCAAAACGCTCAGGCAGAAGAATGCTTCAGAAATTCAATCTGGGATTTGCTGCCCCACCTACTCCTATAGGGCCAAAATGCCAAATAAGCTCTGAGAAATGAAGCCTCAAAACAATTGCCAAGCCATTTTTCATTCCCTTAAATTTCCAAAGATTAACATAAGATGGAAATGTTGGGTACATTTGCATGTGTTAACTAAATAATGTTTATTAAATGCCAACCACACCTACACAGGTTGTCCCCTTCTTCTCTTAGCTGACTACAATTTGCTTCTATTATAGTATTTCTTATAACAGTAGAAAAATGACTACGATAACAACTACAGGAACTTTTACTACAATAACAGTAACCAGTAGCCTTCATGGTTCACCATGACAGCTAAAATAAGGATAAATAGAAAAGAGTTCAGTGAAATATTTCCATTGTGCTGTACCATGATTCATATCCATGCTTATTTCCATCATTAGCTACTTAAAAGATGGTTTATAGATCTTTTGAGTTTCCACCTAAGACAAAACTAGAGGAAATGGACCTTTGGACCTGACTTTGGTGTGATACTTTCTTCATAGCTTACAGAACATCTTTGTGTTCATAATTTCCTTTCATCTGCTCAGTAGGTATTTTCGATTGAGAAATTGAGTCTGAATTCAAGTAACTCAGCTAGGAAGTAGTGACGTTTAAAATCAGGCTGTCCAACTCTTTTCACTATCCCATGTTTGCCTAGGTAGATGAATATAAAGACGATATGACATAAGGAATGTTAATATGAGAAACATTCAAATATAAAGAATATAGAAAGATTAAAAAGAGGATTAGATAGAATACATTAAAAGACAGTCTTGATTTTTTAGAATACACACACACTCAAATATATGTGTGTAATATACATCACTATAATTTTTCAAACTTATAATCTATAGATTTTTCTTCTATTTCTCTTCTAACAAGGCTGATAGTGTTCATGAATTAAAAACTAAACAAAACCCATTGAAACGAATGTGTGCGTCTGTTGATTCATTTATGGTGGTGTTGACACTGGAGCTGCTTGTCGGCTATCTTCTCACACATAATAATTATTATTTACTGATGGCAAAGCTCTGTGGATGTGACCAAAGTGCCAGTGACATAAAGAAAAGCCTGTTTAAATGATCTGCAAAGCAGGGCCACAGCTGTAACTTTGCCCTGGCAGAGCCTGTCAAGTAAATAGCATGATCTTTTCAAACACAGCCATATTATTTTCTTCCTGGCATTTGTAATTTGTTAAAACTCTCAGTGTGCATGCCTTTCTTCCTAATAACAATGGCAAATGGCCAATCTCTGTACTTATCTCTTGCACACACATTACTTCTATGTATATTTATCTAGTTTTTATATTTGAAGGAGTCGCATATGTACACAGAAGAATGCACCTAACTACAAATTTTAAACGACATTCTGTGACTGTGATGGTATGATATAATCTATAGCTCAGTGATAAAACATTCAAAAATGCCAAATAAAACAACTTTGTTTAGAGATGATATAAAAGTAGCCTAACATCAACTGCTGGCTTTAGAAGAAAAACCCAGTACCATGATGCTTCAAAACTGCTGATATTTGGTTTTGTAAGACATACTACATCTGGTATTTATAGGCTTAGTCTTATTGCCAGAGCCCCAAGAGCATCTACTGGGATCCCAGCCATTGTCTACCAACTTATTTGTGCCTTGGTAGACGTGTGAATATCCAATAGTTTTTTTAATTTAGATTAATTGGATTTTCAGTAACTTTTATTTTATTCATAACTTAAAGCTTAGATACTAAAACAAGAACTGACATCACTGCCAACAAAATTTATCTTTAATGCAAACCCCTTTAGGCATGACTTTTTCCCCCATACAATTATACAGTCTCAGGGTTTGAAGAAAGCTTGAAGATTATTGAAACCAGCCACTCTTTCCAGACAATTTAGTGCACTAAATTCTGTTAAGAGTCAAAGCTCTGGAAACAGACTGCACGGGCCTGAACTCAGGTTTTCATACTTATCCGCGGTGTTATACCAGACAACTCTTTTTGTCAAACATTCTGTTTCATTTGATAAATGGGATGAAATAATGTCCCTCAATGGATTGCCATGATTAAATGAGACAGTGCATGGTTCAGAAATATGAGCTCGTGGCTGGGCATGGTGGCTCACATCTGTAATCCTAATGCTTTGGGAGGAAGACGTGGGAGGATTATTTGAGGCCAGGAGTTTGAAACCAGCCTGGACAACATAGCAAGACTCGTCTCTACAAAAAAAACTTAAAAAAAAAAAATAGCCAGGCATGGAGATGCATGCCTGTAATCCTAGTTACACGAGGGTGAGGCAGGAAGATTGCTTGAGCCCAGAAGGTCAAGGCTGCAGTGAGCCATGATCACACCACTGTACTCCAGCCTGGGTGACAGAGCAAGACCCTGTCTCAAAACAAACAAACAAAGAACAATGAGCTCTTTAGTTCCTAAAGCCTTAGAGGATTCTACAGCATTCCTACCACATGGTTACTTAGCCTTTAGCTGAAAACCTCTAGTGACAAAGAACTGTTCACCTCTTAAGGCACCCCATCACAGTTTTGAATTACTCTGACTCTTAAAGTTCTGCCAGAGTTTATATCTCTCTTCCTCTTGCCTGTCTGTTGACACTGGTTCCCGGGGCCTTGGGGTTGGCGGGTTGGGGTGGGGGGGTGGGGGAGGGTGTAGATAATCCCTGTTTCGAATAACAATTCTTCTTTTAAATAGTTGAAGGCAAACTAATTCGACTCTTTTTTTCCCTCCTGTGAGTCTTTTTTCCCCCAAGTGAAATATTCCTAAATCTTTTCTTCATGTACCATGGTTTTTAAAGTCCCCTCATTGCCACCACAGTTATTTTCCTGCAAATCTCTTTTAGTTATTTCCTCACAACATGTGGAATAAGTGTGATACATGTAGCTGTGAAACAGCCTAGGAAGCTACTAAAAAGTTAAAAGCACATGAAATTCAACTCTGGATAATGAGTTTTTATATCTTCATTTCCAATCTTTATACCTTTTACTTTTCTTTTCTTGCCTGGTTCAGTACAGAGTAAAAGAAAGGAGCAGTAGTAGACAGCCTTGTCTTCTTGATTTTAAAAAGAATGCTTCTAACATTGAATTTTGTGTCAGCAAGCTCTACTTTATGTCAAGCAAATTCTAGCTAAACTTGGACTATGTCCATTGGAAATGGAGGTGTGGTTTTAAGAAGCACAAAAGTTTCCTGAGAAATGTTTAACTTTAATGCCTGTGATATTTGTATCAGACAACCTCAAGCAAATTTAGGAGTCTAAATAAAAATGAACAGTTGAAGCTGTACTTTTTATCTGCCTTGATCACTAAGAAAATTTGTCTCAGCCATATCTTGAGGATGAGGGAGTATTTTTATTACACAGACTCTCTGCCCAACAACTGTTCAAATATTAACCAATAAAATAAATAATCTCAAGCATATCTAAATCAAACATACTGTGAAGCCTGGTCCCTTTGACAGTAGTGTAGGACTGTAGCCTCTCTGGTTCTGGAACTTAACCTTTATTAATGTTGCCCAAAATCCCAGTAGTTTTTCAGCAGCCAAAGCACACTGAAGCTGGCAACCTCAAAACTCTTCCATCTAGAGGTTATCTAACTGGTATCCTGAACCTAAGAGCTGGTCTTTAATCTATTTATATTAAATATTATAGAAGATATAGAATTTGAGGATGTCTGAGTATGACATAAAAACAATTTTCTCAATTTTATCAATAGTTGGCAATAAGAATATGTTATTTTTATAATCAAAATTGTTTTTTAAATGTGTTCTTGTTAGAAGTAGCCATTGTTCAGCCGGGCACGGTGGCTCACGCCTGTAATCCCAGCACTTTGGGAGGCTGAGGCAGGCGGATCACGAGGTCAGGAGATCAAGACCATCCTGGTTAACATGGTGAACCCCATCTCTACCAAAAATACAAAAAATTAGCCAGGCGTGGTGGCAGGTGCCTGTAGTTCCAGCTACTGGGGAGGCTGAGGCAGGAGAATGGCATGAACCCGGCAGGCGGAGCTTGCAGTGAGCCGAGATCTTGCCACTGCACTCCAGCCTGGGCCAAAGAGTGAGACTCCGTCTCAACAACAACAAAAAAAGAAGTAGCCATTGTTCCAGCTTGTAAGCACCTATTAAATAATATGCTTTCCATTAGTGAATTTGATAAGCGCCTGTTTTCAACAAAGGTGATAACAGTGTTTAATAGAACAGGGTCAAGGCAAGAAACTTACATTTAAAACAACAACAACAAAATCCTCCCTACAGGCTGAAGCAATTCATTAATTAGTATCCTTTGGGTATGTTCACTTAACAAGTTTCTAATTAACTGATTTATTAAATATATTCACATTTAATGAAAATTTTTGAATTTTGTCCATAAGATATTGCACGTCTTAGTGAAATACTTTGCTGAAGCCCAGATACACATTTTTTTTCACATTTCCTGGATAGATTAGTCCTTTCCGATTGCAAGGAAGAGAGGTTCATTCAGGTCACCTCAAGAAATGGGCTTTTTTCGTAAGATTACACGTACTATACCTAGAATTAAATAGCTCCCAGGAGCCAAGGCAGTTCTGGACAAAATCTACTCTGCATCTCTGGTTTATTGCCTACATGGTACCTCCTTCAAGTATCTGCTTCTGTTTTAGGATCTTATTTTGTTATTTTGTTGTTTCTGTTACTGACTCACCAGTCCCTCCTACACTGCCCTATTCCAAATCACAGAGAGAGCTAATCTGATTGGCCACTGCTGTGCAGGGAATATCCCAACTCTACTTCCATGAACAGAGGGCTGTGGATGAGGCATTTTCATCTGGAAAGAAACACTGGGTATGATAGGCATTATCTGGTAATTCTAGCAAAGAAAAAAGTGAGGTTAGAATGATATAATTTGCTCGTAGTAAACACAGTCTGCCTAATAATCACCAATTTTGCTTCTAAATATACTCATGGATCAAAGCATGGGGAGAAAAAAGGAAAAAGATTTTAAAGGCTGGGTGCAGTGGCTCACGCCTGTAATCCCAACACTTTGGGACGTCAAGGTGGGCAGATCTCTTTTGAGGCCAGCCAGGAGTTTGAGCCTGGGCAACATGGTGAAACACCATCTCTCCAAAAAAAAAAAACTTAGCCAGGTGTGGTGCCGTGTGCCTGTAGTCCCAGCTATTTGGGGGGCTGAGGTGGGGGGATGGCTTGAGCCCAGGAAGTGGAGGTTGCAGTGAGCCAAGATTGCACCACTACACTCCAACCTAGGCAACAGAGCCAGACTCTGTCTCAAAAAGAAAAAGAAAAAATACATTTTAAAACCATAAGAGACATACATAATACAAATGTAAAGAAGTCTACTTTTAGATGTAACTGGAGTTTCAGAAATGAAGAGAGAGAAAGAGAAAATGGGAGAAAAAGCAATATTTGAATAGACAATGGCCAAGATTTTCCAAAATTCCAAAATATATGAAGCCACAAGAAGTGCTATGTACCTCAAGAAATTTGCATTTAAAAAAAATTAAAATTCACATCTTAGGCATATCACAGTCAAACACTTTAAACCAAAGACAAAGTAAAATCTTCAAAGTAGCCAGAGGGAAGGACACATTACCTTCAAAGAAAAAAGAATAAGACTGACAACTGACTTTTCATATATGTCATCTTTAAAGAGGTGAAAGGAAATAATTGACCTCCTAGGATTCGATACCCAGTGAAACAGCTTTCAAAAATAAACAGCTTTCAAAAACAAAAGCAAAATAAAGATATTTCAGACCAATAACAACAACAGTAAAACCCCAAACAAACCCAAGAGGGTCTACTGTTAGTAGACTGATACTGAAACAAAGAGATATAATCCCAGAGAGAAGCATAGAGGTGCAGGAAGGAATAAAGAACAACAGAAAGTATAAAGATCTGGATAAATCTAATGAATACTAACTATGTAAAACAATAATAATAAGAACATATTGTGGGGTTTCAACTGCATGCAGAATTAAAATATGTGACAACATTAACACTAACAGGCAGAACAGGGGCAAGCAGAGTCCTTACATTGTCTTGGAAGTAGTATAAGATTAGTCTATATTAGATTCAAGGAGGCATTTTATCTCCAGAATAACTACAAAAAGAAAAACACAATAATGTATAATTCACAAGCCAATAAAATGGGGTATAAGATAATTAAAAATAAATCCTAAGAAAGCAAGAAAGGGGAGCCAAGAAAGGAGAGCAAAGGGAATATAGAAAAAGTAGGACAAATAGAAAACTAGTAGCAAAATAATAGCCTTAAACCCTGCAATTTCAATAATTATTAAAAATGTAAATGGACTAAAATATCCAATTAAAAGACAAAGATTTTTCACAATAATTGGAAAAAAAGCTATTTGACATTTACAAGATACACATCTTAAGAACACACAGAATTTGAAAGTAAAAAGATGGGAATATATATATACTATCAATATTTATTAAAGCTAAAAACCAGAGGACACTTTAAAGTATTTCTAGAGATAAAGCAGTGTATTTCATAATTATAAAAGGGTCAATTCACTAGGAAGATATGACAATTCTAAATTTCTGAGCTCCTAATAACATAATTTCAAAATATCATAAAGAACTAAAACTAAAAAAAGAAATGAACAAATTAACAATCAAAATGGAAGATTTTAACACATCTCTGACATCTTTGACAACAAGTAGACAAAAAAAAATCAGGCCGTAGAAGATTTGAACAACATAACATGCATGGCCCATTGAATTTACATAGAAATTACACCCAAAAAATGAAGAAAACACATTCTTTTCAAGTGTACCTGGACATTTATCAAAATTGATCAAATGCTGGGCCAACAAAAAGTTTCAACAAATATCAAAGGATTGAAATAATGCAGAGTATGTTATCCAACCATAATGGAGTTAAGTTAGAAATCAATTACAAAAAAGATAACTAGAAATTTCCTAGTGTTTGGAAATAAAAACAATACATTTCCAAATAATCTGTGAGTCAAAGAAGATATCTCAATAGAAATTGAAACATATTTTAAACAAAATGATAATGAAAATACTGCATATTAAAATGTATGGAGTGTAAGAACAAGCCAAACTTAAAGGAAAATTTATAATCTTTAATGCATGTATTTAAAAAAGAAAATCTAAAAACTAATGATTCATAATATCTACCTAAAAAGCCATATCCAGCCAGGCACGGTGGCTCACTCCTGTAATCCCAGCACTTCGGGAGGCCAAAGCAGGCAGATCGCTTGAGCTCAGGAGTTTGAGATTAGCCTGGCCAACATGGTGAAACACTGTCTTTACAAGAAATAGAAAAATTAGGCAAGCATGGAAGCACATGGCTGTAGCCCCAGCTACTTGGGGGGCTGAGGCAGGAGGATCACTTGAACCTGGGAGATCAAGGTTGTGGTTAGCTGAGACTGAGCAACTGCACTCCAGCCCAGGTGACAAAGTGAGACCCCGTCTCAAAAATAAAATAAAATAAAATATAAAAAGTCATATCCAAAGGTGGGGGGGGACAGAAAATTAAACCCACAGAAGGTAAGAATAAGGAAATAATAAAGATTAGAAAAGAAAATAGATGTTCCGAGATGGCTGAATAGGAACAGCTCCAGTCTATAGCTCCCAGAGTGGGCAATGCAGAAGATGGTGATTTCTGCATTTCCAACTGAGGTACCAGGTTCATCTCACTGGGGCTTATTGGACAATGGGTATAGCCCACGGAGTGTGAGCTGAAGCAGGGCAGGGCATCGCCTCACCCGGGAAGCACAAGGGGTCGCGGAATTCCCTTTCCTAGCGAAGGGAAGCTGTGACAGACAGTACCTGGAAAATCGGGTCACTCCCACCCTAATACTGCGCTTTTCCAACGGTCTTAGCAAATGGCACACCAGGAGATTATATCCCACGCTTGGCTGCGAGGGTCCAATGCCCACGGAGCCTCACTCACTGCTAGCACAGCAGTCTGAAATCCAACCAAAGGTGGCAGTGAGGCGGGGGAGGGGCGTCCGCCATAGCTGAGGCTTGAGTAGGTAAACAAAGCAGCCAGGAAGCTCAAACTGGGTGGAGCCCACCACAGCTCAAGGAGGCCTGCCTGCCTCTGCAGACTCCACCTCTGGGGGCAGGGCATAGCTGAACAAAAGGCAGCAGAAACTTCTGCAGACTTAAACGTCGCTGTCTGACGGCTTTGAAGAGAGTAGTGGTTCTCCCAGCATGGAGTTTGAAATCTTAGAACAGACAGACTGCCTCCTCAAGTGGGTCCCTGACCCCCAAGTAGCCGAACTGGCAGACACCTCCCAGTAGGGGCTGACTGACACCTCATATAGCTGGGTGCCCCTCTGAGACGAAGCTTCCAGAGGAAGGATCAGGCAGCAACATTTGCCATTCTGCAATATTTGCTGTTCTGCAGCCTCCACTGGTGATACCCAGGCAAACAGGGTCTGGAGTGGACCTCCAGCAAACTCCAACACACCCGCAGCTGAGGGTCCTGACTGTTAGGAGGAAAACTAACAAACAGAAAGGACATCCACACCAAAACCCCATCTGTACATCACCATCATCAAAGACCAAAGGTAGATAAAACCACAAAGATGGGGAGAAACCAGAGCAGAAAAGCTGAAAATTCTAAAAACCAGAGCACCTCTTCTCCTCCAAAGGAATGCAGCTCCTCACCAGCAATGGAACAAAGCTGGATGGCGAATAACTTTGACGAGTTGAGAGAAGAAGGCTTCAGACGATCAGTAATAACAAACTTCTCCGAGCTGAAGGAGGATGTTCCAATCCATCACAAAGAAGCTAAAAACCTTAAAAAAGATTAGACGAATGACTAACTAGAATAAACAGCCTAGAGAAGACCTTAAATGACCTGATGGAGCTGAAAACCATGACACAAGAACTATGTGACGAATGCACAAGCTTCAGTAGCCGATTTGATCAAGTGGAAGAAAGGGTATCACTGATTGAAGATCAAATGAATGAAATACAGAGACAAGAGAAGTTTAGAGAAAAAAGAATAAAAAGAAACAAACAAAGCCTTCAAGAAATATGGGACTATGTGAAAAGACCAAATCTACGTCTGATTGGTGTACCTGAAAGTGACGGGGAGAATGGAACCAAGTTGGAAAACACTCTGCAGGATATTATCCAGGAGAACTTCCCCAATCTAGCAAGGCAGGCCAACATTCAAATTCAGGAAATACAGAGAATGCCATAAAGATACTCCTCGAGAAGAGCAACTCCAAGACACATAATTATCAGATTCACCAAAGTTGAAATGAAGGAAAAAATGTTAAGGGCAGCCAGAGAGAAAGGTCAGGTTACCCACAAAGGGAAGCCCATCAGACTAACAGCTGATCTCTCAGCACAAACTCTACAAGCCAGAAGAGAGTGGGGGCCAATATTCAACATCCTTAAAGAAAAGAATGTTCAACCCAGAATTTCATATCCAGCCAAACTAAGCTTCATAAGTGAAGGAGAAATAAAATACTTTACAGACAAACAAATGCTGAGAGATTTTGTCACCACCAGGCCTGCCTTACAAGAGCTCCTGAAGGAAGCACTAAGCATGGAAAGGAACAACTGGTACCAGCCACTGCAACAACATGCCAAATTGTAAAGACCATCGATGCTAGGAAGAAACTGCATCAACTAACAAGCAAAATAACCAGCTAACATCATAATGACAGGATCAAATTCACACATAACAATATTAACCTTAAATGTAAATGGGCTAAATGCTCCAATTAAAAGACACAGACTGGCAAATTGGATAAAGAGTCAAGACTCATCAGTGTGCTGTATTCAGGAGACCCATCTCACTTTCAGACATACACATAGGCTCAAAATAAACGGATGGAGGAAGATCTACCAAGCAAATGGAAAACAAAAAAAAGCAGGGGTTGCAATCCTAGTCTCTGATAAAACAGACTTTAAACCAACAACAATCAAAAGAGTCAAAGAAGGCCATTACATAATGGTAAAGGGATCAATTCAACAAGAAGAGCTAACTATCCTAAATATATATGCACCCAATACAGGAGCACCCAGATTCATAAAACAAGTCCTTAGAGGCCTACAAAGAGACTGAGACTCCCATCCAATAATAATGGGAGACTTCAACACCCCACTGTCAACATTAGACAGATCAACAAGACAGAAAATTAACAAGGATATCCAGGACCTGAACACAGCTCTACACCAAGTGAACCTAACAGACATCTACAGAACTCTCCATCCCAAATCAACAGAATATACATTCTTCTCAGCACCAATTGCACTTATTCCAAAACTGACCACATAGTGGGAAGTAAAGCACTACTCAGCAAATACAAAAGAACAGAAATTATAACAAACTGTCTCTCAGACCACAGTGCAATCAAACTAGAACTCAGGATTAAGAAACTCACTCAAAACCGCTCAACTACATGGAAACTGGAACAACCTGCTCCTGAATGACTACTGGGTACATAACGAAATGAAGGCAGAAATAAAGATGTTCTATGAAACCGATGAGAACAAAGACACAACATACCAGAATCTCTGGGACACATTCAAAGCAGTGTGTAGAGGGAAATTTATAGCACTGAATGCCCACAAGAGAAAGCAGGAAAGATCGAAAATTGACACCCTAACATCACAATTAAAAGAACTAGAGAAGCAAGAGCAAACACATTCAAAAGCTAGCAGAAGGCAAGAAATAACAAACATCAGAGCAGAACTGAAGGAGATAGAGACGCAAAAAACCCTTCAAAAAATCAGTAAATCCAGGAGCTGGTTTTTTGAAAAGATCAACAAAATTGATAGACTGCTAGCAAGACCAATAAAGAAGAAAAGAGAGAAGAATCAAATAGACGCAATAAAAAATGATAAAGGGGATATCACTACTGATGCCACAGAAATACAAACTACCATCAGAGAATACTATAAACACCTCTACACAAATAAACCAGAAAATCTAGAAGAAATGGATGAATTCCTGGACACGTACACCATCCCAAGACTAAACCAGGAAGAAGTTGAATCCCTGAATAGACTAATAACAGGCTCTGAAATTGAGGCAATAATTCAGAGCCTACCAACCAAAAAAAGTCCAGGACCAGATGGATTCACAGCCAAATTCTACCGGAGGTACAAAGAGGAGCTGGTACCGTTCCTTCTGAAACTTCCAATAAATAGAAAAAGAGGGAATCTCTCCTAACTCATTTTATGAGACCAGTATCATCCTGATACCAAAGCCTGGCAGAGACACAACAAAAAAAGAGAATTTTAGACCAATATCCCTGATGAACATTGATGCAAAAATCCTCAATAAAATACTGGCAAACCAAATCCAGCAGCACATCAAAAAGCTTATCCACCATGATCAAGTGGGCTTCATCCCTGGGATGCAAGGATGGTTCAACATATGCAAATCAATAAATGTAATCCATCATATAAACAGAACCAAAGACAAAAACCACATGATTATCTCAAAAGATGCAGAAAAGGCCTTCGACAAAATTCAACAGCACTTCATGTTAAAAACACTAAATAAACTAGGTATTGATAGGACGTATCTCAAAATTATAAGAGCTATTTATGACAAACCCACAGCTAATATCATACTAAATGGGCAAAAACTGGAAGCATTCCCTTTGAAAACTGGCACAAGACAGGGATGCCCTCTCTCACCACTCCTATTCAACATAGTGTTGGAAGTTCTGGCCAGGGCAATCAGGCAGGAGAAAGAAAGAAAGTGTATTCAATTAGGAAAAGAGGAAGTCAAGTTGTCCCTGTTTGCAGATGACATGATTGTATATTTAGAAAATCCCATCGTCTCAGCCCAAAATCTCCTTAAGCTCATAAGCAACTTCAGCAAAATCTCAGGATACAAAATCAATGTGCAAAAATCACAAGCATTCCTATACGCCAATAACAGACAAACAGAGAGCCAAATCATGAGTGAACTCCCATTCACAATTGCTTCAAAGAGAATAAAATACCTAGGAATCCAACTTACAAAGGATGTGAAGGACCTCTTCAAGGAGAACTAGAAACCACTGCTCAGTGAAATAAAAGAGGGCACAAACAAATGGAAGAACATTCCATGCTCATGGATAGGAAGAATGAATATCGTGAAAATGGCCATACTGCCCAAGGTAATTTATAGATTCAATGCCATCCCCATCAAGCTACCAATGACTTTCTTCACAGAATTGGAAAAAACTACTTTAAAGTTCATATGGAACCAAAAAAGAGCCGGCATTGCCAAGACAACCCTAAGCCAAAAGAACAAAGATGGAGGCATCATGCTACCTGACTTCAAACTATACTACAAGGCTACAGTAACCAAAACAGCATGGTACTGGTACCAAAACAGAGATACAGACCAATGGAACAGAACAGAGCCCTCAGAAATAATGTCACACATCTACAACCATCTGATCTTTGACAAACCTGAGAAAAACAAGAACTGGGGAAAGGATTCCCTATTTAATAAATGGTGCTGGGAAAACTGACTAGCTACATGTAGAAAGCTCAAACTGGATCCCTTCCTTACACTTTATACAAAAATTAATTCAAGATGGATTAAAGACTTAAATGTTAGACCTAAAACCATAAAAACCCTAGAAGAAAACCTAAGCCATACCATTCAGGACATAGGCATGTGCAAGGACTTCATGACTAAAACACCAAAAGCAATGGCAACAAAGCCAAAATTGACAAATGGGATCTAATTAAACTAAAGAGCTTCTGCACAGCAAATGAAACTACCATCAGAGTGAACAGGCAACCTACATAATGGGAGAAAACTTTTCAATCTACCCATCTGACAAAGGACTAATATCCAGAATCTACAAAGAACTTAAACAAATTTACAAGAAAAAAATCAAACAACCCCATCAAAAAGTGGGCGAAGGATATGAACAGACACTTCTCAAAAGAAGACATTTATGCAGCCAACAGACACATGAAAAAATGCTCATTATCACTGGCCATCAGAGAAATGAAAATCAAAACCACAATGAGATACCATCTCACACCAGTTAGAATGGCAATCATTAAAAAGTCAGGAAACAACAGGTGCTGGAGAGGATGTGGAGAAACAGGAACACTTTTACACTGTTGGTGGGACTGTAAACTAGTTCAACCATTGTGGAAGACAGTGTGGTGATTCCTCAAGGATCTAGAACAATAAATACCATTTGACCCAGCCATCCCATTACTGGGTATATACCGAAAGGATTAAAAATCATGCTGCTATAAAGACACACGCACACGTATGTTTATTGTGGCATTATTCACAATAGCAAAGACTTGGAACCAACCCAAATGTCCAACAATGATAGACTGGATTAAGAAAATGTGGCACATATACACCATGGAATACTATGCAGCCATAAAAAAGGATGAGTTCATGTCCTTTCTGGGACATGGATGAAGCTGGAAACCATCATTCTCAGCAAACTATTGCAAGGACAGAAAACCAAACACCGCATGTTCTCACTCATAGGTGGGAATTGAACAATGAGAACACTTGGACACAGGGTGGGGAACATCACACACCGGGGCCTGTCATGGGGTGGCAGCACGGGGGAGGGATAGCATCAGGAGATATACCTAATGTAAATGACAAGTTAATGGGTGCAGCACACCAACATGGCACATGTATACATATGTAACAAACCTACATATTGTGCACATGTACCCTAGAACTTAAAGTATAATTTAAAAAAAAGAAATTAATGAAATGGAAAGCAAATATACAATAGAGAAAACCAAGAAGCCTAATATTGGTTTTTTGAAAAAACTAATACAATTAAGAAACTTCTGTCAACACTGACCAAGGGAAAAAAAAAAAAAGAGAGAGAGAGAGAAGGTACAAATAACCAATTTCAGGAAGGAAAGGGGAGCCCTCAATATAGATCCTATCAGCATTAAGAATATAACAATAAGAAATTACAAGCAACTGCATGCCAGTGAAATGAATAATTTTTTTTTTTTTTTTGAGATAGGGTCTCACTCTGTCACCCAGGCTGGAGTGCAATGGCACAATCTCAGCTTACTACAACCTCCACCTCCCAGATTCAAGCAATTCTCCTGCCTCAGCCTCCTGAGTAGCTGGGACTACAGGCACCTGCCACCACACCCAGCTAATTTTTGTATTTTAGTAGAAACGGGGTTTCACCATATTGGCCAGGCTGGTCTGATACTCCTGACCTCAATTGATCCGCCCACCTTGGCCTCCCAAGATGCTGGGATTACAGGCGTGAGCCACCACACCCGGCCGAAATGGATGAATTCTTAGAAACGTACAACTTATCAGATTGGGAGAAAAAAAGGTAAAAAAAATCTGAAGAGCTATATACCTATAAACAAAAATTAAATTCATAACCTTCCCACAAAGAAAGCTCCAGGCACCGATGGCTTCTCTGGTGAATTCTTCCAGACACATTACAAAGAAAAACATCAACCTTACCACAAACTCTTCCAGAGAACAGAAAAAAAGGGATCATTTCCAACAATTTTATGAGATCAGTACAACCCTGATGCCCAAAGCTGGCAAGAATATCACAAGGAAGAAAAATTACAGGTCAATCTCTCTCATGAATGTAACCTGACAGTCATAAGTAAAATATAAGCAAGCAAGTCCAATAGCACTCTCTGCAGTAGCCCAAACTGGATACGATTTTTTTTCCATTACCATTTGTATAAATAAAATTCATGGTATATTCAAACAGAATATTGTGCTGCAATGGAACAAACAGGCTACTGCAACACATAACAGCATGGATGAATCTCACAAATGTAATGTTGAGTGAAAGAAGCAAACACGAAAGGCAAATAATGTAGGACTTCATTTACAGAAAAATAAAATCAGGCAAAATTAATCTACAGGTATAGAAATCAAGATAGTATGACTTTGGGAGTGTTGAGAGGGCTGATGACTAAGAGGCAACATAAGCAGGGGGTTTGGAGGCGTTGGTAGTGTTCTATTTCCTGATCTGGTTGCTGGTTACACAGGTGGGTTTGCTTCAGCAAAATTCATGGACCTCTACAGTTCTGATCTGTGCACTTTTTTGTGTGCATGTCTTACTTCAATTAAAAGAAAAAAATGTTTTCTTAAAAAATAAAACCATTCTATTTCCTTGCTTGAATTGATATCCATCTCATCTGTCTGTTATTCAGAATTGATCATGCCATCCCCCTCTAAAAATCAGAACTCTGATGGATTATGTAACTATTTTCTTGAGAATTCTCAATTCATTGGGGGCATAAATATGAAGTAGCTTTATTTTCTTAAAACCCACCCACCATGGGTCGGGTGCGGTGGCTCACGCCTGTAGTCCCAGCACTTTGGGAGGCCGAGGCGGGCGGATCATGAGGTCAGGAGATCGAGACCATCCTAGCTAACACGGTGAAACCCTGTCTCTACTGAAAATACAAAAAAATTAGCCGGGCGTGGTGGCGGGCACCTGTAGTCCCAGCTACTCCGGAGGTTGAAGCAGGAGAGCATGAACCCGGGAGGCAGAGCTTGCAGTGAGCCGAGATCGCGCCACTGCACTCCAGCCTGGGCAACAGAGCGAGACTCCATCTCAAAAAAAAAAAAAAAAATCCACCCACTATATGCCACCCTCATTTTTTTTTTCTGGGTGTCAACTCTTTTAATCACACCCTGGCTTGATTCCATTTATTAACCTCTTCAAGTTATTAGGATCATCTCATTCCAGCATGTAAAGCTCCGTTTTGTTCAAGTTAAGCTTCAAATAGGATTTAAAACTGTTTTTTCCTCCCTTCCTTTTCCTCCTTTACCTCCAGACTTGTCCAAAAGTCAACGTCTACTGCTAGTGGCTTGGAGTGCATGTGTGTGTGAAGGTGGAGTGGCAGATGCTCTGCTCTTTATATCCTTCCCTCTCTTTCTTTCGGTTGCTTCCCTTCTGATATTAGGGCAAGAATAGGGAAGTAGATATTTCATACGGCTTCCTAGAAAGGTTGCAATTTCTTCTCTGTAGGATGTTGCTGCTTCTTTAGTTAGTCCTGTCAGACTTTCAATGTCTTCTATACTGGAGAGAATCCAAGTACTGGCTCCCTCATTGGCAAAGGTCATTGGGGGTCCTCTCCACTGTCCAGTTCCTTGAGATATATACCTTGCACCTACTTGACCTCTCCCGTGAGGGGTCCAGCTAGCAGCATCTCTTGGAGGTAGGAATATGGGCTATTGTGGTGCCTCCTCTCTTAGCTAGGCTGTCTCTCTCTGTCCCCTCTCCTTGCTCTGCAAGCACAGAGCAGTCAGCTGGTCCAGAAGAGGTCAGAGATGAGATGATCACCAATCTCCCACCTTGTAGAGGGGGCATGGTTGGGCATTTCTAAATGTTATAGGTAATTTTCCTGAGGGCTCCTTGCTAGACTTTGAGGGGAAAAAGTGCTTCCATCTTCTCCCTTAACAGTGAGAATGGGGTGAAGGAAGGGAAGAGATTATCCTTATGAACATTGTACTTCACAAAAGGCTAACCTCCTCTCTACCCACCCTTTCTTTAGACTTCCATGAGTACAAATGGGGTAGTTTGGGAAACGTTTGTGGTACGACTGTTTCCCTGTATCAACATTTCTTAGTAGGCTGGCCTAACTATAGGTGGTTTCTCAACTTAGAATATGTGAACTTACCCCGTTCTGTGCACAGCTTTGAACCTTAGTCAGGGATCAGAGAACATCCCTGTTGACATCTTATTACACTTGTCTCCAATCACCTTGAACGTCTATTAATCTTCACACCATGTGTTGGAAAAAAAAATAAGAACAATTCTGTAGTAACTAAAAATGCAGTGGGAAAGGAAATGGGATACAAGAATAATGGCAATGATTTTCTATTTTGCAAAGCAAACACCTTCAAGAAAATTTGGAGAATTTTATTATTCAGCTACCTAAGTATAATAAATAATTCAAATGTATTTGAACTCTTTATCTGTGTGTACACCTTTCATTTTAGTACTAACTTGTCTATTTATAACATTTCTACTCTTACAATCTTGATGTGATTGAGGATCAAAATTGAACATAGCTAAGCAATGCAAAGTATACTGTTGAAAACAAAGCATATTATTTGTTAAAAGCACAGAACCACAATTTAAAGTAAGGCAGAGGGAACAGTGAACAACGTATCAATATTTACTGTGGGGAAAGCAATATTTTATTACAGTCAATAACAGGTCAATTTTCTTCCAGAAAGGGGAACATAATTTATACTTTACACAGTGTAATATATAAAATATTTTTAGTTTAGTAAGACATCACTACTAAAAATGGAACATGTTACTTATTCCGTAAAATGACCACCTGCTTCTAATCAGTATCATAATTCACTTGACAGATCTGAGGTTTCCTTAAGCGGGTTTTTGCTTTACTGATTTTCTTCCCTCGGCTTGACGTTCCCATCTCCCACATGGTTGACGCATGGAGCAGCTGCTTCATATAGCAGGTGAGCAGTGTGGTAGACCAACACAAAGAAATGCCACCGAACCAAAAAACTATTATATAAACAGTATTTTAAAGGGGAAAGAATTTTCTAATAAAAATTCTCAATGGAGATGTCTCTGAAGACAAAATATTAAAGTCAGCCTTGAAATATCACTTAATATAGTATAAAAATTCCTTTCATGAGATTTTGCTTTCTGTATAATTCACAGCCTGATTCTTTCTTATAAACCTTTGAGAAGTGCTGTGAATAGAATATATTGTACCAGGGACTTGTATCAAAAAATCTTTGCTTATCCATTAACAATTTGAGGATTCTAAGATTACATTTCAGGTAATTTAGAGTAAGATTTTTTTAATGTGGATGCCGATGTGGAATCATATCATCATCATAATTATATATTATACCCAAATATATAATTTATCTTTTAAATTTATCTAGATTCTGAGAAATGTCTCTCAGTTCATTTTAAAGCAATAAACTGAATGACATACTTACTTAAAAATATTTCTAAACTCTTTATTAGTATCAAGTGGAAAGAATTTTTTTTTATGCCAAGGAGTAATTTAAATAACTGAGGTCAGGTGTGGTGGCTCATGCCTGTAATCCTGGCACTTTGGGAGGCCAAAGTGGGAGGATCATTTGAGCCCAGGAGTTGGAGACCAGCCTAGGCAACATAGGGAGACCTTGTCACTACAAAATAAAAAAAAGTTAGCTGGGTGCAGTGGTATACCCCGGTAGTCCCAGCTATTAGAGAGACTGAAGTGGATGGATCACTTGAGCCCAGGAGATTGAGGCTACAGTGAGCTATGACTGCATCACTACACTCCAGCCTGGGCAGCAGAGTGAGACCCTATCTCAATAAATAAATAACTCCCCAAATCAGTTTCTTGTCATATAAGGTAATACATTATTACCAGACAACATGGTCCCTTATCAAAGGGAAGCTAATCATTGCATCAGTCTCAAAATGTTTGTGAAAACAAATAAGCAAACAATAAATGTAATTAAACCCCAAGAAATACATTAAACAACTATTGCAGAAACAGCTATTACTCTGAACATCAACACTGGTATAAGAACTAAGCAGTTTAAACTTTATGGGACTATTCATTAACCTAAAATGATTCCCGTGATTTTAAGTACAGAGATTCCGTACTTCTTTTTTTTTTTCTTGAGACGGAGTCTCACTCTGTCGCCCAGGCTGGAGTACAGTGGCACGATCTCAGCTCACTGCAACCTCTGTCTCCCAGGTTCAAGCAATTCTCCTGCCTCAGCCTCCCGAGTAGCTGGGACTGCAGGGGCCCGCCACCACACCCAGCTAATTTTTGTATTTTTAGTATACACGGGGTTTCACCATATTGGGCAGGTTAGTTTCGGACTCCTGACCTTGTGATCAGCCCGCCTTGGCCTCCCAAAGTGTTGGGATTACAGGTGTGAGCCACCGTGCCTGGCCCATACTTCTTTCTTTAGATCCTAAGTAAGTAGTAGGTCTAGAAGATGGGAAACCCAAATCATACAATTCTTCATTTTTCATGAATGTGGATGCCCACCTGTATAGGCAATCACATTAGTGAAACACTGAAGGATCTCCTTTAGTATTTCTAATGTAATTGCCTATAAATATTGGGAGTATCAACTAATAAGATAACATTTGGAAAGTTTTTTTGAGCCCCTTGGACCATTTATGATACATCAATAATGGCAGGACTCATTCCAAACCACATTTTTTTTCCTCTCAAATTATCTTCTCTAATGTTTTTGCATCATCATTGCCTCTTCCTCTCAATTTATTTTTAACAAGATTTTTTTCTAACTAGAAAATGTACGCTCATATAGGAAATTTGAATAATAAAATTAGAAGGAAAAATACCCATAATTCTATCACTTTTTTTCCTCCAGGATTTTGATAACATAATTACAATCTGAAGAAGGTATCTTGCATCTTTTTTCAATGCCAGGGGAAAATATCTTTAAAATAATTCACTTAGGTTTTTGATAAGAATTCACATAGGTTTTTGGTTAACATAATGGAGTGCTTTAATGCTTAACTGCCTCCACTGTCTTTATTAGGAAAGCAACAGAGGTATTACCTAGCAGGTCCAGTTGAATTTACAAAATTAAATACCAGCATTATTTGACTCCACTCTAGGTGTTGTTTCTTCATAAACTTCATTTTAATTGATGTGTAAATGGTAGCTATCATGTATAGAGAGCCTTAATGATATAATATCACATCAACCACAACAGTAAGATATCATTATTTTTACTTTACAAAACGAGTATCTGAAATCAGTCACACAGCTGTTAAGTGGTACATCGAGAATTTTAGGGTATTTGAACCCTGCCCTCTCAGCTTCCAAGGACATTCTTTCTACTGCAGCCCAACACCTTGCCATAAATATCGTAATCTGCTTAATGAGGCCCTGTGGTTGGGCACTTCAAATGCCCATTCCCCTCTTTTCTAAACAATTATCAATAATGTTGGAGAAGCATTTGGTGTATAAAACTTTGTTTCTATGATTATTTTCCTTTAATAGAGCACGCCTTAAGATTTTATCGTGTTAAAGGAGGCAGGAACGTTTTAAAGGCTATTTCTATACATTGCCGATTACTTGTCTCAATGCGGTTGGCCAAATTATAATTCAACAGCTGAGCCTGAGGCCTCCTGCTTCACTGTTCCGTTTATAAAAAATCTCGGTTCATTTGATAAATGAAAAGTGATTCTCTGTTGCTAAGGTTTTTTAAATTGTTATGATTCACTATGTTTTAATACACCAATTCACCATTTTACAAAGTGAACCTTTTAAAGGGCTAGCTAAGTCCTTGAACTAGAAGGGGAAGACAAGAGAGTGGTCATTAGGCTTTTTCTTCCTTTTACTCACTCAACAGTCATCCAGCTCCTACTCATGGCCAGGTACCACACTGTGCTAGTGTTGGGGATATAAAGATGAAAGTCCATTCTTGACCTCTAAGAGCTTGAGGACTAGCAAGAGACACAGACACATAAACAGACAATTTTAGTATAGAGTGACCAGCACTGTGACCAAAGAAACAAGAGGAAGATGCTTTGGGAAACACAGAAGAGAGCACCTAAGCTATTTCAGGAAGGTCCTAGAAGCCTTTTTGGAGATTCTCAGGTCTGAACTCCATCTTGAAATGAAGCAGAAGTTAACCAGCTTTTCCCTGACATCCTCAACCCGAATTAATTGCTTCTTTAATAATTAAAAGACGTGGTCCTTTAATAGAGCACGTCTAATAACAGTGTTTGCACTTACTTGTTTCCATGTCTCTCTTTCACTGAGCTGTGCTTCTTGATGAGGAGGGACCATATCCCTAATTAGCCTAGCACGATATCCAAATAAGCAGTAGGAATGCAATAAACGTTTGTGTAATTATTTTAAAATTCTAGTCATGAACTTATTTCCACCCATATCTTCTTCTTGCATTTATATAAATGTGTAATTTTCCTTTTGATTGTAAAAATAATACTTTTACCACACACCCATCAGAAGGGCTAAAAGGAAAGGATAAGAAATAACAAGTGTTGGTGAAGTATATGGAGTAATGGAAATATTCACACATTGCTGGAGGCAGCAGAAATTGGTTTGATCACTTTGGAAAACTGTAGGCAGCCTCTACTAAAGCTGGGTCTTTCGTATCCTATGACACGGCAATTCCACTCTCGATATACACTCAACAAAAATGCATGCATATGTTCACCAAGAGGCATCTTTTCCCCAAAGCAGCACTATACACAACAGCTCCAAACTAGAAAATACAGACACTCATCAACAGTAGAATGAGTAAGCTTATTGTGGTATGATCACAAAGAGCAAGGCAAAAGAATCTACACTCAATGACATGAAGGAATTTCATGAAAGTAATGTTGAAGACAAAGCCAGTTTTTTAAAAAAGTACTTACAGTATGATTGCTTTTATATAAATATGCAAAACAGAAGCAAGATGACAAAGGGAGTGTCATCATCTAGAAAGTGGTGCGATAAGATGCACAGCTAGTGCTGCCCTGTGACTCTAACTCCTTCAAAAGTCCGCCTGTGGCAAACGCGGCTACCCTCCCAAGCCAAGATAAAGTATAATTGGAGTGCCGAGGCTAAAAAATATACCAGTGGGACTGGTCGAATGAGGCACTTAAAAATTGTGTACAGCAGGTTAAGGCATGGATTTTTTAAAGGAATGCCACCTAAACCCAAGAGGACAGCTGCTGCAGCATCCAGTTCATCTTAAGAATTTCAGGCCAGGTACGGTGGCTCACACCTGTAATCCCAGCACTTTGGGAGGCCAAGGCGGGTGGATCACTTGAGGTCAGGAGTTCGAGACCAGCCTGGCCAACATGGCGAAACCCTGTCTCTACTAAAAATACAATAATTAGCCGAGTGTGGTGGCGGGCACCTGTAATCCCAGCCACTCGGTAGGCTGAGGCAGGAGAATCACTTGAACCCAGGAGGCGGAGGTTGCAGTGAGCCGAGATTGTGCCATTGCACTCCAGCCTGGGTGACAGAGCAAGATTCTGTCTAAAAAAAAAAAAAAAAAAAAAAATTTTAGATTAGTCACACAATAAATGTTCTGATTTAAAAAAAAAAAGGCAAAACTCTCCTTTGCTGTTAGAATTCAGGAAAGGTCAGTTATGAGTGAGGAGTGGGTTTAGTGACTGAAAGGAAATAGGAAGGGGGAGTTTCTGGGAATATTGTAAAGTTTCTTGAACAGGGTGCTGATTACACATACAGATTTCAGTCTATGTATATATATTACACTTATTTCTTAAGTAATATATATTACTTACAAAAGGTGTACAATTTTTCTGTATGTGTATTACACTTAGTTTTTTTTAAGTAATATATCTTGAGAGAAAGCTAGAAAATAAGACGTTTAAAAATTTTTGAATCACCTACAATCCCACTATCCAGTGAAAACGACTGTTAACATTTTGGACTTTTTTCCAGTTCTTTTTTTCAAGCCAGTGTGCACACGCTCTCTCCTCCCCTCCACTCATACACATAAATTTTGCTAAATTAGGTTCATTCTCATTTAGTTTTATTTCTGCTGTATTTTTACATAAAGTTAAACTATACCATTCAATATCCTTTGCAAGCATTTTATAAGCAGCTGAAACATACTCCATTGAATGTATGTGCTCCAGTACATTTAATCAGTTGCCCATTGCTGTTTTCTTATTAAAAAATAATCAGTCACATGATGTCTCTCTCTCTCACACACACCCCTACACCTCTAGACATTCTTTAAGCTCTGCATTCGTTCTCTATTTCTCTCCAGAAAGGTTGTACCGATTTACAGTTCCACTGGCAAATGTGAGGGCTCCTTGTATCGCAGTCCAACCCCAGCTCATTTCTTAGTATAGGTTTGTTTTTAGGATGGTCGAGCTCAAAGCAGAACTAAGGGATCTGCCGTTTTGTACACGGCCGAGGCGCGCGGCTCCCTGGGCCTGGAACGCGCTCTGAGCGCGCCGGTCCCTTCCAGGTTGCGCGGGCTCCGGACGAGACCCAGCCCAGCCGGGCAGCCCCGCGCGCTCCCGGGTCCCGCCGGCCTCGCGCCGCCCGGTTGCCGTGGGAACCACGGAGCCTCGGAGCGCCCGCAGACTAGCCCGTGTCTGAGGGGGTGAGGGATACTGAGGCCCAGGCATGGAGCTGCCGGATCCGGTGCGCCAGCGGCTGGGAAACTTCAGCCGGGCCGTGTTCAGTGATTCCAATCGGACCGGTCCAGAGTCCAATGAGGGTCCGGGTGAGTGACCGAGGCCCGGTGCAGGGGGTGTGGCCTGCCGAGGGCTTGGCGTGGATTTTGGAGCGTCCAGAATTTGCCCGTACCTAAAATGGCGATGTCGCCTTCAGCCAGTTCTCCGCAGTGCGGGAGAGCGCCTTGGAGGAGGGGCCGGGCCGGACAGGGAGCTGAGGCGCTGGCGGCCTCCCGCCCCCGGCCGGGCCTGGTCTCCGCGTGGTGCTCCCTGGCCAGCTTGTTGCAAGCGCGGCAGCTGACGTGGGGCCGATCTCTGTGCCGCGCAAGGCCCATCATTGTCCCGGAGAAACCCCAAAAATAAAAAGATAAAAGCCGCCCTTGCTGCACAGGCTGGTCCCCCGCGCGCCGCGAGAGCGAAGGCCCAAGTTGTTTTGCCTCTGCGGCGCCCGCCCCGGCTTTTCTGTCCAGGATGACGAGGAATAGCCCAAGCAATCCCACCTCCCCCGTCCCCACCCCCACCCCAGGGAACAAATTTGCCTTTTCCCTTTTCCTAGCAGAACAAGTATGTTCCTAAGCAAGGCCATTTTCTCGTAGAAGACATTAAAAAAAAAAGTTAATGAGTCCTTTCAAACCACCATCCACTCCCACTGGCATGTGCCATACTAGCCGGGCGTTCAACAAAACTCACCCCTTCCCTGCCTTCTCCTCCTCCCCTATATGTAACTCTTATCATAAGGTAACAAAATACCATGATGCTTCTGCGTCCTTTAACTTGATGTCAAGTGATAACACAGTTTCCTCCAGAACAGTTTCCTCCTCCTACATCATGATGGTAGACAACACACTGTCAACCAAACCCATGTGGTTTTCATCATTCAACTCTGCTGGGAAATATCAATCTTTTCCTCTGCTTGGTTTTAGAGAATTTTTAAAAGGGACAGAGAAAAGTAAAGGCAGTTCCCAAAGCTGCATTTTGTCACCTTGATCACTTGCCTATTTCCCAAATGTAGGCCTTTATGATTTAGGATGTACAGAGAAAAATGTGAAAAAAATAGGTTTTCACGTTTCTGGTTCCAAGGATGAGGCTTAATGAGCACTAACGTCTGATAATACAAGGTAAAAAGACGTTTTCTGAAAAGGACCAGATAGTAAATATTTTAGACTTTGTAGGCCATATGGTCTCCACGGCAGCCATTGACAATAGTTATTGAATAGGCAGGGCTGTGTTCCAATAAAACTTTATGGACACTGAAATTTGTATTTCATATGGATTTCACGTGTGGAAAAAATATTACTTTTTTAACCATTTAAACGTGAAAAAACATTTTTAGCTCATTGACTGTACAAAAACAGGCAGCTGGCCAGTTGTTTACCTATCCCTGATTTATATTGTATGTTTTAATTTAAATTCCATTTACAGAACTCAACTTGAACTTTTGCAAAATTTAGTAAGTTTATGTCTTACGCTTTTAAGGTTCATTTACATATTAATTTGATTTTCATTTCCATGATTATAAGTTTGATCTGCTGAAATATGGACATAGCATAACCTTTAAGATGTTAACACACAATACTTCTAACATGAAAACCATTCTTTGCAAAATTTGACTACAGTTTCTTCTCAAAGGTACTGAAATGTTCAGCTTGCCCAATTTATTATTCTTTCCCAAATTTTCTTCTTTGTGGATTGGAAGTAGGTTTGATTATTTGTACTGTAATAACAAGTTTATGTCATTACCATGTCCGCAGCTTTGTACTGTTGCTATCGAAAAGATCCTAGGCTGGTGAGTTGTCTTCAGATTTAACAGATTTTAAGAATTCATTCCTTTATCAGTGGTAATTTAATAAACAGTTGCAAGCAAAAGTAGATCATAATAATCAGGCATATTCTTGGAGCTAAAAGAAACTATTTTGCTGTGAGAGACCATGACTATTTCTTATATTTTAAAATAATTAAGTGACAGATAAAAACACTCAGCTATGGAGAAAAGGAGAAAATAATGTTTTTAAGACATTTATTTTAGAGCCTTTAAAATCTTACGTGTACAGCAACTGATTTCAATATATGTGTCTGCTCTTAAGAATTTAGTCAAATTTAGGATGTATTTTGTAGGGCTCAATTTTAAAAATCAAATTCTTAATCTAGGACCCTGCTCTCTTACATAAAAGCAGAAAGTGTTATGGAATCAACCTTAGGTAAATGGAACTCATGTATCACAAATGGCTATGCTAGTAATGTCCTTATGACAGTATACTTTCATTAATTCATTCTTATGTGTATTTGATATTCACTGCGTGGAAAGCAAGATGCTAGATTCTATGAGGGTCTCAAATTAGGGTAGGACATGGTGTGTGCTTGCAATGAGCCTGTAGATAAGTAGAAGAGAAGAAGGAAAGAGGACTAATATTTGTTGAGTGCCTACTAAGTGTGCCAGGCACAGTGCTAGGATGAAATAATTTATATTGGCTCTAATTCTCACAAACAGCCTGTGAGGAAGTTTTAATTTCACTATTTTACAGATGAAGAAATAGAAGCTCAAAGAGTTTAAATAATTCATGTCAAGTCTGACATCCAGGGTCACAGAGGTTTGGGGAGCTCGGATTTGCTTGAACTCTGAAGCCCATGATCTGTTCAGTACACCAGACTGTTTTTTGGGGAGGGGAGTGTGGTTCTTTGCTAGCACTTCTTATTGACAGTTTAGAGTGGTAAGTACCTAAAGGGGAAAGGTATTTCTGCTGAGGTGGGGGAACTGATGAAGGAAGTATTGATGGAAAAGATGACACTGAATTGGACTTTAAAGAATGGCTAAGATTAGGGTATGCTGAAAAGAGAGATGTGTCTAATTATAACCTTGGTAATCCGTTTTTGTATAAGATTAGTTTATCTGTGGGAGATTCATTTTTATTTATTTTATGCATTAATTTTATATGCTATTTACATAGAATTCTACAAAAGAGGCAATGATAATTATCTGTTGAATAGGATTTATGTTGATATTCTACATTAAATCTATACCAGTAGTATATGCCAAAAAGTCAGAAGACTGTAATGGCAAAATGGTAAAATAATTGAAAAATATGAAACGTACCCCCAAATAGCCAATATTTGACCTAACTGGTATTAGGATGAATATTCCTTTTACTGTCAATGATTATAAATAGGCATAAAATTTGGTGTTTTACTGAGCCAATATTATAGTTATTAATTCTAGGGAATAGGATATATATATATAGGGCATAAACCCAAGATTCATCATTTGTTCCTTTTCTGTTCCTTCTGTAGAAAATGAAATGGTCTCCAGTTTGGCACTGCAGATGTCACTTTATTTTAATACCTACTATTTCCCACTGTGGTGGGTGAGCAGCATTATGATGCTTCACATGAAGGTAAATCTAAGCTTTAATACTTTTGCTGCCCTGACGTTGTTAGAGTGTCAATAAAATTCAAGTTCTTAATAATTTTTTCTATCTTAAATCAATGTTACTATACATGAGATTTTACAAACATGTTTTGGCTTTTCTTTTAGTATTCAATCTTACCTGACTACTACAAATTCATTGTGATCACTGTTATCATCCTAATAACCTTAATTGAAGCCATCCGGTTGTATCTGGGCTACGTGGGTAACCTACAGGAGAAGGTAAGCTCTTTTTTCCTTTCTCTCAGTGATAGATATAAATGAAATCAGTTTTCATAACAAGTAAAAGGCAGTGAGGTGTGGCAGAAAGAGCACAGGCCTGAATTTAAAGCCTGACTCCAGCTTTACCACTTCTGTCACTGTGGTCTGTTTGCTTAATCTCTTGAGCCCTGGTTTCCTCATATATAAAATGAGGAAAATAATATTTACTTCACAGGTTTGTTGTGATTAAGTGAAATGATTTATGTAAAGTATATGAATGTAGTAAACACTTAAAATTGATATTTTCCCTCTTCTTATCAGTCTTGAAAATACATGGTTACTTAAACATGTGTATTTGGATCCTGAATAAGAAAATGGGGGAAAATTATGAATTCATTTCCTATGCCAGGCCCATGTTTTCTGCATCATCATGCTGCCTAAGCATTTGTGGTTACCAGAGTATAGGGATAATGCCTAAAGATTCCCGTGGTTTTCTAGGCCCTTCATAATAAGGCCCCACCCAGCCTGTCTTACTGTAGGTTTTGCTGTTTTCTCACTCAGCCATCCATTCCAGGCTGATGTGCTGATTCCCAATCATGCTAATTTCACGTGTTTGCTTACTTACCTTTTTGCCTCTTCCTTCTTCTCCACAACTTAAAAAGCCTACCTCCCTGAGGTCTTTCTTTCACCTACCCTAATCACTCCCTTATTTCTTGTAGCATTTAGTCTGTACTTCTAAATATTGCACTTAATTGTTCACTAAAGTGTAGTATTCTAGGATTGTTTTACATGAATTAGTTTTCTCATCTAGACTGTAAGTTCTCTGAGGACAAGGACCATGTCATCCTCCTTTGGAATCACTCACAGAGCCCATAATGTAGGTTCACGGTAGTGATAAGTACTTGTTTATCTGTATAAACAGAAACTGTATTTTACTGATTTTTATTACTCTTGATATGTGTCATTGCAGGTTCCTGAGTTGGCTGGCTTTTGGCTTTTGAGCCTTCTATTGCAGTTACCTTTAATTCTTTTCTTGCTCTTTAATGAAGGCCTAACAAATCTGCCCTTGGAAAAAGCGATACATATCATCTTCACTCTCTTCCTTGCTTTCCAAGTTGTTGCAGCATTTCTTACCTTAAGGAAAATGGTTAATCAGTTGGCAGTTCGTTTCCACCTCCAAGACTTTGACCGGCTCTCTGCAAACAGAGGAGACATGAGAAGGATGAGGTCATGTATAGAAGAGATCTGATCCAGTGTTGTTGAGTGAAAATCTGACAGATCATTCTAGAGACTGTAAGAGTTAGGAAAATATCAGAGCTCTGAGAAAAGGGACAAAGCAAGTGTTTTGAATTGTATATGCTCTCACTCTGAAATTCCAAGGTTGGGGGCAATGATGAAACTTTGTACAGTATATGAAACAGTATATTAACCCTAAAACCTAGATGTTGTCCACCTGATGCCAAATTTCTTAATTTTTTTTGATGTTGTTGTCTTTTTCAGGAGTGTAGAAATCTATGTATTGGTGGTTGTCATTTGCCAGCTCTCTCGTAGCATTTCTGGTTAGAATCTTTAACTAGAGATGTATACATTTCTTTAAAACTTGTTGGTTATCCATGTCTTGTCTGTACATATGACCATGTTTCTTGACATGGAAATACCAGTCAGTGTTCCTATGTATTTGTCTATATTTGTAAACCAAGAGACCGGCTGGGTGTGGTGGCTCACGCCTGTAATCCCAGCACTTTGGGAGGCCGAGGTGGGCAGATCATGAGGTCAGAAGATCGAGACCATCCTGGCTAACACGGTGAAACCCAGCCTCTACTAAAAATACAAAAAAAAAAAAAATTAGCTAGGCGTGGTTGCAGGCACCTGTAGTCCCAGCTACTTGGGAGGCTGAGGCAGGAGAATGGTGTGAACCCAGGAGGCAGAGCTTGCAGTGAGCCGAGATCAAGCCACTGTACTCCATCCTGGGTGACAGAGCAAGACTCCATCTCAAAAAAATAAATAAATAAAAAATAAAACAAGAGACCAAATTTTCATGTCTGCTAGGGTTAAATTCTAACCCTAATATTAGCTGTTATACTGAGATGAAGAAGAAAACAGGTGGATTGCCTTGGTATTTAGGAAATATTTTTGTTATAAAATTACAACTTTCATAAAACCATATTCAGTATTTGTAATGGTGGTATACAAAATGCTTTTACAATAAATTATTAAATATTTAAGGTATCAGCAGCAAATCATCCTTGTCTTGTGCAATTATTTTGGGCTATAGATTTGTGTTTTTTATTACAGAGTTGCAAGAGAAGGAAGGAAAACAAATCCTAGAGAACTTTCTATGTAGTGGGCACTGTAGTAGGCATTTTAAATTAGCACTTGTGATTGCATCTACTAGGTTCTTGTTCACCAAAGAACTGCTTCATACCCATTAAATTCACGTGAGGCTTGATTTGGAAACCAGAGCGCCTCTTAATACATATGAGAGCTAAGATGGCCAAAGGGACTATACTCATGATCCTAAATGAGCATGCTCCCTTGCTAATAGGAGAAATCTATTTTAGGAGAATTGGTTAAGAACAAAGTTGCTTGGGTGTATCTGAACATTATATTTAAGTGACTGTTGGACTGTCTTAATGGATATGATATGTTCATTACAGGTTTTCTTTTTTTCTATAGGGAAATGGGCCTTCATAATGTATTTTACTGAGGGACAGTTGTAGCTGCATTAAAAACTGCTCTTTTCAATTTTCTTTTTCTACAATTCATGCTTATCTTAGGATTCCCAGGTTTTGCCTTATTCATTGTTGTTTGGCTGAACTTCAAAAAATGTCTTTACTTCCCACTCATTCTTGATTCTTCCTGACCAAACTATGCTAATTTTATTATTTCTGCTCTTTATGATTATATATAAAGTTCAGCCAAATATTTCTCCCTCCATGCAGTGGCTGATTAATCTTTCTCATGCCAAAGTAGTCACCAGTTTTACTCTTAATAATTTGGAATTTAAAATAGAATTCTGTTTGAATAGTTGTCTAAAACATATTTGTTTGCATTTGTTTCCCAGATAGGACTAGGTAGGTGATTCTATAAGAAAATATAAAATAAAATTAAATCTACAAAGCAGATAAATTAGGGGATGATGGAGACTTTTCTATTTCAAGATTGTTTCCAGAGTTTTATTTTAAATAGCAGAACTTCTGGTACATTTAAACTTTAAAATTAAGAGATTAATAACAAAATGTCAGTCATAACCATAAAAAAATTTTTAAACTGTAAAAAGTTTGAGAAAATTGATTTATCAAAAATTTCAAGTAATTTTGCTGTAATAAACATATTGCTTAAAATGCAGATATAGTAACAGTGGGGGAAAAAAGATAGTAAATTGAGACCATGACCAAGTCATTTGTTTGTTTTTCATCTGAACAATAAAACCATGGTTTTTTGTGTTAGGCTGAACCAATATTTTCTATTGGAATATACCTGGTTCCCTATATAAGTATATGAAAATCAAGGTAGAGGAGATATTAACATGTCAGCACATTTGGGGGTTAGGCAGTCTTTCATTTTATTTGAATATATTTATCCATCCTTAATTTATATTATATCCTTCTAAGGATTTACAACACTGTACTGAAAATTTTTTAATTAAAATGTTGAACTTCACAAACATTTTGTCCTTTACATATTTTTTGTATAAATCAAAATTATTTTATTTTATTTTATTTTATTTTATTTTATTTTTGAGACGGAGTCTCGCTCTGTCGCCCAGGCTGGAGTGCAGTGGCGGGATCTCGGCTCACTGCAAGCTCCGCCTCCCGGGTTCACGCCATTCTCCTGCCTCAGCCTCCCAAGTAGCTGGGACTACAGGCGCCCGCCACCACGCCCGGCTAATTTTTTGTATTTTTAGTAGAGACGGGGTTTCACCGTTTTAGCCGGGATGGTCTCGATCTCCTGACCTCGTGATCCGCCCGCCTCGGCCTCCCAAAGTGCTGGGATTACAGGCGTGAGCCACCGCGCCCGGCCAAAATTATTTTATTTTTATTTATTTCTGTTTTTTTTTTCTTTTTTCTTGAGACGGAGTTTTGCTCTGTTGCCCAGGCTGGAGTGCAGTGGCGTGATCTCGGCTCACTGCAGCCTCTGCCTCCTGGGTTCAAGTGATCCTCCTGCCTCAGCATCCAGAGTAGCGGGGATTACAGGCACCTGCCACCATTCCTGGCTAATTTTTTTGTATTTTTAGTAGAGGCAGGGTTTCACCATGTTGGCCAGGCTGGTTTTGAATTCCTGACCTGAAGTGATCCACCCGCCTCAGCCTCCCAAAGTGCTGGGATTACAGGCGTGAGCCACCAAGTCTGACCTAAATCAAAATTGTTTTAAAACATTGAAACTTATTACTTTAACATACACTTGAATGACTAGTATATGTAAGGAGTAGTCAAAGGTTCATAGACAAGACATGCTCCTAGTTCTCAGGGATATGATGTGGGAGGTAAAACATTTGTACAACCTTAAGACAAAGTAAAAAAGCGTAACTTTATGAGGGAAGTGTGTTGAATGAGTTTCACTGAGTTTCTACCTGCTAAGTACCTGACAGGTAACAGGCCCTTGGCTTCCAGCGCATCTTCCCTCTTTGTTCCTAGCACTTAGTATCCCAGGATTAGCGCATTAACCCTACATCAACACCATTTAGCATTCACTGTGCTCCACATTGTCTGAGGGGGGTAGGCAGTATTCAGGTTAAATGAATACGCACTCAATCCCACTTGCCTATGCAAGCAAAAAGTTCCCTGTCTGGTAGAAAAGGCAGATAAGCAAATCAGTGATAGCAGTGTGGTGGGGCCCTATAGGATTACAGAGAAGAGACATCTAAATGAATGACGAATCTGGAAAGCCTTCCCAAAGAAAGTGACACTTGAGATTTAAAGAATGAGTGGGTATTAAGTTCAGTGTTAAGAACAAAAAATAGTGACTGTGAGTTCTGTTTCAACTACTACAACTAGTTTGTTGAGGCTAGTGGGAAGGGTACATGAGAAGAAATGGTGCAGAATAAGGCAGAGAAACTTGGAAGGTGCTAGCAAGCCTGGCTAAAGCTTTGAATATATTCTGTCTTTAATTTTTCAGAACTCTATTCTGAATCCCTGAACCGTTTAAACAGTGGAGTATCACAATCAGAATTAGGTTTCAGAAAGATCTCTTTGAAGACAATGTGAAAAATGGATTGAAAGGTTTGGACCAGAGGCAGAGATACCAGGAGGAATGTGATTAAGTAAGTTAGGCGAGAACAAGCTGGCCTGGATAAAGTCAGTGGCAATAAAATAAACTTGAATAGAACCTACTATAGTGTTTTAAAGATAATTTGTATTTTAAAACAGATATTAGGAGGGTCTTTTTTCTAATTCATCTTTTCAGAGATGACCTATAAGAGTAAACACAATGAAATACTCACCGCCTTTCTTATCTCCCCCACACCCACAGTTATTAGATTATTATTTTTTTGTTGTCTTTTAGAGACTGGGTCTTGCTCTGTCACGAAGGCTGGAGTGCAGTGGCACAATCATAGGTCTTGAACTCCTAGCCTCAAGTGATCATTCTGCCTCAGCCTCCTAAGGTACTGGGATTACAGGCGTGAGCCACCACACCCAGCCATTAGATTATTAGACTTAAATAGAGCTCTATCTGAAATAATCTAAGTTTTATTTGACATAACCTACCTAATGATTCTTTACTTGAATTAAGATTATAGTTTTTAAAAACTCTAAAGGAATAGGATCACAAGATTTGAGAGTAAAGAAAAATCTACAATTCCACCATCTTAAAATAACAACTATTAGCAAATGTCATGTTTCTTTGATGTTTTTACTTTGCAAATAGTTTTTTAAAAACACAGTTGTGATCATAAGCACTTATAATTGTGCACCCTGCTTTTCTGAAAACATTAAAAGTATTTACCTATGTTTCTACATAGTTACACAATCATCATCTTAAGTGATTGTGTGTTATTTCATCAAGTAGATGGGCCATAATTTATTTAACTTCTCTCCTATCATTAGATATTTGTGTTATTTCCTTTTTCTTTTATACATAACATTGTAACGAACATCTCATGCATATAGCTTTTTCCATATCTCAGATGATTCCTTTTAATTAATAAGCCAGATTCCTGGAAGTGAAATTGCTGGGTCCTAGAGTATGGACATTTTTAAGGGCATATTGCCAAATTAAAACATCCACTTTCTACTATTCACCACGCACAATTCTAAAAATAGTACAATGAATATTTTGACAAGGACAGATTTGTGGACTTTAGTTACCCATTTGTCTTTGTATTTCTGAGTAGTTACCACAGGAATACTGAGTCTCAAGAGAAAAAAAAAATCTAAAAGCTGTGAAAGGAGAACTGGAAAGAATAAAAAAAAGATTTTTGAATTAAGGGAAAACTGATAAGGGACGGGAAAAGGATTAGGCAAGCTGGTCGCAGTCAGCAACAGACAGTGAGATGTGACACAATAAAAACTGGGTCATTGAGTTGGGACAGCCCTAGGACATAAAAAGACTGAAATGAAGTAAAGCTCTGGATTACTTTGTTCTTGAATATTGAATTTTTTCAGAAGCATGGAGCATGAAATATTATAGTGATAAGCCAAGATTGGAAACATAGCCAAGAAAAAGAGGTCTTTAAGGGATTGTTTAAAATGTGCTGAAGGAATAATTTGGTTTGGTCTTAAACGGCTCAAAAAGTAAATTGACATAAAGCTTTTGCATAGCAAAGTAGGCATGGAGGCAGAAAACAAAGCGGCAAACAGAAGAGTTTACCTTGTAAATTGGTTAGCATGTAATATGTTAGATTTTGGTCATAGAAAAGATGTATCAGGAGACTGAACTACTGTATTTTATAAGTGTAATTAACACTAACTTGTTATGGGTATATATCTTTATTCTAGTTTTAAGAGACTGTTAATTTGGGGGTTTTAAATCAAAAAGCAAAACTAAATAGTTATGAGGCCATTCTAAGAATCATCCTAAAAATCTTTTTTCCCCAGTGTTTACGCACTTAAAAATATTCAAGCCCTAGAAAAATGTGTTTAAATATAAGTTTAACCTCAACATTTAAATGTATTCTGACAGATTTACATCTTTCTGAAAGTGAGGCTAGGCATCAGTGTGTCATCATCTTAACCCAAGTCAAGACAGGCTGGAACACCTGAAAACAAGATACAAATCGTAGGACAGCATGGAACATATATTCTATGAAAAGCCAAAGACATTTGGAAATTTATCTTATCAACATGCATTATCTAAACATATTCCACAGCTGAACATTCTTGTCTGAAAAGAGCTTTTTAATCTAGTAAGATGTACAATCACAATGTATATATTGTTCCACAGACCTAAGTCTTTAGCACTCAGCTACATTAAAAAGGTAGACTTTTTATTTTTTATTTTTTTGAGACGGAGTCTCGCTCTGTCACCCAGGCTGGAGTGCAGTGGCACGATCTTGGCTCACTGCAAGCTCTGCCCCCTAGGTTCACACCATTCTCTTGCCTCAGCCTCCCGGTAGCTGGGACTACAGGCACCTGCCACCATGCCCGGTTAATTTTTCTTTTTGTGTGTGTGTGTGTTTAGTAGAGACGGGGTTTCACTGTGTTAGCCAGGATGGTCTCGATCTCCTGACCTCATGATCTGCCCGCCTCGGCCTCCCCAAGTGCTGGGATTACAGGTGTGAGCCACTGCGTCCGGCCAAAAATGTAGACTTTTAAAAACAATAATCAACCAAGAATGACTTTGTCTTTAATTTTTCAGAACTCTAATAGCACTATATTTGGCTGGCAGAAAAGTATTATTGATTCATTTTTAAAGGTTTTTAGTTCCTGATCTTGAGTTATTTATATTCTAATTCAAAGTACATTAGAGACACTGCTCAATATTATAGCCTAAAAGAGAAAAATATTTGATATTAAAGTTATATGCACATTTAAAAATTATTTTTAAATGCTTGATTCATTAATACCTAGAAATACTAAAATGACCACTCGAGAAAGTAGAAGTTTTAGGACTTTGCTTCAATAGTTTTCCTAAAAAGAATGAGAGCTTATTAAGAGTCAAAATTTGTGCTATCCTAAAAACTATTGCTCCCAGTGGTCAATAAGCCCTTGCTAAAGAAGGCTGGAGATTTAACTGTTGATTGTTCAGTACTTTACAAAGCAGAGCAGCAGAAGATACGCTCTGTATTTTTAGTACGCTATGATTTTGTTCTGTAAAGTCAACAATTTAATTAGCTACAACAATATGTCATCCACTATGCTTTGACACTCCAGGACGAAAAAGATAAATAAGATTAAGTCCTTGCCCTTCCAGCCATCTAGCAGAGGAGACAAATTTAAGGTAACCACAATTCCTTATGATAAGACTGTAATACAGCTATGTAAAAGATGAAAATAGGTGATGAATCCTGCCTAGAGGGTAGGATAGGCTTTCAACAGATGGAACAGCATGGGTAAAGATATAGACATTTAAAAATATAAGGCCTGAACAGAACCAAAAGTAGTTTTGTGTCATTAAAATATAAGGTGTGTAGAAGAGAATGGGTTGAGATGAGCTGAAAAGACTGGCGTCGGAAGTTATCAGTCTTTTAAATAATAGATTATTATAAAGAGTTTGAACTTCATGCTGTAGGCGATGAATGGTCTATCTATATTTAAACAGCATTATAAGTCATTGTTGCCACATTTGAAAATGATAGAAAGCTGAGAGGGAGAACTAATTTGATTGATGATACAATCACATTTCAAAAGAATCTCCTAACAAGCTGAAATGCCAGATCCAAATACATTTTACACATGCGCACACACACCCTTCTCCAACATGTACTTTTCAAAAAGTTCACTAGTATATAATTCTGTGCTGTTTTTCAGGGAAAAACATCTGGGTAGTCCTAGGAGACGATAAGCACATATTAATAGAAATGTAATGCCCAGATCAAGTAGGATAGCAATCTCACTGTGCGCTTTCTTGTTGTAGTAATGTCTCCTCAACTTTACCATACCAGCCCTATGATTGTGTTTATCAGGAAATCTAAAACCAAATCTGATCATGACACTACTCTCCTTAAAATTTGTTAAGACTCTCATTTCCAGGCTGGGCATCGTGGCTCATGCCTGTAATCTTAGCACTTTGCAAGGCCAAGGCAGGAGGATTGCTTGAGCCCAGGAGTTTGAGACCAGCCTGGGCAACATAGTGATGCCCTGTCTCTACAAAAAATAGAAAAAAATAGCTAGGCATAGTTTGTGCCCCTAGTCCCAGCCACTCTGGAGGCTGAGGTGGAAGGATTGCTTGAGCCCAGGAAGTTGAGACTACAGTGAGCTGTGATCACACCACTGCACTCCAGCCTGGGCAAGAGTAAGACCCTGTATCAAAAACAAAACAAACAAACAAACGAAGGACTCTCATTTCCTGCAGGATAACACCCAAACTCCCTAGCCTGGCATATTAGGCCTCTTTCCACCTGCCTGACTTCATCTTGCTCTTCCCCACTCCTTCAAGCTGCAGTTCTTCCCATGCACCATTCTGGGTTTTACCTGCAGACTTTCCCTCCAAACTGCTCTGTCTGCCTGAAGTAGTAATCTTATCTATGTGGTGAAACTCTACTTATTTTTTAATGCCTGGCTCAACTGTCACATCTTCTATGGAATTCTGAATATTTGTTCCTCCCACAGTCCTACAGTCACTGAGCATCTTGGGGACAGGCACCACTCTTATTCATGATATCTCCAGTGCATATGACAGTGCTTATGCACTTAGTAATGTTGACTGAATGCACAGATGAAGGAATAAGCAAGTTGTTAGAACTCAGAGCTCCTGCCTCCTGTTCTTAATACATAGCAGCTTTTTTTCATAAACTTTCTACAAAATAGAAATGCCACATTTACTCATATTTGAATCTTTGTGGCATGAAAATGAATCCTAATCTTAAAACCAATAACCACTTTTACGTTAAGATAAATGCTCAAATTTTGCTGGATCCCCAAAACTCATGCAAATAACAACCACCATTTAATTGGATGCCTGCAATGTGCCAGGCAGTGTGCTGGGACTTTATCAATATCTCATTCAATTCTCATGACAACTCTGTAAGGCAGATCTTATTCCCATTTTACAGAAGCTAAAACTAAAACTCAGGAGAAGTTAAGGAACTTGCTCAGGGTCACACAGCAAGTAAACAGAAGACAGAATTTAGACCTAACCTTGTCTGGTTCCAAAGATCATGCTTTTTCACTCTGCAGTGCTCCCTCTCTCTAAACACATGCTCCAAAGATATATTAAGGTTGATTTAGACCTGTCCGATCTAGAAGCCAAAGCAGGAACATTGCTCAGCCTTGGACCCTCCGACTTCTAGGGGCCAAGGAAAGTGGCAAAAAAGGGTCCAGAAGCTACTCTCATTGTTTTTTAAAAATCTAATAATACGTTTACCTATAGAAAGGCTTAGCAAGCTAACTAAAAAGTCTGTTTTTTGTTTTTTGGAGTTTTTTTTTTTTTTTGGTTTTTTGCCTGTGGTTGGAATTTCACTAACTCAGAGCATTATCCTCAGTCATTTCATGTTGGTCAAAGCTGACTGAAAGTTAAAGAGATGTATATTTGATTAATTTTTTTAAATGGGAAAACCCTTTGGTAGAGTAATTTAAAAGATTGTCATTTGCTGAAGTAGGTCCTTGTGAAATGCTACGTGCTTTCATGTGCTATCTTATTTACTCCTCTAAGGTATTATAACACTTGTATATTATGTTAACTTTATAATTATAATACCATTTCCCATTTTGAAAATGAGAAAAACAGAGTATTCTAATAAGTTAACCAAGATCACCTAGCTGGTAATTGGCAGAACTGGGATTCAAATTGAGGCATGTCTAATTCCAAAGCTTTCCTACACAGCTCAGTTCTACAAATTAACTGAGGGTTTTTTGTTGTTGTTGTTGTTTGTTTGTTTGTTTTTTAAATAGAGACAGGGTCTCGCTATGTTGCCCGGGCTGGAGTGCATGCAGTGTGATCCCACTGCTGATCAGCATGGGAGTTTTTGACCTGCTCCATTTCCAACCTGGGCTGGTTCACCTCTCCTTAGGCAACCTGGTGGTCTCCCACTCCCAGAAGGTCAACATATTGATGCCGAACTTAGTGTGGACACCAGATTAGCATAGTGCACTACAGCCCCAGAACTCCCGGGCTCAAGTGATCCTCCTGCCTCAGCCTCCTGAGTGGCTGGGACTACAGGCACACTCCAGCACGCCCAGCTAATTGAGGTTCTATTGCGTGGCAGGCACAGGATTCTATGATGAGTAAGATACTGTTCCTGCACTGAAGAGGTTTTTTTTTTTTTTTTTTTTTTTTTTTGAGACGGAGTCTGGCTCTGTTGCCCAGGCTGGAGTGCAGTGGCGCCATCTCAGCTCACTGCAACCTCCGCCTCCTGGGTACAAGCAATTCTCCTGCCTCAGCCTCCCTAGTAGCTGGGATTACAGGCACACACCACTGCGCCCAGCTAATTTTTTTGCATTTTTAGTAGAGACAGGGTCTCACCATGTGGGTCAGGCTGGTCTCAAACTCCTGGCCTCAGGTGATCCGCCCATCTTGGCCTCCCAAAGTGACAGGATTACAGGCGTGAGCCACCACGCCATTTGAATCTCTGCTCACTCTATACCAGTTAAGATACCCACATACTTTTCTGTTTCTCTAGTAAGGGGCCTGTTTATTAAAATTAAAAAGTAAGAAAACCATTGCCACAAACTTGTAACTTCTTGACTCCTTCACAGCCCTCTGAATCTATGATCCAAAGTGTTTTAAAATTTTAAGCTTCGAAATATGAGAAATTACCATATTTATACTTCAGTATTTATAATAAGGTTTTAAAAGATATCAGACTTGTTGCTCATGCCTGTAATCCCAGCACTTTGGGAGGCCAAAGTGAAAGGATCTCCTGACTTCAGGAGTTAGAGACCAGCCTGGCAACATAGTGAGACCCTGTGTCTACAAAAAATAAAAATATTAACCAGTCATGGTGGCTCATGCTGGTAGTTCTAGCTATTCAGGAGGTTTAGGTGGGAGGATCTCTTGAGCCTGGGTGGTTGAGGCTGCGGTCAGCCAGGATTGTGCCACCGCACTCCAGCCTGGGTGACAAAACGAGACCTTGCAAAATAATAATAATAATAATACACACATGCATCAGACTTTAATTTTCTGAAATCAATTTTTGGTCCTACAGAAATAATAAGGAACTCATTGATTATTTTTCTTTCTTTTGAGACAGAATCTCGCTCTGTCACCCAGGCTGGAGTGCAGTGGCACCATCTCAGCTCACTGCAACCTCTGCCTCCCAGGTTCAAGTGATTCTTGTGCCTTAGCCTCCTGAGTAGCTGAGATTACAGGCAAGTACTACCACACCCAGCTAATTTTTTGTATTTTTACTAGAGACAGGGTTTCACTGTGTTGGCTAGGCTAGTCTTGAACTTCTAACCTCAAGTGATCCACCCACCTTGACCTCCCAAAGTGCTGAGATTACAGGCCTGAGCCACCATGCCCAGCTGACTGATTGTTGATTTAATATGTGTAAAGACTGTGGAGCTCAAATGTACAGGCTTACATATTAACACTTTGATGCAAGGTTTTTGTTTTATTTTTGATTTTTAAAAATTTTTTTAACAGAGTTCAAATTGGGGCACAAGTGCACTCCTTATCTCACAACATTTTAGTAACGCCTAAGGCTTGCCCAATTTATTTTGAAAACTTCAGTCTGCTAGGTCATGAAAACAGCCCCCTATGTTATAAAAACAGCTCCCAAGCCCCCAGTAAGCTCTTGCCTTTATTGCATAAAATGGAATGAACCAAATATTTCTTCCTTTTGCAAGCAAGCCCAAATAAGCATATGGATTGAAGAGTGAAAAAGACAAAACAAAAATACAAGAATAATTAAGCCCCTTACTAAAATGCCTACTCCAATCGCAGGATACAGGCAGTCATGAGTCAACATGTGATCCTAACTAAAGACAAAAACAATTCACTCACAGCAAACCCAGCTGCAGCTAACAACATGAGCAATACCAAGAGCATATCTGAATGCACACATGCCAATAAAGAGACTTTTATGATTTCAGTAGAAAGAACTCCACCTCCGACTCCATTCAGGGCCAAGAGCAGTCAGGCAAATGGAAAAATGTGCTGGAAACAGCGTTGAGACTCTCCAACGAAAACATTCCTTCCCTTGTCATTTTGACTATTTGAGACAGCAGTGCTTTGGAGTTAGAAGATGAAGAGTCAAAGTCATCACTCATCCTCAGGGAAAACACATCCTAGGAATATTTTATTATAATTGCTTTCTGAGATGCTGGGCCACTCCAGGATACATTTACCATTTTCATACCTGAGGGGATATATGTGATGTGTTCTGCCAACCTTGAGTCACCTGGTAAGGGTGTCCGTGGAAGGCACCATTGTTTTCAAGTTTAATTCCTGGCTTAAAAGCCTACATCCCTGTATTATTGACTAAAAGTCAATCAAGTACCCCAATAGGGTGTTCCTGTGTGTGTCTTGTTTTGCTTTTTTTTTAAATCTGACCCCTAAGCAGAGAAGCTGTGCTAAGGTTGGAGAAGTTTTTAATTATACTCCAAAAAAAAAAAAAAAAAAAAAGTAGAATAAAACAGAGAGGAAGTGCTAGCAAACAGCAGCTCAGTGTAAACCTTTTAAATCCAGCCTCTTTGTAGGTTGGAGATTTTTGTTTCTTTATTCCTTTATTTCCGTAGATTCAAGATCCAATTCCTAAGCTTCCTAGTCGAGTTGCAGAGGGAATTAAGCTTATTGGGAGAACCACATAGTTGGGTCCTATATGTTTGGATGGCAGTCATAACAGCTGTCAGAATTCCTCTTTATTAGTTGCTTTTAGGATTGTCCTAAGTATCATAGGTTCTCTAAGTTTTTTTTTTTTTTTTCAAAACTCATCCTTTATTTAAAAAAAAAGTTTGTCCATATATTGCTTGCTTGTTACAAATTGTCTACTCCTCCTTCATGGAAAATTCAACAATGTCAGTATCAGGGCCATGGTTTTTATTCTCCATTCAGCATCTTTCTATGACATTCATTTTAATAAATATAAGTAACTTTGCATTTGGGTCATACCTATCTACAGTAGCTATCTGTGTTAAAATTATCATATTGATCACTTTCAAAGCCACCCAGGAAGGCAAAAACAAGGACTCACAGACTCAAGAAGAGGAAATGACAAAGCTCGAGACGAATTCCAAAGGTAGATCAAGTTTGTGTGAACATACAATCTGAATCCAGGTCTGACAGCTGGCCATACAAAGTCATACTTTCCCCACATCCCTCCTCTTTGATAGGCATTGTCATCTAGAGCAATAGCCTCGAAATAGACTGAACACCGTGGCCCATAGCTTAACTCCGTTCCACCTCTATTTCAAAGTAAACTTGGGCTAGGAATGGTGGCTCACACCTGTAATCCCAGCACTTTGGGAGGCCAAGGCAGGCGGATCACCTCAGGTCAGGAGTTCGAGACCAGCCTGGCCAACATGGTGAAACCTCCGTCTCTACTAAAAATACAAAAATTAGCCGGGCATGGTGGCATGAGCCTGTAATCTCAGCTATTCAGAGGCTGAGGCAGGAGGATTGCTTGAACCTGGGAGGTGGAGGTTGCAGTGAGCCGAGATCGCACCACTGCACTCCAGCCTGGGCGACAGAGCGAGACTTCGTCTCGAACAAACAAAGTAAACTTGGAGTGGGGCCTGTGCAAGTTTTATTTTTTTATTTTAATTTTTTTGACTCATACTTTAGCTTCTTTATCCATTAAAGGGGATAATCCCACCCATTCACCTGTTTCACAGGCATTTTTAGGGTCAAATGAGGTATTTAAAAGGGCTTTTAAAAAAGTGAGGGCTTATTATCATGGTGGGCAGAATAATGATCCCCTAGAGATGTCTACATCCTAATCCCTAGAAACTGTGAATAGGTTACATGCAAAAGGGAATCCAGTTTGCAGATGGAACTGAGCTTGCCATTCAGCTGACTTTAAAATAAGGAGAGTATCTTGGATTATCCGATGCAATCACAAGAGAACCGAAATGAGGAAGAGGGAGGCAGAAGAGTGAATGTCAGAGTGATGTGATGTGAGAAAGGCCCGACCAGCTATGACTGGCTTTGAAGAAGGAACAGGCCATGAAACAAGGAATGTGGTGGCAAAAGGTAAGAAAATGGATTCTCCTTGAGCCTCCAGAAAGATGCACAGCCCTGCTGACACCTTGATTTTAGACCAGTGAGATCCATTTTGTTCTTCTGACCTCCAGGACTATAAGATAATAAATATGCATGGTTTTAAGCCACTAAGTTTGTGGTAATTTGTTACATAGCCATTGGAAACTAACACAATTATTAAGATGATTGAACTTCCAAGGACTGAAACAAGTTCTAGATGGATTCTGAGAGCTGAGTGAAATACACTGAGCAGCTCCCCGACCCCACATCACCCCCTTTACCCCCCAGTGTCTGCCTTGTAGATCAGCAAAGCGCATCCACAAGAGAAAGACAGCAGGTCCGGCAGGAGCACAGCAGCCAACCTGAGAGTGATGTAGCTGGGATTGGAGCTGTCCCTGGGATACCTGAGTAAGGGCCCATGCTAAAAATGACAGGAAGCTCATATCTGTCCCATATATTCGATGGGAACACCACCACTGTTACCAAAGTAGGCAGATGATCCTTGCATCCTGTCCCTTCCACTAGAACAGCATCCACTTTGTCTCTTTTCATTCCCTCTATTTTCAGTCTCCTCCAGGCTTCTCCAAACTAATTTCCCTGTTAGCAGGAGTTGGAGCTAGCCAAGAGTCTACCAAATCCCCTAGGGCCAAATGCCCAGGAACACCTCTGTGAGTCAGGTTCCAGATTCACAAACAGGGAAAAGTAACTGAGCAACTTCATTCTTATTCTATTCTTGCTGGAAGATCATTCCTACTTCACATACATCTCATCAGAGGGCCTCCAGGGACAGAGGCAGAGCAAATGCCAGATTTTAAAATTGTTTTCCTCTGGCTGTGCATTAACATTCTATTTCAGTCTTGACCCAAAGCCTGCTCAAGATATAAAGCTTGAGGGGAATTCCAAAGGTGGATCAGAGCCAAACTGATTTTTGTCCACATCTTCAGGCCCCAGTTCTCCCTCACCTCCAGCAGCCTTATCATTAGAATGAAAATCCTGCCCTGGAGGGTCCCCTATTCCTGCAGATTTACAGGCACCCAGCACCCCAGCCAGGCCTGAACCATTCTTTCCTGGTCAATTCAGCTTCCACAGGAGCGTCCACTCTGACCCACATTCCTGGAACGATTTCTTTTGCAAATCAGCAGGTTTTAAGCAAACAAGGGCACATTTCAGGACATTGAACTATGCAATTAGCTGAGGGTAAATTTGGCAAAGCATCTGGTCTGCTTACTAAAATGGAAATGGGGGAAAAAAAAGCACAGTTTTTAAAATTAAACATTCACTTTGTAAGGTCAATTCCGTGCAAATCTTCTTGAAATGACACAGGCACTGGCTCTGTACAAGAGGGTGGAGGGACTAGGATTCTTGGGGCTGTTCAGGAGCACCGTTCACTGATTGGGGCAGACACTGAACATGAGACAAGCATAATTCAGCGGTGCCAAAGAATGACAGCAAATAACCAGTTGTCTTCTGTTGGTGTCTCCAAAATCAACTTTCAGTAGGTTTTCACATTTTACTAAGTTTGAGCAGTAAAACTGCTAAAAGGATACATTGTGTTAATCAAATTAAAGGTATACTTCCTGATCTCTTGGGTCTTAGAACCTGTATCTTATATTAAAAGCTGCGTCCCACTCTTCTGTTGTATAAAGCAAGGTCAAAAGCACAGGCCAATAAGACTATAAAAGGGCAAAGTCGTGGTGGAAAATATACTCATTATTAGACCTTTTGAGCTACTTCCATTGCATGAATATTTTTGTTGAAGTTTTATCATCTCCTCTGAGAATTAGAAAGGCCAGTTTGAGATAATATTTCCAAAGACTAGAGTAAGATAATACATATACAAGCAGGACAATCAGGGAAGTAGGTTTTCGGGAGAAAGAAGTGGGGGAAGAAATAAGGGAATGTAGAAGTCTAATCAATGTTATCATTTCCCCACTTTTACAGCAATGGCATCCTCTGATGCAATAGACATTATGAATCAAGCTGGGCGTGGTAGCTTATGCCTATAATCCTAGCACTTTGGGAGGCCAAGGCAGGAGGATCACTTGAGCCAGGAGTTCAAGACCAGCCTGCACAACATGGTGAAACCCCATCTCTACAAAAATTACCCAAAAAATTAGCCGGGCGTGTTGGCACACACCTGTAGTCCCAGCTACTCAGGAGGCTAGGGTGGGAGGATTCCTTGAGCCTGGGAGGCGGAGGTTGCAGTAAGCTGAGATCATGCCATTGCTCTCCAGCCTGGGTGACAGGTGAAACCCTGTCTCAAAAAACAAAAAAATTATGAATTAGTTGGGAAAGCCATGACTGCTCTTCATTTATATCTCATTCTGCTTGTCTGAGGAATTTTTATGTAATTCTCCACCAGCTCACTCTATAGTATGACCATCCATTTTGGTCAAAGCTGAACTATTCCAAACAATATGGAAAACAGGAGTAAAAACAGGATTTCAGTAGTGACAAATACAGACTTGAAGCCATGAGAACATATCAAAACCCTCAAATAGAAGCTGGAAACCATGAAGAGTTTACATAACGTAAAGGGTCTTAGTGGGCCACAAACTGAACGAAAGTCAGCAGGTCTTAGAAGAGCAAGGATAATCCTTGGGAGGCTAGAAACAAGACCAGAACATGGGTGCACTGCATGTAATTGGGGAAGTTAGCTGCTAGCTCCATGTGACCATTTTTAATTTAAAAATTAATTAAATGTAAATAAAAGTTTAAATTCAGTTCCTTGGTCACACACACCACATTTCAAATGCTCAGCAGTCTCCTGTGGCTGATAGTGGCTGATAAGAGAAAGACAGCAAGACAGTAGGTCCAGCAGGAACATGGCAGCCAATCAGAGTGTGGCATAGCTGGAATCGGAGCTGCTCCCAGGAACCCTGAGAAGGGGCCCATGCTAAAAATGACAGGAGGCTCATATGCATCCCAACTGTTCAATGGGAACATCCCCTAACCCCTGGAACAGGAAAGCGCAGATATAGGTTCCCACCATTGCAGAAAGTTCTAATGGATGGTGCTGCTCTAGAGAAAGAGGGCCCTGCAGATGGTCTGGAAAGACACCAACCAAATCATTGGGAAATGAAACTTTGAAAAATGCAATAAAAGTGAAATTAACTTTCTTAAGCTTTGAAGGGAAAATGGTGAAGAGTGGCTTTAGGCTTTAAAATGGTGATAACTGTTGAGTGAAGACCAGATTTTTTCCACTTGTTTGAAGAGCTAAGGCAGGAAATTTTAACTTAGTCATAGAGAAACTCTCCTTTCCTTGTGAGGTGACTGGATGCTGGAATGGGAAGGAACACTTTCAAATCTGTATCGTAGGCCGGGTGTGGTGGCTCACACCTGTAATCCCAGTGCTTTGGGAGGCCGAGGCAGGTGGATCATCTGAGGTCAGGAGATCAAGACCAGCCTGGCCAACGTGGTGAAACCCCTGTCTCTCCTAAAAATACAAAAATTAGCCGGGCGCGGTGGCACGTGCCTGTAATCCCAGCTACTCAGGAGGCTGAGGCAGGAAAATTACTTGAACCCAGGAGGCGGAGGTTGCAGTGAGCTGAGATCCTGCCATTGCATTCTAGCCTGGGTGACAAGAGTGAACTTGTCTCAAAAAAAAAAAAAAAAAAATGTATCCTGGGAAATACATAAAAATAAGGTAGCAACTTAATATCTAGGGTTTAGGATTTGGGGGACTGACTAGAATGAACTTCACCTTAATCATCTATTTGCTTTGTCTGTTCAAGGCCTCCATACGGAGAATGCAAATGACAGGCATAAATAAGGAAGGACTGCTGCATGAATCCCAGAGGTTTTTGCTTTGCTTGCCTTTTCCTACAGAGCCTGTAATCCCAAAACAAAGCCTTCGCTCTTGACCTCAAAATCTAGCGACTTTTGCTTCACCCCACAATTTCCTTTGTTTCCAAAGGGAATTAGAAAAGCTCCCCTCAAACTTTCCTTCAAGCAGCTTTTTCCATCTTTATTGAGAAGCTCCAGAGACAGAGCCTGCTGTAAGCCCAGATGTGTTGACTAAATTAGCATGGTTATGGCATGATGCAGCAGTTAAGAGCCTACACTTTGGAATCAGACAGCCCTGGATTTGAGTTCCAGTACTTCCTCTTAACTAGCTGGGTAACCTTGGGCAAGTCACTTAACCTTCGTATTAGACATAACTCTCTTGATTTCAAGTTACATTTTCTTCAGAAGAATTGAAAGTTGATTGGTTTATGTACTTGGAAAACCCAAGGGGTCTGCTCCCCATGCATAAGGAATCTACATTTTGGGATCCCTTACAATACTCCTCTTCTGATACCAATTTGTTTATTAGTCTCTTTTTAGCAACTGACGAAACTCCAACCCAAACTAGCTTCAGCAAATATAAAGTTTATAGGCTTATGCAACCTGGGTGATTCAAGAGCACAGAAAACTTCAGGCATGGCTGCATCAAGGGTCCCAAATGATCTTTCTTTTCTACCCTTCAGATGAGCGTGCTCGACATGTTGAGAATGGTGACCACCAGAAGCCCCAGACTTACCTCACAACTTTCAGGAGACAAGGATCACATCTTCCCTGGTAGAAAAGCTCTAGGGAAGTTTCTGTTTGACCCAGCCTGGGTCAAGGCCTATCGATGGACCATTCATTGTGACCAACAGAATAAGATGTTCTGACTGACCAAGCCTGGATACATGTTCATCCCTCTGACTAAGGGTAGACTGAATAATTTAAACTGCACTGGATGAGTTCCCCACAGGAAAGGGGTTTTGGGTTCCAGATGGTACATAACAACATGCTCACTACAACTTCTCAGTCTCCATTTCCTCACCTGTCAAACAGGGATAGAATACTTTTCTCACAGGATGAGGATGAGATTAAATAACTTATATAAAGGCATCTGGAACACTGCTCAAATGATGGTAGCTAATATTTTGCAGAACAATAATTTACTATTATTTTGTTTAGGACATGTGGTGGCTTTGTAATATGTCAGCTTGGCTAGGCTGAACTACATTTCACAGAATTCCCTTTCCTATATGTTTCTGGTTAGGCTGTGCCAATAGAGAAACTCGTGTGTGAGATTTGGAAGTTAAGCAGCAGCCATTTTGTCACTCACAAAGGTTATCCTTTATCCACTGGTTCACTTTGTTGGTAAGGAGTAGTGGTCAAGTCTACAGCAGTTCTACCTTCCCCTGGATCCTTCTTCAGCTTCTCCAACTTCCAGGCTAAATGTGTGTTTAGTTCCATGACAGAGGATGCCAGCTTTTCTGAAGGACACACAAACCATCCAGTCAGCAGTGGTGGAACTGACACTGATTTCTATCCTTCCTCATAGGTTCCACTTTATGCTTGTAGGTTCCAGCTTGTCCTTTTTCTCACCTGCACTTGCCAACTATCTTTTCCAAGGACTTCAAACTCCATCACTAGACACAAAGACGATAGCCTCGCAGACTCTTTAACCAGCTCCCATAATTGTAGAAGGTTAAATGCTCCCCCCTTACACACACACACACACACACACACACACACACACACACCTTTAAGGGGTTCTGTTTTTCTCATTAGACTCTGACTAATAAAACCAGACCTATCCCTTCATGACAGAAACTCTCAGTAAATTATGTATAGAGGGAAAGTGCCTCAACACAATAAAGGCCATGTGTGACAAACCCACAGCTAACATTATATTGAACCAGGAATAGCGGCAAGTTTTTTTGCTAAGAACTAGAACAAGACAAGGATGCCTACTCTCACCACTCTTATTCAACATAGTACTGGAAGTCCTAGCTGAGCAATTAGTCAAGAGAAAAAAAATAATAAAGGGCATCCAAATTAGAGAGGAGGAAGTCAGTTGCAGACAACGTGATCTTACATATAGAAAAACCTGTAGACTCTGCCAAAAACCTCTCAGAACTGATGAAATAATTCAGTAAAGTTGCAGGGCACAAAATAAATATACAAAAATCACTAATGTTTCTATATGCAATGAACAAGCTGAAAAAGAAATCAGGAAAGCAATCCATTTACAATAGTTACAAAACAAAAAACAACAACAAAAAAACACAAAACCTGGGAATAAAGTTAACCAAGGAGGTGAAAGACTTCTACAGGGAAAACTACAAAACTGATGAAATAAATTAAAGAGAATACAAAAAATAAAAAATCAAAAGACATCTCATGATCACGGTTTAGAAGAATATTGGAATTAATATTGTTAAAATGACCATACTACTCCAAGCCACCTATAGATTCAATGCAATCCCTATCAAAATACCAATGACATACTCCACAGAAATGGAAAAAAAAATCTTACAATTTGTATGGAGCCACAAAAAACCCTGAATAGCCTCCTCAGGGAAAAGTAATCCTCAACAAAAAGAACAAAGCTGGAAGCATAATACTACCAGTCCTGCAAATATTCAAAGCTGTAGTAACCAAAACAGAATGGTATTGGCATAAAAACAGACATAGATCCATGGCACAGAATAGAGAACCTAGAAATGAGTCCATGTATCTATAGCCAGTAGATTTTTTTTTACGAAGGGGCCAAGAACACTTACTGGGGAAAGGACAGTCTTTTCAATAAAATGTGCTGGTAAAACCAGATATCCATATGCAGAAGAATGAAACTAGACCCCTACATCTCACCCTTAATCAAAAAGTGGATCTGAGACCTAAATCTAAAACCTGAAACTATAAAACTACTAGAAGAAAACATAGAGGAAACAACTTAGAACATTGATCTGGGCAAAGATTTCTTAAGTAAAACCTCAAAAAGAACAGATAACCAAAGTAAAAAGTAACAAATGGGATCACATCAAGTTGAAAAGGCTTCTGTACAGCAAAGAAAACGACAGACTGAAAGGACAATCTAAAGAATGGGAGAAAATATTTCCAAACTATTCACAATGGAGGAGAAGTAATATCCAGAATACACAAGAAACTCAAATATCTCAACGGAAAAAAAAAATTTTTTTTCATTAAAAAATGGGCAAATGATCTGAGTAGACATTTCTCAAAAGAAGACTTACAAATAGCCAACAAAGAAAGACATGAAAAAAATGTTCAACGTCACTAATCATCAGGGAAATAAAAATCAAAACCACAATGAGATATCATCTCACTCCGGTTAGAGTGGCTATTATCAAAAAGACAAAAAATAGCAAATGCTGGCAAAGATGCAGAGAAAAGAGAACCCTTATACACTGTCAGTGGGTAAACTAATAAAACTACTATGCAGAATAGTATGGAGATTCCTCAAAAAACTACAAATAAAACTATCATATGATCCAGCAATCCCATCCCATTACTGGAAATTTATCTTTTTTTTTTTTTTTTTTTTTTTTGAGACAGGTCTCACTCTGTCACTAACTCACGGTGGAGTGCAGTGGCATGACCTCAGCTCACTACAGCCTCAACAGCCTGTGCTCAAGCGATACTCCTACCTCAGCTTCCCAAGTAGCTGGGATTATAGGCATTTGCCACCACACATGGCTAATTATTTTTATTTTTTGTAGAGATGGGGTTTTGCCATGTTGCCCAGGCTGGTCTCGAACTCCTGGGCTCAAGCAGTCTGCTGGCCTCGGCCTCCCAAACTGCAGGGATTACAGGCATGAGCCACTGTGCCCGGCCCCACTACTGGGAATTTATACAAAGGAAAGGAAATCAGTATATCAGAGACATCCACACCCCCATGTTTATTGCAGCACTATTCACAATAGCCAAGATATGAAGATATGGAATCAACCTAGGTGTCCAACAACGGATGAATGGGTAAAGAAAATGTGGTATATATACATCAGGAATACTAGTTAGCTACAAAAAAAAGAATGAAATTCTGTCATTCACAGCAACATGGATGGAACTGGAGGACATTGTGTTTAGTGAATAAGCCAGGCACAGAAAGTTAAACACTCTCCCTGCATGTCCCCCTTCATATTGGAAGCTAAGAAAAAGTTGATCTCATAGAAGTAAAAAGTGGAAGGAAGGATACCAGAGGCTGAGAAGGGTAGGGGAAAGACAGTGATAAGCAGAGATTTGTTAAAGGATACAAAATTACAGCTAGATAGGAGGACTAAGTTCTAGTGTTCTCTGCCAGTGCCGAATGACTATAGTTAACAATAATATATAGTTTCAAACAGCTAGAAGGAGAATAGTGAATGTTCCCAACACGAAGAAATGATACATGTTTGAGATGACGCATATGCTAATTACCCTGATCACTATACATTATATGTATCAAAACATCACTATGTACCCCAGAAATATGTATAATCATTATATGTCAATTTTTTAAAAGCCCAGAATCTAAGTTTTCTAAACTCCCCCCAATCTCCCTTTTGGGCTCCTTTTTGGGAAAGAAGACCCTTTGGGAATTGTTTCAAAGGAAGCATAAATTAGGATAGAACTAGAGCTAATAGTTACGGTAAACTTCAAAATAATAATTTTTAAAACTTATCTTTTAATTTTTTTTTTTAAATAAAGAAAGCTAGAAAAATAAAAATACCACAGCACTAACCACAACCTACCAGAAGCATAGTACATGAAATAAATGGGACCAGCATCTTCTGTTATTCATCCAGCATTGGCTCAGACTTACCCAAGGTCAGTGGCAAAGCCAGTGCAAGAAGCAACAAGATGCCTGAGCCAAAAGGAAGAGTTCAATTGTTTAAATCAAGCAAGAGCCCTTTTCAGTCTAGTTGCCTCAAAATTTAAGGAGTGAGGGTGTCCATCACATCCACGTGTGCAGGATGGGAATTTCTTGCCATGTGCCTTTCTGCATGCAGAGCTTGGGCTGGGTCTCCTGTGGCAGCTGCTCAGGACAGTGTTCTCTGAACTTCCTCATTCCTGCCTTCTCTATACAGGAAGCAACAAAGCAGTACATGTTGCTCCCTTCCCTGAGCTGCAGGGAACTCGTTACAAGCAACACTGGCTAAGAAAGGAAGCATTTCCATCCTGTCACATGAACTGAGATGGATTCAGGAAAACATGAGTTCATGCTGTGGCTCCGTCAAGGCATCCCTCAGGATAGGGAGACTCATTGGCTCTTTGACCCTTTTCCCAACTCTGTCTACAAATCTGTCTTCCTTGGACCTGCCTACATGAAATGCTACCACTAGAGTCATTTATTTTAGGCCCAAATTACAACCATGTGAGATAGTTTAATCATCTTTTTGCCTTGAAACAGTAAGTAGAGATCCTCCCAGTAAAGATTGGGAGGTTTAATGGCAATTGGTGGGACTACTGGGGAGCTGTAGGATCCAGGCAGTAGGGCAGGGGAGCCCCGCAGAAAGGCGGTGAAGCAGTGGGAGTTCCAGGAGCTGCCACTACATGAGTGCCTTAAAGTCTGCAGGTCAGGCGGCCCCTCAAGGTAGGAGACAGCAGATAAAGGAATGTAGAGATGCTCTGAAGTTTTCTCTGCCACAGCTTGGCCTAAGGCCACGTACCCTTCCTGTGTTTGTATCTCAGTCATTCCAAGGGTCAAGTCAGGAAGGGGCCTGGCCCACATTCTGTGTGATAATAGATCAGATACCTCTGGTGTTCTGCCTCCCATCTCAGCCTCACCCCTGATTCTAACTGCAGTCTATGCTGGCCTCATCCTGACAGCCTCTTGCCTTAAGAGCCAGCCCATGTCTTTTGCTTTCTCTATTTTGGGATCTCTACAATGCTGTGGACACTAATGGGAGCCCACTTAGCACTCGCATATGTACAGCTCTGACTGTGAGGGAGTTAATGGCTCCAGTGTAACCCTCAAACAGGGGCCAGTGGGAGCTGCAGATGAATGCCTCTTCTGGTTGACCATCAGATAGACAACCCTGAGAGATTTTTTTGTTTGTTTTGAGACGGAGTCTCGCTCTGTCGCCCAGGCTGGAGTACAGTGGTGCGATCCTAGCTCACTGCAACCTCCGCCTCCTGGGTTCAAGCAATTCTCCTGCCTCAGCCTCTCAAGTAGCTGGGATTACAGGTGCCTGCCACTACGCCAGGCTAATTTTTGTATTTTTAGTAGAGATGGGGTTTCACTATGTTGGCCAGGCTGGTCTCAAACTCCCGACCTCAGGTGATCTTCCCGCCTCAGCCTCCCAAAGTGCTGGGATTACAGGCGTGAGCCACTGCTCCCGGCTGTGAGAGAAGGTCCTGGGAGGGATTAAGCTGCAGTTGCTCGGCAATGGCCTCAATAACACACCGTATGTTGACTATCCCTCCTTCCCTCTCTCTCCCCAGTCCCTCACTTCTGCCCCCTAGGATCACCTCCCAAAGAACTTCCAAATAAACCACCTGCACACCATCCCTTATCTGGGGCTCAACTCTCCAGGGAGGACACAGGATAGGAAAGATAACATTCTTCTGTAACCCCAATAAATGCCAGGGCCTTGTGGGGCTCAGTCTCAGCAGGAAGTCCAATACACAGCTCAGCAAGCAATAAAGCTTTTATAAAAAGGAATTTCAGTCTTTAACATTCATAGAGATATGTCAAAAAGCATCCAACAATTTCTAAATTCCCCTTGTCCAGGCCCCAAACCATCTCACAGCTATTCCAGACCCCTTTGGATACCATTCTTGCTCTTCTTCTTTTCCATCTCTTTTAATATATGAATGCATTTCACTTCCCTAGCTTAAATACATACAGATAGTCCCTGATTTATGATGGTGCAACTTAGGATTTTTCAACTTTACAATGGGTTTATCAGGGTATCAGATGCATTTTTTACTTCAATATTTTTTACTTACAATGGGTTTATCAGGGTGTAGCTCCATCATAAGCTGAAGAGTGCCTGTATCCACATAGCCTCCCGCTCCTGTCTTTCTGCAGAAGCTGTTGTGAATCTGCATCACTGAAGAGCAGCCATCTTCTTACCTGGTGGTAGTGGAAGGCTGAGGGACTGCTGCCTCCCACCAATGCCCTCCCTGTCTGGTTTTTGGATAAGAGTCAGGCTGCAAGCTTCCAGAGCATCACAGTAGATGCTGCATAGTGCCTAGAGTGAAGCCCACAGCAAACCTGCAGGGAGCCAGCCTTTTTCTGCAACAACATACATAGAAAATGGGCATTTTTGTGCCCTATATTCAAGAAAATGGATACAACTGCCACCCCAAGAGCTGAGGGGCTCCCTATCTTATTTGACAAAGCATGACCCCCTTGCAGCACATCAGTGGGCTGACCGCCCCCAGTGGGAAGGCTGCTTGCTGGGCACGCAGGCAGTGGCCAGAGCTCTGACACCGTGGTAGGTCCTGGGAACACACTGAGCTGGCTCCCTCTCCCTCAGCTTCTAATGAACACGAGCATTTGCTTGACATTTTCCTGCACATTCTTACATTTGCCAACTGCCTCCCCGCCCCCATCCACACATTCCACAACATGGCAATTAATTGTTCTCTGCTGTTCAGCAGCATTGGTCTGCACAGCCGCAAGTGTAGTCATGTTTTGTTCCTGATTTAATCAGTGGCTATCCCTGACTGTCCCTCAAAAAACAGACAAAACCAGCCAGCTGCAGACCCAGCTGTCAGCGAGCCCGACACTGGCATTCAAGTGGCCGCAAGAGAACCCATACAGTGCCCAGAGAGAGCCCATTCTTTTCTTTTCTCCTCTTTACAATTGACAGGCTCTGAGAAAGGAAACGTGAGCTCTGGGCTTGGCAGCAGGGCAGGAGGCTCTTGTTAACAGCTTGCCTTCCTGTTTATATGGGGTCTGGCAAAACTGTTAATTTCTCTCACGGAGGTGACAAATGGGAAACCCAGAACCGCCAGGGAGCAGCAGCCTAGAAAACAGCCCAGGCGTGACTTGTTGAAGCAAGGCCAGGGGGCTGGAAATGGGTGGGCAGGGACTCTCGTAGGTTCCCGGGCCCACTGGAGAGGACAGCCGCACTCAGCGGTCCCTCTCGAAGAGGCGCTGAGCCCGGCTGCGTGGGCATGCCTCTGCCGCTGTGCCCCAAGACAGGACAGACACAGTGGAGTGCCTGTGGTGCGGCTCAGAGGCTGCTTCCCAAATTAGCATCTGTGCTAGGACCTGCCGGGTCTGTCCTCACCATCCTTGAGTGGCCTTGGTCTGGCTCAGAAGCTGAAAACACCCCAGGAAATACACCAGGGTTGGGCAGCCCCCTTCCTGCTGCTTCTCCTGGAGCTTCTCCTGCAGCATCCTAAACCCTAGGCAGTGTTTCTCCTGCTGCTTGCACATGGAAAGCACCTGGAGAACATCAGGTTTAATTGTTCTAAGATAGGACCTGGGTGCTGATCTTTTTAAAAAGCGTCCCAAGTGATTCCAATAGGCAGCCGGGGTGGTGAACTATCATCAAGGGTAGATTGCTGTTGCTGTTTTTAGTTTCATTATCAATCATTATTATTATCTGAAGTTAAATGCTGGCTTATTTCAAAAGCCTATTTGCAGGGGTGGGATAGAGGCAAGGAACGAGATGAGGAAACAGATTCCAACAGTCAGAGACCCTCGGAAGATGAATAATAGCCCCAGTTTAACTGGGACTGGGGATATGGGTTTAGGGTAGTTTTCCTGGGATGTGGAATTTTCAGAGCCAAAACTAGAAAAGTCTGTCATGCTACCAGCCCCCAGGGCACCCTGGGCTGTGTCTCCCATGGGTTCACCGGCCCTCTGATCCTCTTCAAGGGGTAAGGTCTTATTCATGTTTGTATTCCCCAGTAGCTGCCATACAGTAGGTGTTCATTATCTAGTCCTGAATTTGCTGCCTCCTGTTTAATTCAACAAAGACCCCTTAGCTGCTGCTATTTTATGTAGGAACGTTACCGTGCTTTCATGGCCTGAAGAAAGACATAGTATTATTTGTTCTGGAGACAGACGCAGCTTCAGCGTGGGTTGAAGAGCAGGTTGTGGGCTGAGCTTTGGGAGAGATTTGCAAGCCTGTGGACATGGAATGCTGTGGCTGCAAACATTTCAGGGAAATGGAGCTATTCTCACCACAGATATAGATCTCATTTAAATATCCCTCTCCACACAATTTTCCTATCAAAGCAACTGGACTGCAAAACTGAACTATTTTGGAAGTTTTGTCTCTTATAAAAGGAAAATCAGGATTCTCTCTCCTTTTTTGCTTCAGTTTTATTCAAAACAAGTAAAATAAGGGTTTGTGGAGAACGCAGCAGCTCCCTTCTTAGGCTCTTTGAGGACTCCCAAAGCCTGACAAGCAGGCCCTCCTGAAGCTCACAGTGAAGGCCTCTCCACCCCACCACTCTGGCCCCTCCCCATCCTCAGTGTGGCCTCCCTGGGTCCCTGCATGGATGGTCCTGTGGCTGTGCAGAGTCCTTCTCGTCTCTGTTCAGGAGACTCACACCCAGCCCCTCTTACTTCCACTCTTTCTGCAATGATCAGTTCAAGCTTGGGATCCTCCAAGAAGACCTACTTCCTCCTTTCTCTTCTGAAAGTTTCCAAAGCAAGCAGAGTCTCTGCCACATTGTCCAGCATCCCTCTGTGATCCCTTGTGGAAATTACCAGGTCATTAGTTCCACCAACATGTCCTTTGCTGATACAGTCTCTGCCTACCAGCCCCAGTCCTGGTATTCCTGAGGCTGTCTGAAAATCTGCATGGCTGTGGTCTGCCCACCTGCTCACCATGATGTGTAAACAGTAGGAAAGTGTGTAGATGAGATATTTCATCAGCAAGAAGCCTGGGGAAGCTGCAATCCTCTGCTGCTTCCCTCACTCCCAGCAGCTGAAGCAGGGAGTGGGGAGGAGAGGGGTAAAGCTGGTTCTGCAGCCAAGAGGCCTTGGGTGGGAGTTCTTTGATTTGGCTACTTTCCCAGGAAAGGACATCTCTGCATCCCTCCAGAACTTCCAAGGGGCCATCTCTGCTTCAGGCTACCATCTCTGCTGCAGTCTCTACTATGTTCTCACCTCCTAAGTCCTGGCCAGATCCTCAGCTTGGCCCACAGGGAGCAGCTGAGCCTGGGATCAGGAACCTTACTCTGGATTCTGGGTTTTGGCGGTGTGGTTGGGTCCTCCCAGTACCTTAGTTTTCTTATCCAGAAATAGGGGTTAATAATAGTACCTACTTCACTGGTATTCAGAGGATCAATTGACCTACTTCTGTTAAAGCAATTAGAACAGTGCCTGATGCATAATAAATGTTGGCTATTATTTAACATTCTCTTAATGGAGGAGAGGGAGGGGATAGTAAATCATCTCTAGGTGAGAAGCCACCTGATTTTTGTGATTCCTGCATCCTGAAGTTTTCCCATCTCTGAGTTTGGTTCTTATTGCTAGAGGCAGTTCTGGCCTCCTGAAGAATCTCTCAGCCCAGACACTCCTGAGTTTCTTTCTGTGTGTGTTGTGTCTCCAAAATAGGCCAGCCACGGCTGAGCTCTAAGAAAGTTGCCTTTAATTGCCACCTTGACACAGTCTACTTCTAATTGTTTTGAATGTGTTGATCTTGATATCTTAAACCTCCATGTGCTTCCTGAGGCAAGCAATTCTGTCTTGTGCATTTTCTTTATCTCCCAACTATGCCTAACATAGTTCTAGGCATTGGTTGAGAGACACATTAAAACCTGGGAGAACCCAAAAGCAATCTACCACCCCATTGCCCAGTGTCCATGAGACCAGAAATAATACTGAGGAGATCCCCTTGACCTTGAGCATCTGAGTCTGGATCAGGAAGGTTGGGAAATACATCTGTTTTGGATTTTGGGTAGTTGGGAGAGTGGAATGACAGCCAGCAAAACTTCCATCCCCAGCAGACTAGCCTCTGTCCACTCCCTAAGGTTTGGAGTGAGCCCAAATAGCTTCATTTGGGAGACAGACAGGGGAGACGCCAGCCAGAGCCAATAAATAAATATCCTTCTCTCCCTCGATTTTACTTCCTCAGTGGTGCATGGAAAGCCTAGAGTCTGCAGTAATCAAATAGACATGGACCATGAAGGGCTTCTCATTCCAGGCTGCAGGGAAAGCCCCAAGACTCTGCTATGGTTCTTCATGCCCACCCTTCTTTTGCTGGAAAGGGAGCTGTTTGTGACATTTCTTGTGTCCCTCTCACATTTCAGAGCTTTTGTTGGAAAATACTTTTAGATTAGCATTAAGTCTGTGTTATCCTTTAAAAGACTGGATGAGTAATAAATGAGCTAACCTATCCTATTTTCCAAAAAGAACTCGAAATTCCTCCCACTTCCCTGAACAAAATATCTGTATTCCCACCCACACTCTCAGCAACCTGCTGCCGAGGCTGAAACCCCGCCAAGGTTGGCTTCAGCACTACTGCTCCTGGGGCTTTGGGCTGCTCCCCACTCCAGCCAGGGTCCTTGACTCCGCATCTGAGTTCTTGCTCTTCCAATATAGATAAAGGCACGTTAATGGGGCCAAGAGTCCCTCTGCCAGATGGGCTGAAACACCATAGACGACTATAGTCAGCAGCCCGTGGAGAAGAGTTCAGACATTAAATGCTTTGCTGTGCAGAAGTTGTCAACAAACAGCAAGGCACACCAGCCCACAGCCATTATCCATGCCATGTTTCTACCCTGGCTTCCAGCCTCAGCCTTGCCCCCTGCCCAAAAGGCCCTCCCTTCTCCTAGGCACCGGACAAATTCTAATCTTTCAAGATTCAGACCAAGCTCCTCCCCCTCCCCAGCACTCCTTCAGGATAGGTGCATTTATTGAGCACCTGCTGAATTCCAGGAGTGGACTAGGGATTGAGACACAAAGATTAAACTCCCCAGCCCTACCTGCAAGGAATTCCCAATCTAGGAAGCAATCTCTGACCATTTTAGCCCACAAGTGCTACCGTTCTTTGAACTCCTTTGAACAAGAAGTTTGAAGTACAGTGTAGATCTCACAGAGTCATCAGTCTTAGAAACAGAAGGAAGCTCAAAAAATTCACCTGATTGGTCCAGCCTTGGCTTGGCTATTGTTAATATTATCCCCAACTTACAGACGAGTTAATGGAGCCTCTGAGAGGTTAAGAGCATTGCCCAGAGTCACAGAGTGAGCTAGTGGCCTTTATGTACTCTAACTGCTCTCTGTGTTGGTCTTACTTCCCCAATTGGTTCTAAGCTTCCCAAGACGGGCCAGGACATTTTAGCTTCCCTACCTACAGCCTTTCTGCCAACCCTCCACACGCATTAAGTGCCTAATAAAGACTAGTGACTTGCTGATTGCTCGTGGGCCTCTCTCAGCTCCTCAGGTCACGGGGCCCAAGGGCACTACCTGGAACCCGCAGTCCAGACCCTGCATCTGGAGAGAGGCTGAGCTTCCTCTCCATTGCTCACATTCCCTTGGTGTGGCCTCTTTTTGAGAAGCAGCAGCCTGTAGCCCCCAGGAGAGGACCTACATCTCACTGTTTGCAAACAGGCTTTGCTTGCTCCAAAGGCTCTGTTCTCAAGACAGGCTCAAGTAAGCAGCCCTTGGAACTGGAGTGGTTAAGTTAAATAAGGGTGTTGGTTGCAGTGTTCCTCCTGAGAGAAAATGAAGTTGACCTGATCTCTTTCCCATGAGCCATTTGGAGAACAGGAGATAATAAAGACAGCTGAATTTTCCCCTGGACCGTTCTTTGGGAGCTCTTTGTGAGGGGCTGTGGTCTTGCTGGGAGAATGCAAGAAGGTGAAGAGAAGCTGGTGGGATTGTGCAGGCTGCTTCAAGGTGGACCCCACCCCCAGTGGTGGGCCAGCCACAGTGAGTGACTGAGGACCCTGTGTGCCTGGGCCTCTGGCCAAGGAGGTGAGGGCTGGTTGTCATCCAGCTGAAGGCAGCTGCACTTGTGAAAATGTTCATCTATCGACACTGCACTCACCTGAAATACTACAGGCTGTGGCATGAGCCCAAATCTGCTCATGAATGTTTATCCCTCTGAGGGCAGCCACACCAGGCAGGGGAATTGAGGAAGCAGGAATTGAGAACTCTGCATGGGAACATGTAGATTTCGGGATTCAGATCAGAACCTTACAGTAGATTTGTCTTTGAGTGCAATGTCCCATTTAACTCTCTCCAGAGCCAGCCCCAGGATCCTGTGATTTGGAAGAGGAACTTTAGGACCTTGGAATTATACCCTAGGGGTGGAGAGATTGAGAGAGAAGTGCTCATAATACAGAGGAAAGGTGCCCCCAGCCAAGGATTAATCAGTGTAGTGGAGGAAGCAGACTAATCAAGATGTAATTATGCCAAAGGGAAACAAACCAACTAATGGGTGTCTTCTTAGAGCTCCAAGACCTGAAGGAAGGAGCAGCTTGCTGGCTCAGGGGTGAACTTTTCTTTAGGGGCCAGGAAAATGAGAGGACATGCTGGACATGTGGATCAAGGCCCGGGGAACATGGGGATACAAAGGCAGAGGCCCTGGGACTGGAGTGGGGATGGACTCTCTCAGGGACTGCGGAAAGGAAAGAGATCAGACAACCTGAGACAAACTTGCAGCCAGCCAGCAGGACCCAGGCTGCCCAGGCAGCCAATGGCCAGGAGACAGCCTGCTTCTAGAGCACCAGACACTGCGTCTTCTCAAAGACTGCAAAGTGTCAGCCAACAGAAAAGCCACCTGGGCCTCCTTGCACACTTTCCTATGCTCAGGAGCCAAGAATGTGCCTCCTTCTGTCCTTCTATCTTCCTGACCTCAGCAACTATACTCAGAAGAACAGCCAGATAGTCTTCAAACTGCTGTTTGCCTCCCAACACCTGGCAACAGGCAACAGGCAGACTGATGAACCAACAACTGTAAATGTTTGTTTTCTTTAAATAAAATTCCTTGGAAAGAGCTCTGAAAGTGAGGAGAAGAAATCCTAATTTGGCAACACCATTGAATGTTTGCATTTTCTAGGGCAATTCAATCTCTGGATTTTTAATTAAAGAAAAAAGAAAAGAATTAGCTGAAAAGATCTTGGCAAGAAGCTAAATGAGCCCATGCAGTTTGAAAATGAAGGTAAAAAGTCTCAGCAAAGTTTGTACTTCCCCAAGATCACACATGTGACGGGGTCAGGTGACCTCCCAGCCTTGCATAACATGTCCCATCCCACCCTGATCCCATCCTGGGTCCTCTTTGAGGGAAGAGGTTAGCAATCTCCACAAGCCCAACCAGTTCTATTTGGCCTGAACCTGAGGTTGGAATATGCCACTAGCCAATTTAGGTATGTACCTTCTTCTGTACTAAGTGTTGCCTGTATAGTGTACACATTTATGCTAACTAAAAATTAAATGTGTACCTGAAATATCATCAAATGCATTTGTACATTTCCTGGAACAGTAAAGGTATTGTTTGGCTTGGCCATCTGGGGATGCAATGACAGAGGGTAAAAGAGGTGGGTGGCTGCCATTGCTGGGCCTGACATGACATAGACCCTAATTGACCCCATGGTCTGCATTCAGAAATGGGGTATGTGGGCTTCTAGGTTACCTTTGGTTCTTGTTCCAAGGACAACACTTGGCTCTGTCAAACTCTGCTAGCTCTAGCTACCATGCCTCTAGCTAGTCCCCTCCCACCTCTGAGCCATCCCCCAGTTCTCTGACAGCCACACTTGATGGGCTTCAGCCCCCTGAATCGGCCTTGCTGGCAAACACAAATACAAGCATCCTTGGTTTCTTGCACATATATGGGACTGTCTGCTTATCAGCTGAACCATAAGGGTCTTGCAGTCTGGGACTTTACTCTTTGGTTCTCCCCTGTGTCTCCAAGTTCTCTCTATGGTGAACACTCAGTCCACTGTGACAACCCTCTCCCCCAACACCCACATGCACCCACATACACACAGTTCTATCTAGCAATCTAGAGGTTAAACGTAGATGTGACAAAAACATCAACAGCTCAAGTCAGGACCCCAACTGTAATTCCACTGGAAGTCACTGATATTTTAAGGGGCCAAAGATGACTGTCCCTTGGACTTCAGGCTAAATGTCAAACGAAGATGTGGGGTCCCAATCTTCTAATTTTTAGGGTCTTTTCCATGCTTTGAAAACCTGACAGGGTGTAGGCTAGTCCAGGGATGTGCTGGCATACCCTGCCCCCAGCTCTCCTGAGGCTAGAGAACACACGGCCTTCTCTCTTTGCTCAGCCCTGGGCCAAACCGCAGCCTCTTTAAGAGCCAGCCAGTAAGGCTGCTGGCTGCCTCTGTAGAGTCACGTGGAAGAGCACCAGGACAGGGCTCACCCAGCAGGGGTGAAGTGGAAAGGGGCTTTCCTAGAGGAGGGAAAGGGAATCACTCCAGCCCCCTGCACATTTGCCAAAGCCACATCAAACTCTGGGGCTACTGTTATACCACTAACAACTCCTCAACCCCAAGCCTTCCTAACCAGACCCAGCAGAGGGCATGCTGAGTACCCCGAGGATTTGCTTCCTCTGAAAGACGTCCTGAGTCCTGAGTCAACAAACACTTGGTTTCACAATTCGCATCTGTTTTCTGATTAGAAAAAAAAAAAAAAAAAAGGAGAGATGGCATGCCCACATGCTCCTGCAGGGAAGCTCACCCACCACCCCAGGCCCTGCCACCTGGCCTTTGCAGACTGTGTGAACCTCTGAGACTACTTGGCCTCCATGTCTCTGGAGCTTAGAGGAGCTCCTTAGGCCAGAAACCCTGACTTTCCCAGCCCTGAATCATCACAGCTCCACCTGGCCCTGCAGCCAGAAAACAGAGCCGCTGACTTTCAACCAAAGGGACACGCAGTTTGGGAGGATTCAAACAGGGTCATTACTGCTCAGTCTTTCAATGAGACTAAGCAGAACAAAGCAGGACTGAACCAGAAGAGACAAGTGCTCAGTTGGCACCTGAGGCAGAGCCCACTCTATCTCTATGAGGCCTTGGCTCCTGGGTGAACTTTCCCAGAAGTGTTTTGACAAAGACACTTCAGAAGTCTCTATAGTGCTTCCAAGTTCACATGTTCATCGAATGTTAAAGTAGGAAGGGACTTTTTGTGGGACTTTCGCAAGTCCTTTCTCCTTTCTGGGCTGCAGTTTGCTTATCTACACAATGAAGGGATTGGACTAGATCCGTGGGTCTCAATCCTGTCTGCACAAGAGAACCACCTGGGGATCCTGCAATCATGGGCAGGGAATGTCTGTGATAGCTTCAAAGTAAACAAGGGGCAGGTGCAGGGGTGGGGAGGCGTGGGCGGGGGGAAATGCTGCAACAGGACTGGCTAAGTGTTGAAATTGTTTAAATGGGATAATACGTAAATTGGGGGTAAGAGGGTGGGGTCATTCCATTCCCTGTTTTTCAGAATAAAAAGCTTAAAAAAAAGAAAAACCAAACCACTGATTCCTGGGTCTCACCTGGAACCTATTAACCTGGGCAACAGAGCGAGACTCCATCTCAAATAAATAAATAAATTAAATAAAATGGAATGTCTAAGGGCTCGGGGCCATGGAATTAGTGTTTCGAAAAAGGAGTCCCCAGGTGATGCCAATATGCAGCCAGGACTGAGAATGTTGGACGAAACACTCTCCATGGCCCCGCATGCAGCTGAGCAGTTGAGCCACCCACACCTTCCACCAAACATAGCAAGTCAAATTCAGGTCCCACTTGCTTTGACCTTCTACTGCTGTAGCTCCCCCTCTCAGAGGGGAGATGATGGGCGGGGTCAGCGCAAAGCCCTGCCAGGCTGCAGTCCCAGGTCCTCCAGTTGGTCTATTCTGCCTGGAAAGGTGGAACCCTCAAATAAGCTGCTTCCTAAGGCTTCCAGGGCCAAGTGTGCCAGCTCAGGGAGGGTGGCATCTGCACATCCAGAAAGTTCCAGACAGGACCAGTCCCTCTCCCCCATATGGTGAGCTTGAACTTAGCCTCATTTTCTGTCTCCTCATGTGGCCAAGTAGGCCTCCCACCTCTCTGAACATAGCAAGTCACACTCACATCGCATTTGGTTTAACTTCCCAGCCGACGTTGAATGTTCCTGGACTGTTTCCCAACATCCATTTTCTCCCTTTTGCGCTTCAGCGTCTGGGACCAGCAGGCAGGAAGCAGGCTGAGCTTGGATTTCCACCAAGGATGCTCAGCTTCCAGGGGCCCCTGCAGGAAGGTTCCGCTTTCACTGCCTCCCACCCCAGAGCACCAGCCACAGAACCCCTCCCCCACCACTACCACCCTGCAGAATCAAACCCTACTGGCTGGAGTTTATCCTTCACTCATTGGTGAAGAACTTTACATTCCAAACTCCTAGAAAACTTTTCAGAAGGTTTCCTCTCTCTCAGATCCTTTGTCCTTTATCAATGACAAGGGAGCTCTGCAGGGTAGTGGGGACCCCTCCTGATTTGGGCCTTTCTGAAAGGCAGGAACTTCTTGAGTTCTGTTGTCCCTTTTGAACAAAGGTACTTCCTACTGCCTTTCTCCAACTAAAACTGGCTCTCCAGTTTGGCATTTGAGGCCTTTCCTGCCTCATGTCCCATTATTTCCCTATTTTAAAAAAATTAAAAGACTTCTGCTTTTGCCTGTCTGGTCAACTTACGCCCCCTACCCACCTAAACGTACTGGGTACCTTTCCACATCTAAGTATCTGCTGTTGCTAGTCCTCCTGTTTTTGAATGGATTGCCCTTTACTTTACCTGCCACCCTTACTATTTTTCAAGTCAAATAACAAAAATAATAGAGGGTCAAACTTCTTGAGCATTTATGGGGCTTTAAAACAAACTTCTTGAGCACTTACTGTGTCAGTGCTAAGCACCTTATTTATATGTGTCATCTCTTTTACTCCTCACAAAATGCTGAGTCTTTTTTTTTTTTAATATAGACAAGGTCTCACTATGCTGCCCATCCTGAGCTCAAGCGATCCTCCTGTCTCAGCCTCCCAAAGTGCTAGGATTACAGGCCTGAGCTACTGTACCCGGTTGCTGAGTCACTTTTTAAGAAACTTTTCATTTTGAAGTTTTAGACTTACAGAAAAGTTGGAAAAATAGTACAGAGTTCTGTGTACCATTCCCCTAATGTTAACATCTTACACAAATATAGCACAATTATCAACACCAGGAAATTAATATTGGTACAATACTATTAACTCATACCTCCACAAATTTCTGATGTTTTTCTCATGATTATGAAACTGCCATTGCAAAATTATAACTGAGGCGGTGAAAGAGATCTGACCTAACCAACTCCATCTTGCTTCTCACTTCCAAGCTGTCCTTGTTCATTCCTAATTGTAGGCCTCACCGACTTTGGGAGGAACTTAGTTTATAGTTTAACTCTGAAACAAAGACCCATAACAGCCCTTTCCCAAAACAAATCCCCTCCCTGCCTGGGGACTAGACTGCCCTTGTAGGACTAACAAATTAGCCAAAAGATTAGAAATTATGGCTTAAGAGTCATTCAGCTGGAGGCTACAAGATTCTGACCCTCCCCAAATTGTTCATAGGGATAACATATCTATTGTAAAACCCAAGATCAGCGCTTGAGATATTTGCAGACCCTGCCCTTGATGGATCAGCTGGCACCACCCAGATCAATAAACTGCCTCACTTGATCTACCCCACTCAGGAACTGACTCAGCACAAGAAGATAGCTTCAACTCCCTATGATTTCATCTCTGGCCCAACCAATTAACACTCCTGACTCACTGACCCCTGTCCACCAAATTATCCTTAAAAACTCCGATCCCTGAATGCTCCGGGAGACGGATTTGAATAATAATAAAACTCCAGTCTCCCACACAGCCGGCTGTACGTGAATTACACTTTCTCTGTTGCAATTTCCCTGTCTTGATAAATCGGCTCTGTCTAGGCAGCAGGCAAGGTGAACCCATTGGGCAGTTACAGTTAGATGGAGGTTATGCACTTTTGGCAAGAATACCACAGAAGTGAAGTTTTGTCTTTCTCGGTATGTCATACTGATGAAGCAGGATACTTCCCTGACCCCTCTGTGGGACTCGTGACAGGGGTGCCTTGTTTACTCAGCCCGCTGCGCTCAACTCCTCACAGGAGGTAGCACACAAGTGAATGAGGTGGGAACTGGAGTGCACGAGTGCTGGAACTGCCGGCTGCTTTGGTGCCAGTAGGAGGGCCCTGCAGCAGCATCCAGATGGGGGCTGTGACCCCCAAAAGCCCCACAGGGCGTGTTACAGTGCTCTTTTAGCTCTGCTGTCCACAGACAGCTTAAGTTTTAACAGCTCAGTGGGCCCTTTACCTCGTCGCATGGGGCAGCTGCCCTCCACCAGTGAGGGCAAAGGGCCAGTGTGGCAGCCTTTCATATCCACACCTGTGGCCCCTGAGCTCTTGTCCGGTGTCCAGGAATAATGAAGTCACATGAACACATTGAAAGGTGGTAAATGTGGAGGATTTTATTGCCAATAAAAGTGGCTCTCAGCGGGAAGGGAAGCTGAAAAGGGGATGGGGGGGTAGGTCATCTTCTTCTGAAGTCTGGCCGTCTCCAGTCAGATTCTTCTCCTAAGTTACACCATCAAGCTGCACCTCTGAAGTTAAGCTGCTTCTCTCTGACGTCCAGCCATAGTCCTGATGTCCCGCTGCTTCTCCTCTCTGCCAGCTGAGTCTGGAGTTTTTATAGGCACAGGATGGGGTGGGGCAGGGCCATGGGTGATTTAGGAAAACGCAACATTTGAGTGGGAAAACAGGAATAGAAATTCTCACTTTGGGCCATGGTTTCAGGCTTTTCAGCTTGAGGGTGGGGTTTTCGCTGGGACCCGCTCTTTTCTGCCTAGAATTTCTCTGCCTCCTGTCCCTATCACTAGCAGGTACCTCATGCTGATTTGTCTTACTACAGGTTGTGTCAACCTTGATCACTTGATTAAGGTGGTATCTGGTAGGATTCTCCATAGTAAAATTATTGTTTTTCTTTTCATAACTGGTAAGCACCCTGAGGGAGATACTTTGAGACTATGAATAGCCTATTTCTTCTCTAACTCCTGTCCACTGAATTTAGATCCACCAGCAGATCTTGCCTGCAGTAGTTATTACTATAATGTTGGTCTAATGGTGATTTTGTATTTTACGAGGGTCCCTGTTTTCCCCACTTTATAGACAAGATACTACAGCTCAGATCTGTAACTTACCTGAGGTCCCAATGCTAATAATTGGCAGAGTCAGAACTCAGGCACCAAAGCCTCTGACCCTAAGCCCTTTACTCTTGCGGTGGGGAAATGAACTATATACTGTCTCATGGCACCTCTTGTCACCACTTGATTTTCCTGTGTGTGATCTTCTCCCCCAGACACACAGTTTCTGGAGGGCAGGGACTGGCTCCTATTTGATTCCCCAAGGCTGCTCCAGGCAAGGTCTGGTGTCCCATAAGTGCTTGTGGACTGACTGGTAGCTGGAAGGATTGAAAAGGCCACCTGTGTTGAGAGGAGGAGGTAGAAACTAAAGAATATCCAGCTTCTTTCCTTTTTCCCAGCCCACAAGGTCACAAGGAAAGAGGTGGGGACATACCCAAGTCCGGACAGAGGAAAAATGTGGGCAGGGCCTCTGCAGAGGGGCAGAGGGCTCAGGAGGGCAGATACCAGCTGGATAACGAGTGGGAATGGGTGGGAGAAAGTTTCAGAGAAAAGGTAGAGAAAGGAGGAGGGACCATCTTATCTAGTTTATCATTTTACAGGTGAGGAGGCCAAGACCACGTTCTAGGGCTTTATTGATTATAATCAGACCCTCAAGTGCAAAGTAGGGTTTATTGAAAGTATTCAGGGAAGGAGTTCACTGCAACTCATTGGTAGGAAATGTAGCCTCGAGGGGCCTTTTCAGCTCAAGTGCTTCCCCTGATTACCAGTGTTTCTGTGTCTCTAAATTCACATTTATCTATAATTCAAATACTGAGTACCTTCCATGGGGTAGCACTGTACTGGGAATGAAATTGTAAGCAAAAGCAGAGGTCACCTTAGCCCAGTGGGGAGGGGTGGATTTTTCTTCTCATCTGTCTTCCCTGCGGCCTATGGGTGGGGTAGACCAAGCCAGAATGGGAAGCCAAAGGGACAAGTGCACAGTCCAGAGAGGGTCAGTGACTTGTTCAAAGTCACACAAGGCTGGAACTTGGGTCCTGCAGTGCTGGTTTCAGGGCTCTTCCTGTGCTCAAACATGTTCCTCATTCATCTTTACTTACTTTTTGATGCAGGGAGTGGAGGGTGGGGTGGCCTGAGACCCCTATGGCGGCAAAGGGAGGTCAGAGAGTGTGATGTGGGTGTTTATGGAGATGCACTTGAGTGCAGGACTGGGGCACGGGCTGGGACCAGGGCTAAGGGTGACAGCTAGGCCTACCGGAGGGGTACTGGATGGAGGAGAGAATTGTTCACAAGGAAGCCACAGGCTGAAAACACTGAGAAACAGCCTCCAGGGGCCAGCTGCAGACTTCAGTTTCCAATTCCTGAATTCACCTCTTCTACAGTAATGCCAGCCCACTGGCCTGACTGCCAGGGCCGAATGCCCAGGACCTAGACTTTGGTCTGCACAGTCAGAGGAAAGAGAGCAGGGCAGCAGTGTTGAGTGGAGTGACTAACTCTGGATTAGCAGTGATCCTGGGCTCTCAGCCCAGCTCGGCCATTACAGGCAGTATCTTCACCTGTCAGGCTCTGGTTTACTCACTGGATGCAAAATGAAGGTGTGGGGCTGCTTCCGAGGTTTTCAGTCTGAATCACCGGGACAGCTAATGAGATGGTAAATTCCAGGCCCACCTGAGATCAGGTTCAGGGGGTCTGGAATGAGGCTCAGGGACATGCCTTGTTAATAGACGCCCCCAGAGGGTTCTGGGCCATCCTTAGTCCTGGGCCACATTTTAACCAACAGGAACTTGGCCATCTCCGGGGTCTCTTAAGTTTCCCTGCAAAAAACCAGGTACCTTGGGCCAAGGAGAGGAAGACAGCTATTTTCCTGGTACCCCCTGCCAGTCAGTGTGGGATGGGCCAGTGGGAGAAGAGACTGGGCATCCTCCACTGACCAGGCAGGAATGGCCAAGCAGGACACTAGCAGGGAACCAGAAAACCAGCCCTGGCAGTCAAGACTGGGGGGACTGAACTGGAGGTGCAGAGCCTGCGGCTGAGGGCAAGCTGCACTATCTGTTTAGGTCTTTGAGGTCCCACTCATCTCCAACCCCCGTTCCTTGGCCTGGCCTGTTTACGTTAAATCCCAACCAAGCCAAAGCTCATTTGAACATATTGGTAATCAGGGAGCAGAGTTCAGGACCTGAACCCTAAAAGCACTTTGTGTTTTCTCAAATTCCAGAAGATGGACAAGTTGAAGAAACGTCACAGGAGCCCAAGAGGCTGGCCAGAGAGCCCAGGACTCAGTTCCTCTGTGGGAAGGCACACACACTCTGTAAGTTATAGCTCTGGGTCCCAGTCTGTCTCACTGGGTATGGGCCTTCCAAATCCCCATCTTTCAAGGGTTCCTTCCTCCAAAATCTGTCCTCATCTCCCCAGCCACAATCACCTGCTTTTTCCTCTACAACCTTGTTAGCCAGCCATTTGAATGTCCATCTCCTGCACTAGACAGAAGTAGGGGCTGTTCCACCTTTGTTCTCCGGAGTGCCTGGCACACAGCAGGTGTTCATCAAATCGAAAATAGCATTGAATGAGGCAAGGGTTCCAGTTCAAAAGGTTTTGTCTGGAGACAAAAGTGCTAAGGAGGGGACATGTGCAGCCCATATTAAAAGGACTTTATCTCAGAGTTTATTTCACTATTTATAAAAATAATGACTGGGAAAAAATGCGACCTTCAGGACTAAAATGCCTGTTCTTAAGTTTATCTGATAGCCTCTGAGCAACCTTTTATACATACAGTGGATAAAAATTTTTTTAAAAATACAAATATGGTCTGCTATTCAGGTGGATGCCCAGCTCTGATAACTGGCTTCCAGGAGAGGGAACATAATGGTGAAATGTTGAATTTTAAAAAGGGAGTAAAAGGTTTGTGGGTGAGAGTGACTAATGGCCCTGAGACATTTATGACAAAAACGTGGGAGCACCGTGGCAGAAAGAAAACTAGAAGCTCAATGACTGAGACAAAGACCCAGCAGCCACGCTTGGGTGGGCATGGCGCTCCATGGCTCCCTATGATGGCTCATCTCAGCTACTCAACTGCTGCAAAGGGAGGAGGGAAAACTGATCAACTCATGGAGCCTCAATTCCATCATCTGTAAAATGTGTGCAGCAGTCATTCCTACCCATTGGTTTGTTGTGAGGATTAAATAAGGTCACAGCAGCGCTGGTAGATGCTTTTCCTGAGACCAGAGTACACAGTACCTTGGCCTGATTAATTATATGTAACTATCTACAGGCTGATGTAGAAGACAGAGGCACTATTCAGTTACTCACAGTAACAGGCATGAGCCCCACTCTCCCCTATTTTCATCATGTTCTGGTTTTATGAAACGTTTACCTTACTTTGCTTGCATAAGGAAAACCATTTCATCAGGACCTGAGAAAAATCTAGTATTCAAAAATGATTATGAGTGGGGCACGGTGGTGCCCACCTGCAGTCCCAACTACTTGGAGGCCAAGGTGGGAGGATCAGCTGAGTCCAGGAGTTAGAGGCTACAGTGTGCTATGATCACACCTGTGAACAGCAACCATACTCCAGCCTGGGCAACATAGCAAGTCCCCATCTCTATTTTTACAGAATAAATATAAATTCATTTAAAATGATCATAGCAAAACAATATTTCAAAACAATATACAATGGCATTTGGGTTGATTGTATGCATTCTCTTTTTCTCTCAGGTTAGGAGCTTATGCAGACTACATGAAAATTAAGTATTACAGTTTGTTTGTAAAATAAGTTAGTGTGTAAAATAAGTTAGTTTGTAGTGATTAAAAGCATTAGCCCTGGTTAAGCTTCTTGTAAAATCCCTTGTTGTGACAGCCGGGAAAGTGAGTTAATGAAAATTCTGATGCTCTATCAAATCAGTTGGTCAAGAAACTTGGTCAGGAGGTCAGAAACATGGGCCCTGCCCGAGCAGCAAGTCACCATGACCCAGGCCAACCTGAGGACAAAGGCCTCAACTATTCCTTGAACCATGCTGATAATCAGGACATTCCGAAGAAACAAGTGATGTGGATTTCAGTGACGTAAGTAAGGGGCCCCTGAGGGTCACAACAAGGCCTGCCTCTTTGCAGCTGCAGCTGCTGCCCTCAAGAGCTGAGTCAAGGTGGAAGGCAGACCCCTCAACTACAGAAATGCTGCCTGATATTCATGAAAACCACCTCTGACTCCCAATACCTGTGGCATTCTCCCTGTCATATCTGAAATGTCTCCCTCCAGGGAACAATTATCCAACTATCTTACAATTTTCAGTCAGAAATTCTACAAGCAAGGAAACCACATGACCCAAAAATTATACTCCTGGATATTTATCCAAGAGAAGTGAAAACATATGTCCATATGAAGTCGTACACAAATGTTCCTAGCAGCTTTATTCATAATAGATTGTGAATCTGCCTTAAAGACTGAGGCCAAGTTTACTTCAAAACCAGAATTTAGTTTCTCCTCAAACTGTCTGCAGAGTTCCATCTTGGCATCACGAGGGACTCTTTTGATTAGAGAGGACAAACACATCCAAGACAGCTTTGGACCAGCTGTCACGCTCACAGATGTCTGGGAACCCCAGAGCATTGCCTCGCCCTGAGTTGCTACAGACACGGGCACGCTGTCCAGGAGTAGCAAGAACCTCACCAGAAGGCCCAACTTATCCTGGGTTCTCTCCTTTAAACATTTTCTGGCCTTACCATCAAAATCCAAGCATTCACGGTCTGAATCGCCAGAGCCAGGTTGCAGAGTGCAATGAGTCCCATTCAGCAGCACCCCATGCGTTACCACAATGCTTCGAGATGGGTCACGCTCTGCCCATTTTGCAGATGGGGAAATCAGTCCCTACAGAGGTGAAGTGACTTTCCCAAAGCCTCATGGCTGGTGGATCTTGGGCTGACATTGAACCCACGTGGTCTGGCTCCTACAGTAACTGAGGGCGTGCACTTACACGTGGAATGAACTGCTGAGAATGATCTAGGAGCTGGAGCCAAGGGGAGCAGAAGGGTCTGGTCCTGTGAGGACATGCGCTGTAGATAGGTCTGTCAGCTGGGCCAGGCTGCATTTCCTGTCGTGCTCCATCAAGAGCAGGCTTGCCTCACGGACACACCTATGCCCATCAGCTGGACTTGACACCTTCCTGGGATCCGCCCAGACTAAGAGATGGGATTTTAAAAGGCTTGAGTTCTAACCTTGGCCCTTTACAAGAATTTGCTGAGTGATTCCTCACAACACCCTCTGCAGTAAGTGCTGTTAGCTTCCCCATCTGCAGTAAGTGTCATTAGCCTCCGCATTTAACAAGGGGAGGAAACAGGTAGAAAGGAGCGAAGTGTTCCCCCATCTTCTGCCACCCAGCTAGTAGCAAAGTCAGATCTAACACCCGGGTCTTTTTCTGACCCCAGATCTGGGCTCTAATCTCTGATTTCTCTGAGGCTAGAGACATAAGCCATGAGGAAAACGTTGGTGCAACAAATGAAGGTCTTAGCTCCCTTGCAGTGGAATAGCCGTTCCTGGGTTCAGCGGCAAAGCAGTGAGGGTAGCTGAGGCTGCTGGAGGCAACCGCTCAGGCCAGGCCACAGATAAAAGTGAGAGCGCACCCAGTTAAACTAAGGCCTTAATTACAGGCTTCGTTTAGAGCCTAGCAGCAAAAGCTTGCTGCAGCCCCACAGGTGCTGGACGCTGAGGAGTTCCCACCAGCCTGGCTCAGCCCTCTGCACCCAGGCAGCCCACCCCACCCCCACCTTCCGAAGGTAGAACCACGAGGACTTCCGAATCAGATGCACTTTGGAATGTGAGATGCTCGGTAAGAAGCTCATTCCAAATCTAGAAGTTCACTGGTATCGGGATGTCCTTCTCAGAGCTTTCGGTGCACAAAGAAACGGACATCTCTGCCCCTGAGGCCGCTATTCCTCACCATGCTACCAACCCAGGCTCAGCTCTCCCTCCGGGGCCTTCCCGCCGCACCCAGCCCTTCCTCCAGGTCCGCGACGGGGAGGAAACCCGGCCAGCCTCCCAGCCCGCAACCGTCCACTCCTGGCTGCCACACCCAAGGCAGTCTCTGCCTTCTCTAGAGCGAGAGCGCAGCGGGCCAGGGGAGAAGTGGAAAGACACAAAAGGCTGCGGGGCTGGGACGGCGAAGCAGCAGCCCGCACGGCAGGGGGCTTGGCAGCGGCGCCCGGGGTCGCCGATCCCCGGCTCTCGGCCAGCCCAGCCCAGCGACCCTTTCCGCGGGGGATGCTGGCCCCTGCTGGCCGCGCGAGAGATCGCAGGGTGGCTATCGCCTCGGGAGAGCAGAGAGGCCCGGGACCGGGAAGCGGTGCCCGCCCCGGGAAAGGGGCTGAGCTCTCAGGGCAGCAGCAGCACCCGGCCCCCGCGTGGAGGTGGTTAGCCTGGAGGGGAGCTGGGAGAAGGCAAGGACGGGAGGACCTGGGCGCGAGGCCCCAAGTTCTGGTCCTGTCCCCGCCGCCACCCTGGTAACAGTGCTAGCTGCCTCAGCACCTCCAGGCTCACACGTGCTATCAAACGCCTCATATCATAGTTTCTAGAAAGGAGATGAGTCAGAAGAAAGAGGTGAGAGGTCTCTAGCATGACTGGCTCTGGTCTCCCTCCAGGGCCTACCTCCAGAAGACTTCCTTCAGCCTGATGTCTTCCTCAAGACCAGCCAACCCCGAACCATGAGCTGATGGGGCCACGTGCATTTCACAGGTTACTGACTGGGTGGGCTGAATGATGGCCCCCAAAGACAGCCAGGTCCTAACCCCTGGAACCTGTGAATATTACCCTACATGGCAAAACGGACTTTGCTGGTGTGACTGAAAGCCCTTGAGTGGGGAGATTATCCCGGATTATTCAGATGGATCTTAAATGTAATCACAAGGGTCCTTCTAAAAGAGAGGCAGAGGAAGATTTTACTACAGAAGACAAACAAAGCCATATGACAAAGGAAGCAGACAGAGAGAGAGATTTGGAAATGCTATGCTGCTGGCTTTGAAGATGGGTAAGAGGCCAAGAGCCAAAGAATGCAAACACTGCAGCTCTGGATGCTAGAAAGGGCAAGGAAATGTAGAGCCCCTGCAGGCTCTGCTTACCCCTTAATTTTGGCCCAGTGAAACTGATTTCAGATTTCTGATCTGCAGAACTGAAAGAGAATAAATGTGTGTTGCTTTCAGCCACCAAGTTTGTGGCAATTTGTTACAGCAGCCACAGGACGCTAATACATGACCCTTTACTCTCTGACTCTTGTACTCAGCACTTGGGATCAAACAGTGAACCCGATAAACCTCTACACCTCCCAGGGAAATTGACCATCTCTCTGTCTCTGGATTTTAAAAAGGAACAGCCACGTAGACATTTTATCAAAGATATATGAATGGTCAATAAACACATGAAAAGAAAATGCACAAAATCATTAGCATTAGGGCAATGAAAATTAAAACCACAATGAGATACCACTTCATACTCACTAGGATGGCTATAATAAAAGACAATAACAAATGTCAAAAGTGTGGAAGAACTATAATTTTCATATATTGCTGATGAGATTGTAACATGGTACAACTGACTTGGAAAATAGTTTGGTAGTTTGTTTGGTTTTTTGAGACGGAGTCTTGCTCTGTCGGCCAGGCTGGCGTGCAGTGGTGCAATTTCGGCTCACTGCAACCTCTGCCTTTCAGGTTCAAGCAATTCTCCTGCCTCAGCCTCCCGAGTAGCTGGGATTACAGGCACCCACCACCACACCCAGCTAATTTTTGTATTTTTAGTAAAGACGGGTTTTCACAATGTTGGCCAGGCTGGTCTTGAACTCCTGACCTCTGGTGATCCACCCGCCTTGGCCTCCCAAAGTGCTGGGATTACAGGCGTGAGCCACTGTGCCCGGCCAGTTTTTAGAAGTAATTTACCCAAAATAAGCACATACTCCAAATATATGTGCATATAAGAACAGAAGCTATGAATGTTCATAGCTGCATTATTCATAGCTGCCCAAACCTAGAAATAAATGTTCACCATCAGTGAATGAAAATGTGGTATTTGCAGTGGAATATTACTCAGCAATATAAAGGAACAGATTACTGTTATGCTACAATATGGAGGAGTCTCAAGAACATTACACTAAGCAAAAGAAGCAAGACACAGAAGACCACATATTGTATTATTTATATGAAATGTCAAGAGGCAAATCCATAGAGACAGAAAGATTAGTGGTTGCCTGGGACAGGGACAGGGTGGGAATGGGAATGGGAATGCTACAAGTAGGAGTATCTTTGGAGTGATAGCATTTTAAGGTTGGATTGTGATGGTGGCACAACTCAAAATGAATTTTATGATATGCAAATTGGACCTTCAATAAAGCTGGGTCTCGGCTGGGCACAGTGGCTCACGCCTGTAATCCCAGCACTTTGGAAGGCCAAGGCGGGCAAATCACTAGGTCAGGAGATCGAGACCATCCTGGGCTAACACAGTGAAACCCTGTCTCCATTAAAAATACAAAAAAGTTATCCAGGCGTGGTGGCAGGTGCCTGTAGTCCCAGCTACTCAGGAGGCTGAGGCAGGAGAATGGCGTGAACCCAGGAGGCGGAGCTTGCAGTGAGCTGAGATCGTGCCACTGCACTCCAGCCTGGGCGACAGAGTGAGACTCCATCTCAAAATAAATAAATAAATACATACATAAATAAATAAAGCTGGGTTTTTTGTTTTATTAAAGGCAAATCTAGGATATAGGATAATAAAACCTCAAACCTCACAGGAGTATTTGCATTTTAAGAGCGGGACCTTAAAGATTTCAAAACCTACAGTATGATGGAAAGCCTGGTGACAGACCACACCTGGGGACTATGGCCCAGCACTTCTCTGGATCATCCCAGTGGGCAGCCCTACCATCCTGTACCGCAGCTATATTGTGCCACCTTTTACATTCTGGGGAGCAGTGGGAACAGAGCTGCACACTGTTTGCCTCATACCTTTACCAGGGCTCAACATGGAAGCCAGTACATGCTTCATGCAGCCACGATTCACACAAAAGCACCCCATGCCTGATGCCTCTGCTTTCCACGAGGGAGGCATGGAATCTGCTCCTCCCACCCCCAGAGCTGGGTCTGTGGAGACACTGCATTCCCCTCCTCTCAGTAGGGTCCTGCACCTCATCCCATCCAGCTCTCCCCAGCTCCACTCTGCCGACTAGGCTGCTCTCCAGGGAGGTTAAGATGTGGGAGCTGGGCCAGGAGGCTGCTGCAGCAAGATCAGAGCTGCCAATCCCATTTAGCTCTGCATCTCTCAAAACGCTAAGGCCAGCTTACAGGCACCCCTCATCCTGAAGCTTTCCTTTAAGTAAAAGAGTTCCTTCTAGAAAACAGGCCCATGCCTGGCACTGCAGAGAATGTGGCCCTGCTTCCAGAAACTCAGGACCCACCCTGCCTAACTCAAAGTTTTTCTTCTTGATCTACTTTACAAATTTCTCCCACTCTTACCTCCATGAGATGCAAGCACAGGCAAGTATCTATTCTCTCATGGCATGTGAATTCCCCCACCCTTTAGCTCAGTCTAATAAAAGCAAGCAAACCGTGGGTGAGAACCATATTTAAGACCTCTAGCATCCTCTCCAATGGTCTCCCCTGCAAAATGACAAGTGTAGGCCTAAAACAGAGGAATGGGAATAGCCCCACTTTTAAGAGTAAAGGAGTCAAACATTGCTGGTAGATTTTAAAAAGGTCTACAGAGGTTTTTGTTTATTTTTTTAAACTACACATAAAAGGTTTTCTTTTATTTAGGGTGAAGCTGTCAGGCTCTAATAGCAGCCTGGCATAGACAGTGGCCAAAACAGGAACAGAAGACAGGATCTTGTAATACAAAATAAATACAAACTTGTAATCCAATAAAATACAACTGAGGGTGAAGGAAAAAGGAGGAGGAGGTCTCACCCCGCACCCAGCCTAAAAGGAGAAGAAAGTGCTGAGGCCAAGTAAGTTTTCTAAAACATGTTAACAGTTCCTTGTGTGTCCATCACTAAACTCATTCATTAACTTTCCAAGTTGGTGCCGTGTGCCTCCTGCTCCCCTGGACACCTCCTGCAGACCACACTCATCACTGGAGTATCTGAGTCACCAGAGATCTACCTCAGCCCATTGTTGGGACTACAGGCTGGGTCTTGATGCAGAACATACAGCATACAGGCCTTCTCCCAGGGAAAGAGTCAGGAGCCCAGCATAATTTACATCACAGACAACAAGGATGATGCACAGGATGGGACTCAAGCTGCTTCTTCCTAAGTTCGCAGAGAATCTATGTGACTTGATGGCACCTCCAACAGGAGACAAGGTGGTCCTCTCTCCCACCCTGCTTTATGGACAGACATCAGGGAGGCAGCAGGCCTCTGATTGCTCCCTCCACACCTGTGGTTCCTAACTCTGATGAACCTTCTTGCCCTGAGCACCATCTGGAACCTTGGCATGCAGCTTAGGTTGGCAGGAGATGAAGGGAGGGAGCTTACAGAAGTTCCTCAAGTCAGCCGGGCATACTGACTCATGCCTGGAATCCCAGCACTTTGGGAGGCCCAGGCAGGTGGATCACCTGACGTCAGGGGTTCCAGACCAGCCTGGCCAACATGGCGAAACCCCATCTCTACTAAAAATACAAAAAATTAGCCAGGTGTGGTGGTGCGCACCTGTAGTCCCAGCTACTCAGAAGGCTGAGGCAGGAGAATCACTTGAACCCAGGAGGCGGAGGTTGCAGTGAGCTGAGGTCTTGCCACTGCACTCCAGCCTGGGCAACAGAGCGAGACGCTGTCTCAGAGAGAGAAAAAAAAGAAATTCCTCAGGTCAAAAGTAGGTGCTGTAAGTGGGAACTCCAGTGATGCTGTGTTCTGACCCAGAGAATTTGCCTTCCTCACGTACGTTCTAGTTACGAGTCACACAAGACCAATGCTAACATATGCAAGATTGCAGTAAGCACAGCAACTCCAATCAGCAGGCCCAGGTAGTTAAAGGATAATCCAACTCCTGAAACACAAAGGAATTTTTTTTTTAAAGGGAACTAAGTAACACGCCCCTTCCTAATGGGCCCTCAAAAGCACCTTCAGAGATTTATGCTCTTATACCCATCCCTAGCATATTGTCAGGCACATCATAGGTAAGTATTTTTTGAGAAAATAAACAAATGCTAACATTTGATTAAAAGCCAAAGCCAGACTTGGAACAAATGAACCTGGTAATATAAGGGCTCGCCACCTATTTTTGCTCTATAGCTCCCTCAAGAACCCTATGCATGCACACAGAGTTAACTTTGGAAAAGGCTTAACATCCCTTTGTGATGCTGAATCTAAATTGCCTGAGAGCTGATAATTATTTTTCATTTTATGCATATCAAAAATTGTTTATTTTTAAAAAGATTCTGTTACATTTGAGACCATGTACCCAGAGAAGCACAGGGCCAGTCGTATTTCAGAATGTACTCTACCATCAGATAGCTTATATGGATGCAAAGAACTAGAAACTATCTTTAAAGCAAAATCCACAGAAGCTAGATGACTGCAACCTCCAGATGACTAGTCGCCTCACAGACCCCGTTCCAACTTAACTCTTGTCAAGTGTCTTATCTGGACACTTGGGAGGGCAGGGGAAGAAAAAAAACATGGAAATATTTTAAATAGTCAGTTACATGTAGATTTCTAGCCATAAGAAATTGAATTACTATATACTGAGCTTCTATTTTATGCCAAACTCAATCTTCTCTTGACATATACGAACTAAGAAACCCCCACCTCAAGAAAAAAACTTGCAAATAGCATGGCAAGATTACCTATCTGCCCTTAGAGTTCAGTGGAAAAAGATTGTGCTAAATGGCATCTTTGCTGGGATTTCAGCATCTAACATTCAAAGATCTAAACAAAGCCTTCGACATCTAGTCTAATCCTTTGTTTCACAGGGATATGCAAGACCTGAGCACCAAGGTCACACAGCAAGTTAGCAAGATGGGAAATAAAAATCATGTCTATTGATCTGCCTGTGGCAGCACAGGCAGGTTACATTATTTCAGAGGTAACTGTACCAAATGAATTACCATCACCAGCAGTAAGTCCTTAAAAAGGCTAAGGGCATCTGTTAATTCATTACCAACTGCTCTATGCTGGACCCGCTCACAAGGAGCTCACATCGATTTTCCGGTGCAAGTCCCTGCCCAATATAATCTTTGATAAGAAGAAAAAAAGCAAGACAAAAGCAAGGGTCACGAAGGAGCCTTGGGGAAACAACTGGATGTTCAGGTTAATTCCTACTCACGTCTACTTTGATCAGAGTCAGGAATAGCATCCTATGGAAGTATTCCAAAGGCAAAGTTGCGAAAGAAAAATCAGTACAATGAACATCCTCATAGTAAACGACCTTATAACATGTTCCAAGTTCTAGAACAGTTCCTGGACTTTGTCCGTATCCTTCGGAAAATGTTTTCTCTGGTATTTGTGGCCAAAGGCATCAGAATAAGAGCTCCACCCTGACCTGCTCAGGGTACAGGGTTTCCAGGAGATCCCAGCAGTTGATAAACACAGCCAGTGGCAGGGTGCCTGGGCAACCGATACCTGGGCAGGGAGCATGCACATACAGCATGCCAGGCTGCGTGGGGGCATGGACTTCAGTCCTCTTGGCAGCGAGGATCACCACAGAGCTTTAGGCCTGTCTCACACTCATTCACATCTAAAGACAGAAGAAATAGGCTGTTCTGGACAGTCTCCCAGGGTGTCCCAAAGGCTCCTCTGCGGCTCTTCCCCTCTGTTGCTGACCTCCACCTGTTCCTTGAACACACCACACACAACCCTGCTGCAGGGCCTCAGCACCATCCAGAAGCCTGTTCCCTCGAGGGCTACATGGCTGTCCCTCATCATCTTCTCAAGGAGGCCTTCCTTCACCACCTTTTGAAGCCTTATCACATACATGTGCATACACAAAGCCCTATTTATCCCCTTTATCTGATTGTTATTCGTAGAGCATATCAACTCAGATACTCTGTAGTTTATCCAGTCTATCTCCTGATTAGACTGTGAAGTACACGAGGGAAGGGATTTGCCTTTTAGGTTTGCTATTGAATCCCCAGTATCCCAAACAACGCCTAACCCATAGTAAAATGCAATACAATATATTGCATACATGGATGAATTAATAGCCAATTCTTCCTCGGGTTGGGGGACAAGCATAACATTCCCATGATGCAGACTGAGAAAGGGTCTGCTCTCCATGGGAAATGACATGGCCTAGCATCGGGAGACTTTGCCTAGTTCAACTTGATCCTGGCTGAATCATGCCTAATCCAAGTGTGGCACGTGCCATTGGTCACCAGCAGCCAAGAGACCTATCCATACCTTCAAGGAAGGGGCACCTCTTCTTCACCTTGTGGGTTCCTAGAGCATCCTCAGTGAGGGCCCTTATCTGGTAAGACAGGGGATCAGGCACATCCATTCCTTGAGAACTTGAGTGTAGCCAGGAAGCATACGTGACATTCACAGCATCTTTTCTAGGAATGTTTAGGAAGGGAGGAGAAAAAAACAAGCATCTTTTCTAGGAATGTTTTGAAAGGGAGGAGAAGGAAACAATCTAAACACCACTTGGTAAAGAAATGTTACATTGTTTTTAAAGATTCTGAGATTAGACAGTAAAGTTAGGAAACTATATTGTGGACTATTGCGTTCATTAATTTAGCTTACTTAAATTCAGGATTCTTTTCCATCAAGTAATTTCTTAGTTCATCTCTGTAGAAAAAAAGCTGACTTTTCACATGCAGGTTTAGCACAGGGAGTGTTTTTGTTTGTTTTTTAAGAGACAGTGTCTCTCTCTGTCATCCAGGCTGGAGTGCAGTGGCACAATCATAGCTCACTGCAGCCTTGAACTTCTGGGCTCAAGTGATCCTCTCCTGCCTCAGCCTCCTGAGTAACTGAGACTAAAGGCATGCGCCACCACGCTTGGCTAACTTTTTTGTATTTTTTGTAGAGACAGTCTATGTTGCCCAGGCTGGTCTTGAACTCCTGTTCTCAGAAGATCCTCCTGTCTCAGCCTCCCAAAGTGCTGGGATTACAGGTGTGAGCCACTGTGCCCAGACATGTATTTCTTTATAGCAACACAAGAACAGCCTTATGCACTTGGGTAACCTTTCCACATTCATGCTTAACAGAATGCCAGCTCCTTGTGTCCAGGCCTTCCCACTGGCCATTGCCCATACCTGAGGTTGAGACCTGAGGTTGAGATGAATGGTCATGATCTTCAGTGCCCCAGTAGAGAGATGAAGCACCGTGGATTTATGTCTCATGTCCTGGTGTTCCTGGAGCTCTGGTGCTGGGACAAGGGTATGGTCTCCAACAGTACCTGCTGAGGGATTATCTGTGGCCCAGTGGGTTGGCTCCAAAGCCAGAGAGCAGCCTAGTGCTCAGCACTCTCACTCTTCAAACCCAAGAGTTTGGCCTAGATGCTGCCAGCAGGTGGAGGGTTCTGGGCAGTCTGGTGCTCAATCCTGCCTTCCTGAGCACTTTCCAAATCCAGAGGCTCCTCTTGGAGAGAACTGATGTCCCATGGGGCAGGTGAGGAGTCCAGGCTTTCTCTTTTGGTCACCCCTTCCCGTGTCTGAGCCACTTTTCCATCCCTCTCTTCAAGGGCAACTCTGGACCCCAGCACTCTCTCCTGTTTATGTGTAAAGAGCAGAGAGGACATGGAGGGCCATTCTGAAGGGGCTGGCAGCAGATGGTTCACCAAGCCATCCTGCATGGGTTTAGCCTTCAGTCTGGGGAAAGTAGTAGCGAGCAGGGTTTTTGTTAGACCTTGTACTCCATCCCATGTCTTGCTTAGCTGCAGCCTTGGGGCTACTAAGGTTTCATCCATTAACAAAGGATCTTCTTTTCCAGTGGGTAGAAGGAAGAGAGGGATCATATGCTGGGGGCCTCCCCTCTATCCTCTGAGGCTTCCTCATTTCCCATTTGAGAGGGCCCCCCAGCCTCTGCCCTTCTGTTTCCCACATGGACGACACTTGGATCTGAGATGGTTCCTAATGGAAACTGTGGGGCCAGAGCAGAGAGAAGCTGCTTATACCAAAGCTCACGGGGGATTCTCTCTTGGGCTCAGCAAAGGCATAGTACTGGCCTTGGAATGCAGCACTGGTGGGTCTTGGGGTCAATCTCCTGGAAAGCAGCACCACGTTGCCAGCCAGTGGCCCTGCAGCAAACACCTGATTCCCAAGTGTCCACATGCATGTAAGACCTTCCTCTCCACAGTCGGGGAAACCCCATGGAAGATGAGCTCTTGGCACAGTCCTTATGGCCACCAAACCCTTGGATATAAATGACAATATGTTTCTCGGCCCATCTCAGATGACCCAGTTGTACCAGATGTTTGGCAGGTGGCTGGATAGATTCTGTGGCAGCGAGAGCTCCTCTAATGGATCCTTCAAAACCACACGGCACCTTCTGATTGGAATATACACTACCCTGAGGTTTTGTCTCACCTCTGTGGGTGAAGGATGGAACAGACAGGAGAAAGATGAAGGAACCAGGTTAGTACAAGACTCAGTTGAGTCATAGAAGTGCATTATAAATGCCACCTATTCAACCCCAAGTTAGCATAAGACTCGCCTTAAGTTACACTTATGGAACAGAGCTACTGGCTTCTCAGAAGGCTCTCAGCTCATGTCACCAGCCCTAGAAGCTTCTCTTCTACTTCCCCATAATTCCTCCCTTCTCTGATTGCCCTCAGTACCCTGCAAATACTTGTATGCTGACTGTTGTCACACATGGCATTAGTCATGCTACATTTGGCTGTCATTGATTTGTCTCTAACCCTCCACTTCTTGATGGCAGGGACCGGCTCTTGTCTTCCACTTGCCAACAAGCACTTTCAAGTGCCTGCTGGATGGGAAGTGATCTTACAGCATCTCCAGCCTCTGCTCTAGAACACAGGGGCAGAGATCTCGGGGCCAAGATCTCATTTCCTTCACTGACCCAGACCTGGGAAGGTGATAAGAGGAGAAGGCTAATCCAACTCATGGCTTGTCAGCAAGCAGGAAAATGAATGACACTTGGAACACATGGCAGGGTCCCCAACAGGCTCTTAAGGGGCCTTCTGCCATCCTGATGCAGAGCTCTCAGAGGGTGGCGTGTGGGTCAATAGAGACCCCCTCATCCATCTATCATTTGCCATCCTTCTTAACCCTTCCCCATCTGAGTTCTCTGAAGCCTCTCACCTTGGCTTTCAGTGCTACTAATCCTGGCATCGGCAGCTTGGAGAGAACAGGCAAGGCCCACATCTAGGCTCTGTATGATCTCATCTCTGCCCTCCAGTGATTACAGATCTCAACACTCCATGAAGGAATCCCCAGACATCAGATACAGTGCTGAATTGGAACACCATGAAGAAAGCTGCCCACAGCTTTAACTTCCTAAAGAGACTGAAAGTTTTATTCAATTCCCCTGTAGAAGTCATAATTGCCAAGTTTCACCAGAGGTGAGAAGGAAAATAAAGTAAGAGAGAACATTTACCTCTGGTACCCAAAATGTTTTATTTGCAAATAAGAGGTCTCTATGGACCCTCTCCCCACCTTACCCTCCAGAGAAAACCAGGATGGGATTAGAACAGCAAAAACTTGCTAACAGCCCCGTTGCCCTGAGGGTACTTGCAGACACTAAGCCCTGGGACAGCAGGAAAATTAGGACACAAGTCTGGGACTCTTGCCCTGAGGAGAGCCCTGGAGGGCTGGTATGCTTCTAGGTTGGTGCTCACCAAGCTACAAGCAAAAGCAAGTCCTCTGCAAAGGAAAGCATGACAGTTTAGGCCTAGAGCTGGGATCTGCAAACTATATCTCATGAAACAAATCCAGCTGCTGCCTGTTTTTTGGAACTACAGTTTTATTTAAATATAGTCATGCTGTGTATATAAATGATGGAAGTTATTCTAATCTGCCCTGCTCAATACAGTAGCCACTAGACACATGTGGCTACTGAGAACATGATATGTGGCTAGTGCAACTGAGAAACTGAATTTCTAACTTTATTTCTATTCTCGTTTAAATAGCTAGTAGACAGTATAAGGACTAATAATAATGATGCCATTTTACAACCTTGACGACTGTGCTCTCAGAAACCACTAAGTTGCCTCCTCTCTCTCACTCTCTTCCTTTATATCTCCCAAACACACAGTGGAGTATAGATTAAGATCAAAAGCAAAGCATTTTTAGCAAAAAACAAAAAACAATTTATATCCAAGAACTTACCAGAATTTTAAGATAAAGAAGATGGTTATGTGGGAAATGTTTAAAGAAATAAAGAACATAATCAAAATAAAAAACACTACTAGGAATAGGCAGATTAGAAAATAAATGAACTTCTAGAAATGCGAAATTGAAATAAAGCCCAATGGATACTGATGTCAGCAATTTACTTGAAATACATCAAAAATAAGATGAATATATAGATACAAAGTATAGTAAAATACTAATGGTAGAATGTAGGTAGTAGATATTGGTTGTTCATTTTAAAGGTCTTTCAACTTAGCCATACGTTTGAAATTTTGTGGTAAAATGTCAGAGAAAAGAAAAACTCATGAACCAACAAACTCACCCATAATTTAACACAAAGACAAGGAGATAAAAACATGAAAGAAGAGATTTGAAGGCTCAAATCAGAAAGTCTTAGATATCTAACTGAAGTCCCAGAGAGAAAAAGCAGAAAAAATGGAAGAAAGAGCAACATCTGATGGCTACAAGTTTTCCAGAACTGATGAACAACATGAATTCACAGGTCCAGGATGTACAATGTAGTAATTAAAGATGGCCATAAAAATTTCCCTACACCACCCCTTGTGGGGTAGTGTCTAATCCTTCTCCCCTTGTATCTGGGATGGCCTCAGCAACTTGCTTAATAAATGGGACCTAAAAGTCACGCTTTAAGACTCCCAAAGCTAAGTCAGAACCAGCCTTAGTTTCCATCTTTGTCTCTTGTTTCTTACAAAGCCAGAGGCCTTGTAAGAAATCTGAATAGATAAATCTCAAGACTTTGAAAAAGGAAGAGGGACACGTCTGAGTCCAGCCTCCCAGCTGTCCCCACTGATGTTCATGTTGTAAACGCATGTGAGCAAAGCTATTTTGGACCTTCCAGACCAGCCCAGATTTCAGCGAAACACCACAAAGATACTGCGGCCAATCTCGTGTGGGGTGGAAGAATTGCCCAGCTGATACTTGCTTAAATTTCTGAACCACAAAAGAGGTAATAAAATGGTTATTTCTTTAAGCCACTAAGTTTTGGGGCAGTTTGCTATCCAACAAATACCTAGAACTTAGTATGCTCAAGCAAAATTTAAAATAAAAAAGGAATTGACACAGACATAATGAAATTGCAAAACTTTAAAGACAAAAAGATCTTAAAATAAAGTCAGAGACAGGATTGATCACCTTGAAGAAATGTCAGTTAGATTCCATAGCCAAAATAGAAACAAGAGACAGTGGAATAATTTCTGGCAGATGTTGAGAGAAAAAGTTTTCAACTTAGAATCATGTACCCAATACAGTTATAATGAGGCTAGGTGCGGTGGTTCATGCCTGTAATCCCAACACTTTAGGAGGCCAAGGCAGTTGGATCACCTGAGGTCAGGAGTTCAAGATCAGCCTGGTCAACATGGCAAAACCCTGTCTCTACTAAAAATACAAAAATTAGCCAGCATGATGGCAGGTACCTGTAATTCTAGTTACTCAGGAAGCTGAGGCAGGAGAATTGCTTGAACCCGGGAGGTGGAGGTTGCAGTAAGCCGAAATGGTGCCACTGCACTCCAGCCTGCGTGACAGAGTGAGACTGTCTCAAAAAAACAAAACGAAACAAATTATCATGAAAGAGGGTGAAAGATACTAGATAAATAAAATCAGAGTCTGCCTTCAAGAAACTGTAATGAAACTTCTAAAGTTCATTTAGAGAAGGATGGTTTGAAATATAGAGAAGAATGTGGACAAATAAAATACTAAGCTTTCTTTACAGATAAGAAAAAAAGCAGTACCCACCAGTGTAGTTCTGGGGTGTCACAGTCTCCAGAGAGGATTCACTCTCTTCCCAGGGGACGGGTGGGTGGAATAGCAGGAGCCCCCACACCCTGGGTCCTTTTGCCAGTGGGGGTTCTCTGGAAAGCTAGGAAGGGAACCTGGCAGATCCCAGGTGAAGTCTCTCCATACCTGTTCCAGGGAGTGGGTGGATTTCCAGATCTTAGCTTCCTTTAGAGCAACCCCTTTGGAGGGTGAATGGCCACGTCAGTATGCTCTTCAAGGGACTCTCCAGAGGAGGTCACTGCCCAGCCAGTTTACAGCTCCAAGACCAATGCAGCAGCCACATGCGGTCGCACATGTCTTTGGCCCTGAAGGAGCTTCACATCCAGGGGAGGGTGCCGGAGTGTGAGAAAGCCAGAACCCAGGAACTAGCCCAGGAGCAAAGGGATGCAGTGCATCACCCAATCTTCCTCCTTCAAGGAGGCTGCTCCTTCTGTGCTGCCTCTGCTGTATGAAGTAGCTGGGAACAGTTTCCCACTTGACCTCAAGTAGTGAGGACCAGCTATTGTCCCACTAGGAACAGCTTCCTTGGGCCCAGGGCAGGAGGTACTCACTAGACTTCTAGATGCCAGCTCCGTTTCACCCTGGCTTTGGGAGTGAGCCAGAGAAGCCACTGAGCTCTGCAGAAGGCACTCCATGTCAGTCTGCAGAAAGCTTGGATCGCAGCTCCCAAGGAGTTCAGCAGAAAAGCTGCCAGCAGCCTCTCTCTCTCCTTGACTGAACAAGCCCTGGGGCATGGCTGGACTTAAAGAGCTGAGGGAGGGATCTACCTCCCCTCTAGTCTCAGATAGGACATCCGAAAGCAACTGTGAACCTGACAGCAACCACGAAGCTATTGTAGACATTCCCATGGTCCCCCCTCTAGTGTTCCGGGTTCTCTGTGGTAGGCAGAGGGTGGGAACACCAGTGTAGGTTGGGAAACATATTGGGGGGCAGTTGTGGCTACAGGAGCTTGTTGAGGGGCCATTGTCAGCATCACCCTGGCCAGGTTCTCCAGCAATTCTGTGGCCAGCCCCTTTGGACTCCAAGAAGTGTGTATTGAGTCTCTTCTTGTAAAATTCCTATGGTGCTTTGAGGAGACACCCTCTGAGATCACACCACGGGGCAGGCTAGCTGTCTGTCCTGGCTCAGGGAAGGCTGAGGATAAGGCCATCCAAGGGAGAAGATATGACTTCACCTCAGAGGTAGCCACTCAAAGGCCATGGGAGAGAGCAAGAGGTATTAACACTTTGCCACCCAGAGATGCATCTGCCAAGGTGACTCTTGCCTCACTGCAGATGAGCTTGGCTCTTGAGCAAGCAAGCCCCTTGATGGTAGAATTTGGGATGTCTGTAGGAATTCACCAAAGCCAAGTCAGTCAGAAAGCACTCAGCTGGGAACACAGGAAGAGCAGAACTGGAGATAGGAGAAGGCTGTGTGGTAACAGAAGTAGGATCTGGCCTGCCTTCCAGAGACAATCAGGCCTCAGTGGCCAAGCCTGCCCCAGGCTCTCCCCATAGGAAACATGGCGTGTCACCAGGCAAGATGCTCGCCTGTACAGGAAGCTGCTTTTACCTTCTGGGAAGCATTCCACTTCCTGAGAGGGGCTGAGAGAAAGCAGCTCCCTTTCCCAAGATGTCATTCTTTCCCATAAGCCCAAATCTGAGTGGTTAATTGAATTAGAATTAGAATTATAGGTACCTGCCATCACGCCTGGTGAGTCCACAGAGGCTGGCCCATCTTCTGAAGTGTTCTCCTGCCTTCTCCATCCTACAAGTGAGGACCAAGCTGCCAGTTTGGTGGTCACCATGGAACTTGTTATGGAACTTGCAATGCTGGAAGGGACCTCTCTGCTGAGGCCCAGGCAAAAGTACTCTTTTCTGAGTTTTCTGACCACCTTGTATCAAAGACTGATGTTTCTACAGAGGTTGAAGAAGAGGCTATTTTCAAAAGATTCTTCTCACTTGTCTCTGGCAACTTGGTGGCCAGGATGCTCTCTGTGCGTGCTTGCTGAATAACATGAGAGATTGGCTGAACCACGTGGGGCACCGAAGTTCCTGAGATCCCAAGTCTCTTCTCCATTTCAGTTTTTGGACCAGTGATGCTTTTAACAGGTTTGGAGGAGGTTCTTTGAAATGGAACTGGAGACTTTGTAATACAGGACTTCATGATCTTTTCCCTTGAATCTGCTCTAGGATCCCAGAAGACACGATACTTCCCCTGCAGTGCTTTATCTCCGGTGTCAAGCATAGTTCTCAGCTAGCAAGACCACATGCACAGCCAGAGCCTGGGTGGCAGAAACGTGTACTCTCTTGTTCCAACAGGCATGGAAAGAACATGGGGTCATGTTCTTTCTATCACAGGGGAGACACCCTGAAACATGATCTTGTCAGGGTTTGCCTCATAATCATTGATTCCTGTGGCCCTAAGTCCACGGGCATAAATAACAACGTGGCTTTGGGGGCCGGCCCAGATGGTCCCCTTGTACCAGATGTTCAGAGGAAACCAACTTCACATCATCAGGTTAGAGAACTCACCCACCTTGTCTCTCGGGACATGGCAGCATTTCACGGGGACGAAGATTTCTGTCCAAGAGAGTCTGAGTCCTGTAGGAAGGAAAGAACTAGGTGGAGGCACTGGGAAGAAAATCTGTTTATATGAGTGCTGTCAACAGCAAAGCTTCTGTTTTGCCCTTTGCATACATTTCCTATGCCTGGGCCAGAAAACAAGCACGTTCAAGTTGTTGAGGGGAAGGTATGAAGAAAGAGGCTTAAAGAATAAGAGCAAAAAGACATAACAAGTGATTCATAGGATATGGTATTCCCTTCAGCTGACATCTAGGACCGGCTCCCTCAAAAGAGTAGGGGGAATGGGGTAGGACCTTGTAGGGGAAGAAAAATAATCCTTTCTACCCTTCATAATTCTTAACCAGGACTCCCTGTAACAAAGACAGGTTAACAAGCAAAAACACAAAAAGAAGTTTGATAATGTGTATATCTCCTGTATATATGGGAGATAACCCAGAGAAATGAGATTTCAAAGAAAAAGTTTAAACTTGAGGTTTAAATACCATCAGTTCTCTGAAATGAAGAAAGAAGTGTATGGGGAAAGACCCTGTTAAGACCAGAAGACCAGGAAAAGCACCTTAGACAAAGGTAAGGTTGTTCTGCAGGTTTAAGTCATGCCTCCTCCATTAAGTGTCTGGTGATTTAGCCATCCTTCTCCTCCTGGGACAGAGAGGGAGACACTCTTACAGGCAGAGACTTCCTTTATTAATATAACTTTCTCTTAAAATTGTAACTTTTCAGTCATATTTTTGTGGTGGCATATTTTAGTGTCCAACCACCTGAAGTCACTCACAGAGGGAAGTCATCTTCATGGAAGCCATTGAAAAGGTAGCTCTGGCACCTGCTGAGAATAGTATGGGGAAGGAGAGCTTTCCCTCTGTCCTCTGAGGCTTTGATGGCTGAGTCTATGAAACAAACTGGCAGTAGACAGATTCACAGTAAAAATGAGAATACGAATTTATTACATGCATGGGGACATCACATAAAAGAAAAGTGTATATCCCCCAAAACCTGGTGAGATCTAGAAGCATATTTACTCTCTTCATAGGGGAGGCTGGAGGGTGATGTAAGCAACTTAGGGAACTGTAAATGAGTTTTGGTGTGAATAGACCCCCTCTCGCCAAGGGAACCAAAAAACAAACCTGAGTTCCAGGCCATGATGGGCTGGGAGGTTAGATAGGTCTTGTCATCTACCCCTTCCTTCACCCAACCCCCATTAGGCCTTCTTCCCTAAGGGTTAAACAGAAACCAGCTTTCGACAGACTTGCTTCACCAATTTCAACCAATCACCTAATGCCGTCCCTCCCTTTTGCTGTTTTGACACAGCAACAGACCAGCATTCTTTCCTAATAGAGACCACCAATCATGAAGTGATTCTGGTCAGTCTACAGAGGCTGTGCACTGAGGGCCTTCCTGTCCTTTACTTCACTTTTTGTTGTAGAGTCTAACTGAATGTTAAGTCTTTACCCCAAAGCGAACATGGAATGCACGTTACATACATGTTAGCCTACTACACATGCACTCACTCCCCTTCATTAATATTTATAGCTCCTCCCATAACCTGTTGAATATGTGTATTTAGCCCTTCAGCATAAATTCCCATCTCATCCTTCTTTCCCTCAGAGCACTTGCTTTTCAGTTTCAGCTAGTAGCTCCACGTCCTGCCTGCAGGTCGTGGTACCCTCCTTTCCAAATGTACGAACCTCGTGATTCTTCATTTGATGCTGGGAAAGATGAGTGGGCCCTCAGAAGAAAAGGTGACAGCCTATGACGAAGTCTGTCTGGGCACGGAGTCAAACCTCAGTCTCCTCTCCTGTGTTATGAGTTGGTCTTGGTTGACGAGGTTCCTGGGGAAGTCTTGACAGTTGAGTTCCTTTTGGAGGATTGTCTTTAGGCAGATAAGGTGAGCTCAAAGCTAGCCTCTGCCTTCATCCACTGTCTCTCAAAATGCCCTCAGTTCAAAGCAATCAGCACACCAAAGCATATTTTGGGGTGGCATTTTCTGAACTCCTTCAGCAGACAGATCACAATGAGGCATCATTTGCTCAGCAGCAACATAAATTGAGAAGCTGCTGGTGTAACACCCAGATCAGCCATTTGCCGCCCAAATTCCCAGCACAATGTTGGGCAGGCAGGAAGTTGTCTCAAATGGTCGCTACTATCAGGAAAGTACCTTTACTCCCCGAGTCTGTTTCCTCATCTCTAAGGCTGTCATCACTACCTGAAAGGGTTTTAGCCCAGGTTTAGTCCATAGCATGCTTTCCTATGTTCTCACAACTGTTTTTATTCTATTGGGAGTGGGTAGGGGTGGAAGATTCAGAAAAGCCTAAGATATGGCCCTTGAGGACATGGTCCAGTTATGGACAAAATCATGTTTGTGGAGAAGTACACAAGCCAGCCTATGATGGCCAGTGGAGGCACTCAGAGGAGAGTGAATCCTGTGAATCCCTCCATGTTGTTCCTATCCTCTCTATTGACGTGGGGCTTTGGGGAAGACTTTAGACTACAAAAAAAAAGGCTCCAGTCAGTTGCTTAACTCTTCTCCACCCCAGACTAATCCATGAGCATGTCCTGTTGACTCCTCCTCCAAAGTATCTAGAATCCAACTAGTTTTCACCCTTACCTCCATACTGCCATGTCTCACACTTGGCATCTCCCTAACTCATCTCCCTGCTTATACTCATGGAATGGTCCATTATATAAAGTGATTTTTGTTCAAAGATAGATACCACCGTGCTCATATCAATACCTTTTAGTAGCTGGCCCATCATTCAAAATGAAATACACTCTTGCATGTCATAATGACATCTTGGTCAACGATGAACCGCATACACAATGGTAGTCCCATAAAATTATAATGGAGCTAAAAGATTCCCATCACCTAGTGAAGTCTTGATGAACTAGCCTCGTGTAGGCCTAGACAAATATGTTTGTGTCCACATTTCCAACAAAAAAAGTTTACAAAGTAAAAAAAAAACAAAAATTAATAGAAAAAGGCTTATAGAAGAATATAAGGAAAACATTGGCTGGGTGTGGGGGCTTATGCCTGTCATCCCAACACTTTATGAGGCCAAGGCAAGAGGATTGCTTGGGCCCCATCTCTACCAAAAAGAAAAAAAAAAAAATAGGCATAGTGGCACACACCCGTTGTCCTACTCAGGAGGCTGAGGCATGAGGATCACCTGAGCCCAGGATGTCAAGGCTGCAGTGAGACTAGATTGCACCACTGCACTCTAGCCTGAGTGACAAAGCAAGACCTGTCTCTAAAAAACAAGCTATTTTGGTACAGCTGTATGTACTTGTTTTAAACTAAGTATTATTACAAAAAATCAAAAAGAAAACTAAAAAATTTATAAAGTAAAAAAGTTTTAGTAAGCTAAAGTTAGTAATTGAAGAAAACAAAATTTTGAATGTAGTGTAGCCTAAGTGTACAGTGTTTATAAAGCCTACAGTAGTGTACAGTAATGTCCTAGGGCTTCAAATTCACTCACCACTCACTGCCTCACCCAGAACAACTTCTAGTCCTACAAGATTCATTCATGGTAAGTGCACTATACAAGTGTACCATTTTAATTTTTTATACTATATTTTTACTGTACCTCTTCTATGTTTAGGTATGCTTTGATACATAAGTACTGAACAATGTGTTACAGTTGCCTACAGCATTCAGTACAGTAACATGCTATACAAGTTTGTAGCCTAGGAACAAGAGGCTGTACCATACAGCTGAGGTGCCTAGTAGTCTGTACCATCTAGGTTTATGTAGGTCTATGATATGCACACAAGAAAGAAATCACGTGATGCATTTCTCAGAACATATTCCTGTCATAAAGTGACATAAAACCATACTGACACCTGAGGGGTACCAGAATATGCCACCCCAAAATGTGCACCATTGGCGTATAAATTATTTTCAGCTAAACGTCATTGAGAACGAGCAGATTCAGAAAAAGCTCTAAAAACAAGTTTTTATATCGTAAAGAAAATTTATATTTATAAAGGAAATTTCCCATCGTAGAGGTGTTTCCCCCTCCAGGAAAGGAAGGATTCTTAACTCTTCTCGATGGAGAAGGCATCAATCTGTGTAACAAACCTTGATACACAACCCTTGCTTACGGTACTTTTCAGGATCGTCTTCCCATAACCTGCCTTCTCTAAGAGCCTAAAACCCTGTTGTTGTTGTTGTTGTTGTTGTTGTCGTTAAGAGAAATAAAACTAAAATCTTAAGGCTCCCAACTGACTGGATGGACCCCCTCTTTGCCAAGCATACCCCAGAGGAAACTTAAAACCTGAGTTCCCCACCATGACCAGATGGGAGGTCAGACAGACCCCATTATACTCTTCCCTCCCTAATTGCCATTAGGCCTAGTTTCCTAAGGGCTAAACAGAAACTAGCTCTTTTTTAAGTAGAGACAAGGTCTCACAATGTTGCCCAGACTGGTCTTGAACTGCTGGCCTCAAGTGATCCTCCTCCCTTAGCCTCCCAAAGTGCTGGGATTACAGGCATGGGCTACCAACCTTGACCAAAGCCATCCCTATCAAAAGACTTGCTCCACCACTGATTTTAGCAGGACTCCTCTCCCCTTTTGCAGTTTGATACAAATACTAGCCAGTATTCCCTCCTGATAGGGGGCCACCAGCCAGGAACTGGTGGTGGCTGGTTTACAGAGGCTGTGCACAGGATGCCTCTGTGACCTCTGTTTCACTCTTTGATAGAGAGCCTGATTCTAATGCATTTAAGTGTTCAGTCTCCACCCCCAGAGTGAACATGGGATGTATGTAACATGCATGTTTGCTTAGTATGTATGTATACATCCCCCTTCTGAATATTCACAGCTCCTCCGATAACCTGTTGAATATGTATACTTAGCTAACCCTTCAGCATAAATTCTCATTTCACCTTTCCTCCTTTGAAGTACGCCCCAGCCTGAGGGTGGCCAGCCTGCAGGCTGCAACCCTTTATAAGAAATAAAGCTCTCTTTTCCAAATGTATGGACCTCATGATTCTTGAGTTGACAGGTATTTAAACCCAAGTTCTAACTACCCCTTTGGGTTACTTATCACTGAGTGCTCTTATATGTGCATGTGTGATGCACATGTTAGGAAACTATTTTTCTTCTGTTAATGTCTCTCTGGCCAGTCTCATTTACAGGACACCAGCTGGAGAACCTAAAAGGGTAGAAAAAACAATTATCTTCCCCTACACACCTATGCAGGACCTCTAAGGCTTCTCTTGATCTGGCCACTGCCTCCTGGACCTTACTTCCTGCATCTCTCCTCCTTGCTCGTTCCCTTCTGGCTATACTAACTTCCTTTCTGTTCTTAAGAATACGTGAAGCTCATTCCTACCTTAGGATGTGACACTACTGTTCCCACTTCCCAGGATACGCTCTCTTCATTTGGCTTTCTCATTTCAACCAGCTTTCTACTCAAACATCACCTCAAAGAAGCCTCCTCTAACCACTATCAAAAGTAGCCTCCCAACCTTATGTTTTTCTTCCTATCACCTAAACATAAAAATATGGTAGTTCTATCAATGGACCATCTCCCCCACTAGAACATACGCTGCATGGAAGAACATACTTTGATTTTGTTCATTGCTACATTCCCAGGGCTTAGTATAGTACCTAGCAAATGAGAGCTACTCAGTAAATGTTGGCTGAACACATAAGAGCCTGTCAGCTATTTGACACTGTGTCACTTGGATGGACGTAAATAATCATAAGTCCAGTAATAAGGCCACAGGACCAGTGGGGGTAGTTAGAGGGAGAGGTTTCAACCCAATATAAGTTAAATGTAACTGAGAACAAACATGTCTCTTGTTCCTAATAACTAGAGTCTACTTAGCAGACGTGGATGCAAAGCAGGACAGTGGTTCTCATACTTGAGTGAGCATCAGAACCACAGAGAGGACTTGTCAAAAATAGAAACTGCTGGGCTCAGAATTTCTGATTCCTTAGGTCTAGGTGGGGCCTATGCATGTCTAACAAGTTCCCAGGGATGGGGCGTTATTGGTCTGAGGACCTCACTTGGAGAGCCATTTGTTATAGAAGTTTGGACTATATAATCACCTTTCCATCGACAGAAACCCAGGGAGTAGACTCAGAAAGAGTATGGGCATGTTGGCCTTCAAGTATCACATGGATCTAATAGCTGATCTTTACTGTTGTTATCCTCATGTCACTAACCTTCAGGGAAAAACCTTCTTACCTAAATTCTTCCAAAAATCAAGTATTTCTTCCCTTATGGAGCATTCCCTGCCTTCGCTAGTCCATGATGCCTGTAATCCCAACACTTTGGGAGGCCAAGGAAGAAGGATCACTTGAGCCCAGGAGTTTGAGACCAGCTAGGGCAACATAGACTCCATCTCCACAAAAAAATTTAAACATCATTTGGGTGTGGTGACATGCACCTGTGGTCCCAGCTACTCAGGAGGCTGAGGTGGGAAGATCACTTGAGACTGGGAGGGCAAGGCTGCAGTGAGCTGTGATTGCACCACCATGCTCCAGCCTGAGTGACAGAGCAAGACTTTCTCTCTTTCTTTCTCTCTCTCTCTCTCTCTCTCACACACACACACACACACACACACACACACACACACACCAGATACAGGTGGATACAGGAGGAAACAATAGTAGAAAATTCATTCAATTCATTCTTCACCTCCAAAGCATCTAAATCCAGGCCTGACAGAAATACACCACTCAGAAACACACCAGGAGGAGACTTCTCCTTCGTCCCTTCTCCTCTGGCCAATACAACAGATGTCAAAAGCACAGCCTGCTCTAGAATCCTGCACAGACAGGGTTCAGCCCCACATGGAGACTCCAGGTGCCCACGCAGGTGTTACTGTGGTGGTATTCAGCACCGGCTGCATATTGGAACTGGTTGGGAAGCTTGTAAACATCCAGACGGCCGGGTTCCACTCAAAACCAATTAAGTCAGACTCTCTAGGGGTGGGACTCAGGCCTCACAATTTTAAAAGATCTTCAGTTAATTCTCATGTTCAGCCAAAATTGAGAAAAGCTGCTTTGTTTTTTTTCCAACAGGCCCTCAGAAATGCCAGTGTAGACTTGGCAGTGTTGTCCACCTTAGTGGATCATTCATTCTGGCCCTTAGGATGATCCTGGTTCTTGGCTGTTGCATATCACTCAGCTCTGAGACATAACCTCATACAGGGACAAGAAACACTTAAACAGAATCAAATGCCAGAGCAAAGCCTTCTCCATAGGCCCAACCTCAAGGTTACATCTCTCCACTTAATAGTGTTGTCAGTTTTGAGTTCCTACAAAGGCCAAAGGCGGTGCCTCTCAGCCATAACCCTGGTCTCATTGTCTGGATGGAGGCAACATTGTGGGAGGCTGGCAAGAGCCCCTCTCAGGACAGAGCAATCAGCTTCAGTGCCTGCAGCACTCTGACTTCTATTTCCTCTCGATTTTCCAGAGTTTTGGAGTAAACATAGAAGATGACACCAGATGGTTGGGCACAGTGGCTCACGCCTATAATCCCAGCACTTTGGGAGGCTAAGGCAGGTGGATTGCCTGAGCTCAGTAGTTCGAGACCAGCCTGGGCAACACGGTGAAACCCCATCTCTACTAAAATACAAAAAATTAGCCGAGCGTGGTGGCAGGCACCTGTAGTCGCAGCTACTCGAGAGGCTGAGGCAGAATTGCTTGAATGAACCCAGGAGGCGGAGCTTGCAGTGAGCCGAGATTGCACCACTGTACTCCAGCCTGGGCAACAGAGCAAGACTCCATTTCCAAAAAAAAAAAAGAAGAAGAAGACGCCAGAATAGAATTAGTAGTCCTGGTCTTAGAGGTGTCACAATTTGATGACCCCCTCCTCACTCATTTCCTCAAAGGCCAAAGTCCCAAAATGTTGATAATAATGTAGATTTTTTACCCGTTTTACAAACATGAGTACCTGACTTGTCTGTGTCCCTACAGTGTCATCCACCTCTTCAAGAGCTCCTCTGCCTGGGTCACTGGGTTTCTGGGCCTGAGGCGTTTGCCTGGCATCCCCCAAGATGACGGATTTCCCGAGGTCAGGAGCTAAGCTTTATGGGTCTCTATCTCCTGTGGTTGCCCCCATGCAGGGGTTCCAAAAGCATTGATTGGTTGGTAGAAAATATGGGAGGCCACATTTGTAGAAGAGGAAGCTGTTCTTCCCCCTGGGCAGGCTCTCTTGAGAATTAAATGTGATTAAGGGCACAGTGGGCAGCAGGTAGCTAAAGCTCACCTTGGGGGAGTTGTCAAGAACTTCACTCATCACTACCCCAGGGCCCGATATCCCAATGTCCACCTGATGTCTGGCAAAAAACATGCTTCCTTCTAGGAATAGGAGGTGCCTGTTGTGCACAGAGGCCTTTTCTCAACTACCGCCTGTCTAATTTATCTAGCAAATGGCCCCAGGAGCTACCCCTCTACATCTCCCCCTTGCCCGAGGGCATCCAAAGGGGCTCGAATAATATGCTGATATGCAATTTGGGGGCCTGAGGTGCACAGCCATGCATCACCCACTCCTGGAAGGTCCCCTCAACCCAGGGCTCCCCAAGAGCAACGGGGTGGCAGGCCAGGCACTCTCTGCATGGAGCCTGGGCAGCCCCTGATTACTCACCTCTTTGGCTCAGGGCCCGAGAGCCAAGCCAGGCTTGGGGCTAGGCCTGCAAGCTAGTCATGGAGGTGGGCCTGGGCCTGGCCCTCAGGGAGCTTCCATTCCAGCCATCAGGCAAGAGAAGGAGACCAGGAGGAAGAAAAGCCTCGTGGAGAGCAGGGGCCCCATTCTGACCACAGCTCCCTTCCCTCTTCCAGCAGCAGTGGTCTGAGGTGGTACAAAGCTTCCACTGCCTCCTCCTTTTGGGCAGCTCTGAGGCCTGAGGATGTAATTAACTAATGATGCACCTGTTCTTCATTAACCAGTGAAGCAGGGATGCCCAACCACAGCTGGGATGGAACCAATACTGGGGGAATTAAAGATCAAAAAACACCAAAGGCCAAGACAAAGCTGATGGAGTGGCTTCTTCCCACTCACCCCCCACCTCCACCCCACCAGCCCTTACCAGAGACTGAAAGAGATTCCTCCTCACTTATTTCTCAGGGGATCTTGCTGAAGCAGGAAATTTCCCTGACCCCTTGTGGGTGGGAACTGGAGTGTGGGTGTTTGAACTAGCTACTTCAGTGCTAGCTGGGGCAAACCCCACTCACTGGAATCCACCACACTCAACCCCTCCAGGGATGGAGCATGCAGGTGAGCGGGTGCAGGAGCCAGAGAGAGCGCTTTTGGGTGACAGCCGGAACAAACTCTGTACTGGCCCTGCAGCAGTGTCTAGGGGGGTGCCCACAACCCCTAAAGCCCCAGAAGGAGTGTTTCAGTCAATGCTCTTTTAGCTTTGCCATCTGCAGATGGCTTAAGTGTTAACAGCTCAGTGGAGGGTCAGTGTGACAGCCCTTTGCACCCACACTCAAATTCTTATCTGAGGTCTAGGAGGAATGAGGTCACACAAACAAATTGGAGATGATAAATGCAGGGGATTTTATTGCTGATGAAAGTGGCTCTCAGTGAGAAGGGGAGCTGAGAAGGGGAGGGAGTGGGTAGGTAATCTTCCCCCGGAGTCTGGCCATCCCTGGCCAGACTCCTCTCCAAAGCTATGCCATCAAGCTGTCCCTCTGAAGTCAAGCCCCTTCTCTCCGACATTCAACCATAGTCTCTGACATCCAACTGCTTCTTCTCTTCTCTCTCTGCTAGTGGAGCCTGGGGCTTTCTTGGGCACAGGTTAGGAGTGGGGCGGGCCATGGGTGGTTTTGGAAAAGGCAACAGTCAAGCAGGAAAACAGGAATGTTCTCACTTTGGGCCATAGTTTTAGGCTTGAGGGTGAGGCCCTTGCTGGAGACCCACCCACTTCTGCCCAGAATTTCCCTTCTCCTGTCCCTATCATTGCCACCCAAACCTGGGCAAAGGTAAGGCTGAAATTCCCTTGGCATGAAAACAAGATGGACATGAAGAACTGCTAGACCAGGAGTCACTCCAGCCACCGGCCTCCCCTTTTCTGAGCACTTCCTTCCTGGTGCTTCCTCATCACTCAGCTTTCCTCGGAGTGCACCCTCAAGTCTACGGAACCTGCTTCCAGAAACCTACTGGCATTAGTCATTTGCACCTTTGTGTGATTTCAGTCCTTATGTCATCTCTCCCACCATAATCCCTGGTCCTCTGAGTGGAACATCAAGGTCTTGTAGCCACTTTTCCTGGGTTGAAGAACTCCAGGCATGGCAAAGCCCTGGAAGAGATATGGGGTGGAGGAGGGATGCAGAGGAATTCTGGGTCCTGAAATTAGACCATTTAAGTGAATCTTGCCATCTCAGGCCCCGCCACTCCGAAAGTGTTGGCACTTCTCAGAGTTATGTCCTTGGCCAAGGTCCCTCCACACTTCTCTCGGGTCCTCTCTGCAGCACACAGGACTTCCACCACCACCCATTCCCGATGCCCTCAAATCCTTACCTCTACCCGGTGTCTCTGAGTGCCCTGCCTTGGGATCAGGCTGGCTACTGAATGCTCAGTTTCTACCTGAACATGTGGTGTCCCCTTCCCCAGATGCCATCTGATCCTTCTTCCATAGCTTCATCAGTGGTACCATTCTACTTGGGTGACACCTGCCACATAAGCCCCTCTCCTCTCCATCCATCATTCCACTTCCTTGGTTAGAGCCCTAGAACCCTCACTTACCTATGAGAACAGTCTATGTTTATTGTGAGTTTGAGGAGTCCTTGTAGGTGGTTTTTCTGCATGGAAAAGATTAAAGATAACTTTGGTTTTTAAAAAAAAATATATAAGTTTTTGGCATGATCAATTTAAAAAATCTTCCTTTAGCTTTTTTTCCAACAGTAATAATTTACTATAAAGAATTAACTAGGCATACATTTGTTGACTGTATCACCAATAATTATAATTATACTTTACTGGGCAACATTTTCAGTAAGTAGAGCTTTTAAAGTTCTAAGGATTGAGCACTTTCAGGTGTCATTTCTCTGTCTCTCTCTCTCCCTCGATATATATATATATATATATTTTTACCATCTTAACCATTTTTAAGTGGCACATTGTTCAGTGACATTAAGTATATTCATGTTGTTCTACCACTGCTAACATCCATCCACAGAATTCTTTTCATCTGCAAAACTGAAACTCGGTACACGTTAAACACTAACTCCCCATTCTCCTTCCCCTGCCCCAGCCCCTGGCACCACCATCCTGCTTCTGTCTTTATGAATTTGACTAATCTAACCTTACATAGGTAAAATCATATTGTATTTGTTATTTCATGACTGGCTTATTTCACTTAGCAGAGTGTCCTGCAGGTTCATCCATGTTGAAGCATGTGACAGAATTTTCTTCCTTTTTAAGGATGCATAATATTCCACTGTATGGCTATACCACATTTTGTTTATCCATTCATCTGTAAAAAACCTTCCTTTAGATTTTAAGTTCTTTGAAAGATTTTCCCCCCATTTATAACTGTAGCAAATTATAGCAAACATCTTTAGAATGTTGTTGGTTAATATTTGGTCCTATTTATAAGCTTATGTATATACATTCAAACATTTTAAACTACTTTTATAAATTTAATATATGCAATTTCTTTTTAAATACCTCAATTATCTGACTTAAACAAAATCTTAATAACTTTTTGAAAATCTAAATATAATAAACTGATAAATATAGCAATACTTAAATTATTCTAAGTCTTCCAACATAGAAATTTATTAAACTTTCAACTTAAAATCACAAGTCTAACTTCTTCAGTTACACTTTTAAATTCAAATTATAGGCCTGGCACAGTGGCTCACGCCTGTAATCCCAGCACTTTGGGAGGCCGAGGTAGGCAGATCATTTGAGTCCCAGAATTTGAAACCAGCCTGGGCAACATGGAGAAACCCCATTTCTACAAAAAACACAAAAAGATTAACCAGGTGTAGTGATGCATGCCTGTACCTACCCAGGAGGCTGAGGTAGGAGAATTGTTTGAACCTGGGGGGCTGCACTCCAGCCTGAGTGGCAGAGCAAGACCCTATTTCCAAAAAAAAAAAAAAATTCAAATTATAAGCCTCAGCTGTTCCTCTCATAGACCAAATTCTCTTAAACATCATAAGTACTTAAAATGCCAACTATGTGTAGAGTATTCCTAAAACAAAAGAATTAATACTGGCCAGGCGCGGTGGCTCACACCTGTAATCTCAGCACTTTGGGAGGCCAAAGTGGGCAGATCACGAAGTCAGGAGTTCGAGACCAGCCTGGCCAATATGCCAAAACCCCGCCTCTACTAAAAATACAAAAATTAGCTGGGCATGGTAACACATGCCTGTAGTCCCAGCTACTCGGGAGGCTGAGGCAGAAGAATTGCTTGAACCCGGGAGGTAGAGGTTGCAGTGAGCCGAGATCGCACCACTGCACTCCAGACTGGGTGACAGAGCAAGACTCCATCTCAAAAAAAAAAAAAAAAAAAGAATTAATACTATCCAATGTATTTGAAATACTTTCTAATTTCTATACTGTACTTAATCTTTAATTTTCATGGGCCTAAAGATGTTTTCCCAGAGAGGAGAGTTTTCCAGACTTACCAGAAAATAAGAACCACCTGGGCATTTGTCAAATACACAGATTCCTAGGCCATACAATCCCTGAATCTGCATTTCCAGGAAAAAGACCAGGTAATCTGCATGATTATAACAGCCCCAGATTTTTTGTTGTTGTTGTTGTTTTGTTTTGTTTTGTTTTTTTGAGAAGGAGTCTTGCTCTGTCGCCCAGACTGGAGTGTAGTGGTGCCATCTCGGCTCACTACAAGCTCCACCTCCCAGGTTCACGCCATTCTCCTGCCTCCGTCTCCCCAGTAACTGGGACTACAGGCACCTACCACCATGCCCAGCTAATTTTTTTTGTATGTTTAGTAGAGATGGGGTTTCACCATGTTAATCAGGATGGTCTCGATCTCCTGACCTCGTGATCCGCCCACCTCGGCCTCCCAAAGTGCTGGGATTACAGACGTGAGCCACCACACCTGGCCTAACAGCCCCAGTTTTATCTTATCACTGTGGAAGTTTGGAAACACTTTACTTAGGGGAAAATTGCTTCTCAGTCATCTATGGACCAGATTTTGGCCAGGCTCTGAATAGATTCTTGTGGGTAACTCTGAAAGGATCCCCTACCCCTTTTTTATCTTTCATTTCAGGGTTGTTGTAAGTTAAAGGAGGTGGCTCACCTTCTTTTGATGTGTATCACATCATTATTCAGTTTTCAAATCAGAGTACAGCCTGGGGCCTCATCACTCTCTGGCTGTATAGATAATGTCAATATCTTCTCTTTCTATCTCTGAAGAACTTTTAAAAAATTCTTCTCTCTTCAGGCTCTCAGGACCACATATCTTTAGAGACTGACAGGCTCCTAAGAAGCACCCTGATTCTGGCCTTGCCCCCTCCACAGGGCTCCTATGTGATCTTCCCAAGATGCAAGAAAAGGGCACACCCTACTAAACCCTCCCCTGGCTGCCACTGCCAAGGTCCTATTGACCTAGAGGAAGAAGGCATGAAACACCATTTTAAAGAGTTTACTTGATTTTTAAATTTTTATGTATTTTTTGTTGTTGTTGCAGAGACAGGTTCTTGCAATGTTGCCCAGAGCTGGTCTTGAACTCCTGACCTCAAGCAGTCCTCCTGCCTTGGCCTACCCAAAGTGTTGGGATTACAAGGATGAGCCACTATGCCTGGCCTTAAAGAGTTTATTTGAGCCAAAGTGAGGGCAGCTGCCCAGGACATACTTCCAAGTTGCCCTGGGGAGTGTTCCGTTCCACCTTTGTTACAAGCAAATTTTCAAAGGCAAAAGGGAACAAGGAGTGGGATGATATGAAGTTCTTTGACAGTTCTCATTGGTTTTCAGAAATAACACTGATTAGTGATTGGCTATACATTGTTGACCATTGTTAAACTATAGGGTATGAGTTATGGTGTCCAGAGTGTGGCATTTTATAGCTACTGAGTGTCAGTTAGTCTAGAGCCCACATGGCAAGTGGCTTCAAGAGGGAATTATTGATCTCATGCGGAGAGTGAGACATAACTACAGCCACATTTTAAATGTCTCTCTGGGCCTGGTATTTTAAAAGGGCTGACGTTCCTCAGATTGAAAAGTTTCTTTTCTTTCTCACTCCCTAGCCTGGCATGAAAAGCCTGGCTCACGGCCCACTGCCCTTTTCCCAGGTCTGTGTCTCAGGCCCCCTCCACCAGGTCCCAGCTGCACTGAACTCCCCACAGTTCTCCAAAGAGCCCACTCCATGCCGCACCTGAGCCCAGGCACCTTAACGTGCATTCTAGGAGAATTCTCAGAAGCAAAGTTTGCGACCCGCTGAATCCCATCCAGGCCTTTGTCCTTGACGTTTTCTCCGCCTGGAGTGCCCTCTCCTAACTTTCTGATTCCCACCACGCCTTTAGGGCCCGGCGTAACCATCTCTTCCTCTGTGGAGCATTCCTTGACTACTAAAATCAAGTTCATCTCTCCTCTGTGTGTCCCCACTGACCTAGCAGATACTTCAGTTTGTAAACATCTGTGATGATCACTGACCTAGACAAAGCTCAGTGAGGCCAGGGACCCCGTCTCTTGTTCATCACTGAGGTGCCAGCACCATGTAGAGCCAGGCTCACTCACTGAATGATGTCCCCATGTCTCCCCCAGCCCCATCGACCACGGATGAACAGATGTCCCAGGCTCCCCTGTACCACCCAGTGCCTCTCCACTGCCCTTGGCTCAAAATGTTTGTTTTTCATTCCATTAGGCTGAAAAAGAATGGTTTAGCTGCTTCCCTGGGTATCGCTGCCAACATGCCCCAGTGGCCCCAGTGACTGGTGACCCCAGTGTGACCACTAAGATCTTTGTCCCACGGGGGCAGTGCAGACAGGTGCCCATGTCAATAGATCCTGCCAAAGATGTCTAGTGCTAATTCTTCTCCCCAGCCAAACCAAGTTGGCCAGCCTGCAAAATGCCTGAGGAAGGCCTGCCGCCAGAGCGGGCCTACTCACATCTGAGGGCTCCCAAGTGCCTGCGGGCCAGGCTCTGTGCCTCCAGCAGTTGCTGCTGCTGCTATGGCTCCCCAAGTCATGAGCCAGCCCCGTGGACCGCTGGCGTCGGCCTGGGGGCTTAGCCATTTCATACACCTGCAGCAAGCATCCGCTCCTTCTCCCAGCTGTGTGTGTGGAAAGGTAGCAAGCTCCACTCCACTCAACCGTGGACAGAGTGGCCAAGTTTTAGAGCACCAGGTCTGAAGGCTGCCTGACCTTTCTCTCCGGGGGTACAGTCATTGCCAGGACTTCAAGCCTCAGTGAAGATTTATTTTTACTCAGACTTAGTGTTGAAAGCTCAGGGGACAGGCTTTCATTTAATGTCTGGCCAAGAGACATGCTTGGAGATTGACCACATTTCAGGTCAGGTGCCTCTTGTTCTGGCCCAGGCAGAGGCCGGTGTCTGTTAAAAGAGTGGCCGGAGGACGTTCTGCATCAGAATCGCTGGATGGAGAAGAGTATATCCGTTAAAATGCATATTCCTGGGCCCCACCCCACGTCTTCTGTTTCTGAGCCTCTGGGGAAGGGGGTCCCATGATCTGCCTAATTAACAAGCCCTCAGCCCCAGACCCAGGAATTCTGGTGCTCACTAAAGTTTGCAAAACATTGCCTGCCCAGTCCAGTTGCAGTAAGTCAACGTGCTTCACTCTGCTAAAGCAGGAAGAGAAAACTCATTTCTGCCCCAGGGTCCAGATTTCAGCAAAGTAAAAGATTTGCAATCCTCAACGTCCATATGAACTCCATGGTTTTATATTTGTCTCCAGAAACCCTGTGCATATGTGCATGTGTGTGGTGAGGGAGGGATAGTCTAGCACTTGAAGGAGGTTATAGTGGAAGATGCAAAGGAGACAAGAGGGGAATAATAAGAAAGAGGCAAAGAAAGAAAGGCGATCTCCTGCGGGACTGTTGTACAAAGATGAGCCGAAAGCCCAGGACCCTCCAACCCACAGGATCATGGGAAAGAGGAAGACTAAGGAGGTGCCTGACTGAAGTATAAAATCACAAACCACATTCCCCTATAGCATGGCTGGATCTCAAACACATACGACTGAGTAGGAGGGAAAAACGCATCACAAAGAATAATATAGTAGAATCTATTTATATAAATTTTTTAAATTAGCAAAAGCAAATCGCATATGCTATAGGAGGTAGGCTGTAAAGGAAGGCAAAGGAATGATGCGCCTGAAATTCAGGACAGGCCCCCCTTCTACTTCTGGGAGAGAAAAGACTGCAGGGAATTTCAAAAGTACTGATAAATTTCCATGTCTTACACCAGACGGTAGGTGCTCAGACATGGTAACACGTACATAACGCATATCATTTTATGTGTAGGATACACTAAGATTTTTAAACATATATATGAAATAATGAGCAGCATGAATAAAATAAACATGACTGTTTATCAATTTCTGAAATACAAGGAAAAGGCGGCAACCTCTGGAATTTGTGTAAGTACAGCTTGAGCAAATAAAAGGCAACCTCATGTACCAAGGGGATTATGAACGTTCAGGACTCGTTACTGTCTGTTCTTGCCTCCAGGACAGGGATGGGCAGGAGGTGCCATCACCAGCTGGTGAAGTCACCAGGACCTGCCCGGGAGAGGAAGTACAGTGTGGCACGCCCAAGGCTTCAGGCAGAGGGCTGAGGGCCAGCCAGTGGGGGCAGTGTCCCGTGGGGTGTGTGGGCCCATGCTGGAGCTGGTAAATCCAAAAGTGGCCAAATGGGAAGGGGAACCAAGACTGGCAGCCAGGCAAGTGGTGTGATGGGTGGGGCATCTGACAGGGATGCCTGTAGAATTCTCTGAGGTGGGGTATCTGACAGGGACAGCCTGTAGAATTATCTGAACCAGATTTGGACCTTGTCTGGGCTAAGTGGGACCTGGCCTGTGGCAAGATGCTGGAAGTAGCCAATGGACTCACCTGAAATGGACATCACCTCTAGAGGTGACAACAGCAGACAGAGCCCCAGAGGCCAAGAGTAGCCACCTGGAAGTACAGCCTGAGATGGCCCCATTAGCCACACACTCCCAGAGACATAAGGAGCCCCAGAAGGCACCAGTCCACTCTCAGGCTCAATGTAGAAATCCCTTCTCCATCTTGTCACACAGGTCCCCAAGCTCTGTGTGAGTATTCCAGTGGTGCAGGACGTCTGCACCTCTTTTTATAAGGTGAAATAAGTGAAAATATAAGTGAAAATAAGTTCACTGTAGCTGTGTGGATTTGTTCCTGGGTTCTCTATTCTGTTCCATTGGTCTAAGTGTCTGTTTTTATGCCAGTACCATGCTGTTTTGGTTGCTATCGCTCTGTCCCATTGTAAAGAGACATTTATGATTAAGCCTTTTGTTCTGAGCTGAGGTTGGCCTCCTTGGCGCATTTCCCTGATGGTCACATGTCTGCTTTCAGGGGCAGTGCAAAATGAGCCAAGTCCCTCTTGCACACACCACATTAGCAGGTCTGTGGGTCCAAGCCAGCAAGTGGGACAAGGTCCACTAGGGGGATAGTGTGGTAGACACAGAGATATGCCAACTCAGCTGCCCCTCAAAGAAGGACTTGCCACAGCCAGTGGACAACCTCCAGCTCCCTCAGGGTTGGCTGAGAGCTGCCTCACCAAGACCATGCCCACATCCAGTGACTGATCATGGGAAGGGCATCTAAATGCCTGGACACTTCTGCCCACCCATAAACAACACCAATGGGCCATACATGCCTATGGGATGGGCTTTATCCAGCTTGAATCACAGTGTGACCCCTCTCTCTGCCCAGTCCTACTGCGGCTGCCTGACCTTCATAGGTGTTTACCCCTAATTAATACCATCCACACCAAACTCCATCTCAGCACCTGCTTCCAGAGAGCCCTGGATCCTGTGGAAGGGGAGTCTTACAACAGATTAAACCAAACAGGAGGTAGTTTTAGACCCACTAGCAAAGAAACTGCTGTTTCCATTTGCAGATAACTTGTTCACTGCAGCCAATGCTAAGGGTCTAAGGTTTCCCTAAGAGTTCCTTCAAAACAAATAAAAAAGAATTTTGAGAGAATCTCCTGCAACTTTCCACCCTGAACATGTTGTTTTAACGAGCAATCCGGAAAGGTAAAGACTCCAAACATGCTCAGCTCCATGCCCCTGTGTGGGGTTGGAAAGTTCCCCACGGGTGTGCTTGTCACCCTTCTACTTGTTGATGCCAGAACAAGATTCGCCAGCACAAACCAGTAGGACGACCTGGTAATTTCCACTCACTTGAAAAGGGTTCTTGTCCTTGCCTAGTCCCAGAACTCTCAAAAGCAGCCACTCTCCTTGTTCTCCCTCTTCTGGTCACATAGCGCAGGTTGCTTTCACCCCATTAACTGTGCCTGGCTTTAGGACAGTTCTCAGCTGTGGGCCATTCTGGTTATTTACTTGTATATTTTTTAATCCATTCCCTTGAGCATTTATCCTTTCAGTTACAAACAATCCAATACACTCTTTTAAGTTATTTTTAAAGGTGTAATTAAGTTATTATTGACTATAGTCATAATGTTCTGCCATCAAATAGTGGGTCTTATTCTTTCTAATTTTGTACCCATTAGCCATTCCCCCAACCCCCCACTACTCTTCCCAGCCTCTGATAACCATCTTTCTACTCTCTATGTCCATGTGTTCAATTGTTTTGATTTTTAGATCCCACAAATTAGTGAGAACATGTGATGTTTGTCTTTCTGTGCCTGGCTTATTTCACTTCATATAATGATCTCCAGTTCCATCCATGTTGTTGCAAATGACTAAACCTCATTCTTTTTATGGCTGAATACTACTCTATTGTGTATAGGTACCATATTTTCTTTATCCAGTCATCTGTTAATGGACAGTTAGGTTGCTTCCAAATTTTGGCTATTGTAAACAGTGCTGCAACAAACATAGGAGTGCGGATATCCTATGATTTCCTTTCTTTAGGGTGTATACCTACCAGTAGAATTGCTGAATCATAGGGTAGCTCAATTTTTAGTTTTTTGAGGAACCTCCAAACTATTCTCCATAGTGGTTGTCCTAATTTACATTCCCACCAACAGTGTACAAGGGTTCCCTTTTCTCTACATCCTGGCCAGCATTTGTTATTGTTTGTCTTTTGTATAAAAGCCATTTTAACTGGGGTGAGATGATATCTCATTGTACTTTTGATTTGCATTTCTCTGATGATTGATAATGTTAAGTACCATCTCATATGCCTGTGTGCCATAGGTCTTCTTTTGAGAAATGTCAATTCAAATCTTTTGCTCATTTTTTGATTGGATTATTTTATTTTTTCCCTATATAGTTGTTTCAGCTCCTTATATATTCTGGTGATTAATCCCTTGTCAGATGGGTAGTTTGCAAATATTTTCTCCCATTCTGTGAGTTGTCTCTTCACTTTGTTGACTGTATCCTTTGCTGTGCAGCAGCCTTTTAACTTGATATGATTCCATTTGTTCATTTTTGCTTAGGTTGCCTGTGCTTGTGGGGTACTGCTCATGAAATTTTTGTCCAGACCAATGTCCTGGAGATTTTCCCCAATGTTCTCTTGAAGTAGTTTCATAGTTTGAGGTCTTAGACTTACATCTTTAATCCATTTTTATTTGAATTTTGTATATGATGAGAGGTAGCAGCCTAGCTTCATTCTTTTGCATATGAATATCCAGTTTTCCCAGCAGCATTTATTGAAGACCGTCTTTTCCCCACTGTATATTCTTGGCACCTTTGTTGAAAATAAGTTCACTGGAGCTGTGTGGATTTGTTTCTGGGTTCTCTATTCTGTTCCATTGGTCTATGTGTCTGTTTTTATGCCAGTACCATGCTGTTTTGGTTGCTGTAGCTCTGTAATATAATTCGAAGTCAGGTAATGTGGATTCCTCCAGTTTTGTTCTTTTTGCTGAGGATAGCTTTGGCAATTGGGCCTTTTGTAGTTTCATATAAATTTTGCGGTAGTTTTTTCTATTTCTGTGAAAAATGTCATTGGTATTTTGGTAAGGATTGCACTGAATCTGTAGATTGCTTTGAGTAGTATGGACATGTTATCGATATTAATTCTTCCAATTCATAAACACAAAATATTTTTCAATTTTTGATGTCCTCTTCAATCTTTCATCTTTCATCTTCAATCTTTCATCAGTGTTTTACAGTGTTCATTATACAAATATTTCACTTCTTTGGTTAAGCTAATTCCTAGGTATTTTTGTGTGGCTATTATAAATGGGATTACTTGCTAAATTTCTTTTTCACATTGTTCACTGTTGGCATATAGAAATGCTACTGATTTTTGTATGCTGACTTGGTATCCTGCAAATTTGCTGAATTTGTTTATCACTTCTAACAGTTTTCTGGCGGAGTCATTAGGTTTTTCCAAATATAAGATCACGTCATCTGCAAACAAAGATAATTTGACTTCTTCCTTTCCAATTTGGATGCCCTTTATATCTTTCTCTTGTCTGATTGCTCTAGCTAGGACTTCCAGTACTATGGTGAATAACAGTGGTGACACTGGGCATCCTTGTCCAGATCTTAGAGGAGAGGTTTTTAGTTTTTCCCCATTCAGTATGATACTGGTTGTGGGTCTGTTGTATATGGCTTTTATTATGTTGAGGTATGTTCCCTCTATACCCAGTTTTTTTAGGGATTTTATCATGAAAAGATGTTGAATTTTATCAAATGCTTTTTCAGCATCAATTGAAATGATTATATGGTTTTTATCCTTCATTCTGTTGATACGATGTATCACATTGTTTGATTTATGTATGTTAAACTATCCTTGCATCCCAGAGATAAATCCCACTTGGTCATGCTGAATGGTCTTTCTAATGTATTACTGAATTCAGTTTGCTAGTATTTTGTTGTTGATTTTTGCTTCAATCAGAGATATTGGCCTGTAGTTTTCTTTTTCGGATGTGTCTTTGGTTTTGGTATCAGGGTAGTACTGGCCTCGTAGAATGAGTTTGGAAGTATTCCCTCTTCCTCTACTTTTTGGAATAGTTTGACTAGGATTGGTATTAGTTCTTCTTTAAATGTTTGGTAGAATTTAGCAGTGAAGTCATAGGGTCCCAGGGTTTTCTTTAGTGGAAGGCTTTTTATTACAGCTTTAATCTCATTACTTGTTATTGGTCTGTCCAAGTTTTGGATTTCATCATGGTTCAATCTTGGTAGGTTGTATGTGTCTAGGAATTTGTCCATTTCTTCTAGATTTTCCAATTTATTGGCATATAATTGCTTATAGTAGCTACTAATGATTCTTTGCATTTCTTCAGTATCAGTTGTAATATCTCCTTTTTCATTTCTGATTTTATTTATTTGGATCTTCTCTCTTTTTTTCTTAGTCTAGCTAAAGGTTTGTCAATTTTGTTTAACTTTTCAAAACACTAACTTTTTGTCTTGTTGATCTTTTATATAATTTTTTTCATTTCAATGTCATTTATTTTTTCTCTGATCTTTATTTTTTTTTTCTTCTACTAATTTTGGTTTTGGTTTGCTCTTGCTTTTCTAGTTCTTTAAGACGCATCATTGATTGTTTATTTGAAGTTTTTCCTCTTTTTTGTTGTAGGCACTTAAAGCTATAAATGTCCCTCTGAGTACTGCTTTTGCTGTATTCCATGGGTTTTGGCATGTTGTGTTTCCATTGTCATTCATGTCAAGAAATTTTTCAAATTCCCTCTCAATTTCTTCATTGACTCATTGGTCATTCAGGAACATATTAATTTCTATGTATTTGTATAGTTCCCAAAATTCCTCTTGTTATTAATTTCTAGTTTTATTCCATTGTGGTCAGAGAAGATGCTGGATATTATTTTGATTTTTTTGGATGTTTTAAGACCTGTTTTGTGACCTAACATGGTCTATCCTTGAGAACGAGCCATGTGCTGAGGAAAGGAATGTGTATTCTGCAGCCATTGGATGAAATGTTCTGTAAATACCAATTAGATCCATTTGGCCTATAGTGCAGATTAATCTGATGTTTCTTTGTTGATTTTCTGTCTGGAAGATCTGTCCAATGCCGAAGGTGCGGTGTTGAAGTCTCCAGCTGTTATTGCACTGGGGCCTATCTCTCTCCTTATCTCTAATTAATATTTGCTTTATATATCTGGGTATTCCAGTGTTGGGTACATATATATTTAACATTGTTATATCCTTTTGCTGAATTGACCCCTTTATCATTATATAGCGATCTTTGTCTCTTCTTATAGGTTTTTGTTTCAAAATATATTTTGTCTGATATAAGCATAGCTACTCCTGCTCTTTTTTGGTTTCTGTTGGCATGGAATATCTTTTTCCATCCCTTTATTTTCAGTGTATATGTGTCTTTATAGGTGAAGTGTGTTTCTTGTAGGCAACAGATCAATAGGTCTTATTTTTTCATCCATTCAGCCAGTCATTCTATGTCTTTTGATTGGAGAATTTAGTCCATTTACATTCAATGTTATTATTGATAAGTAAGGACTTATTCCTGCCACTTTGTTATTTATTTTCTGGTCTTTTTTGTCTCCTTCCTGTTTCCCTTTAGTGAAAATGGTTTCCTCTGGTGATATGATTTAGTTTCTTGCTTTTTATTTTTTGTGTATTAATTGTATGAGGTTACCATGAGGCTTGCAAATGCTATCTTATAGCACATTTTTTTTTGAGACGGAGTCTCGCTCTGTCCCCCAGGATGGAGTGCAGTGGCATGATCTCGGCTCACTGCAAGCTCCGCCTCCTGGGTTCATGCCATTCTCCTGGTTCAGCCTCCTGAGTAGCTGGGACTATGGGCTCCTGCCACCACGCCCAGCTAATTTTTTGTATATTTAGTAGAGACGGAGTTTCACTGTGTTAGCCAAGATGGTCTCCATCTCCTGACCTCGTGATCTGCCTGCCTTGGCCTCCCAAAGTGCTGGGATTACAGGCGTGAGCCACCGCGCCTGGCCATAACACATTATTTTAACCTGATAACAACTTAACACTCTGCATAAACAAACAAGCAAAAAGAAAACTAATAAAATCTCTATGGCTTAACTTCATCCCCCAGCTTTTTAAATTTTTGTTGTTTCTATTTATATATCTTTTTTTTTTTTTTTTTTTTTGAGACAGAGTCTCGCTCTATCACCTAGGCTGGAGTACAGTGGCATGATCTTAAAGCAATTCTCCTGCCTTGCCTCCTGAGTAGCTGGGATTACAGGAATGCACCACCACACCCAGCTAATTTTTGTATTTTTACTAGAGACAGGATTTCACCATGTTGGCCAGGCTGGTCTTGAACTCCTGACCTCAAGTGATCCACCCGCCTCAGCTTCCCAAAGTGCTGGGGTTACATGTGTGTGCCACTGCACCTGGCCTATTTTTATCTTATTTTACTGACTATGTCTTGAAAGGTTGTTGTAGTTATTATTTTTGACTGGTTCATCGTTTATTCTTTCTACTTAGGATAAAAGTAGTTTACAAACTACAGTTACAGTGTTATCATATTCTGTGTTTTTCTGTGTATTTACTATTGGCAGTGAGCTTTGTACCTTCAGATAATTTCTTATTGCTCATTAATGTCCTTTTCTTTCCAATTGAAATCTCCCTTTAGCATTTCTGGTAGGATAGGTCTGGAGTTGATTAAATCCTTCAGCTTTTGTTTGTCTGGGAAAGTCTTTATTTCTTCTTCATGTTTGAAGGATATTTCACCGGATATACTATTCCAGGGTAGTTTTGTTTCCTTCAGTATTTTTAATATGTCATGCCACTCTTTCTTGGCCTGTAAAGTTTTCTACTGAAAAGCCTGCTGCCAGATATATTTGGGCTCCATTGCATGTTATTTGTTTCTTTTCTCTTGCTGCTTTTAGAGTCTTTTTTTTATCCTTGACTTTTGGGAGTTTGATTATTAAATGCCTTAAGGTAGTCTTCTTTGGGTTAAATCTGCTTGGGGTTCTTGATTATTTACTTATTGACAATATTATTGTTTTCTGCTAATAACAAAACAACAGCCAGCTAGTTCTAGAAGCTCCTCATGCAGATTATAGGCCTCCTCCCTGGATGGCTGTTGGGTTAGATTACAAAGAATGATTTCTAATCCTCTATTTTATTATTATTATTATTATTATTATTTTGAGACAAGATGCTGCTCTATCACACAGGTTGGAGTGCAGTGGTGCCATTACAGCTCACTGTAGCCTCAAACTCCTGGGCTCAGGCAATCCTCCTGCCTCAGCTTCCCAAGTAGCTGAGACTACAGGTGCACTCCACCATGGCTGGCTAATTTTTTCATTTTTTTGTAGAGACAGGGCCTTGCTGTGTTGCCCAGACTGGCCTCAAACTTCTGACCTCAAGTGATCCATCTGCCTTGGCCTCCCGAAGTGCTGGGATTACAGACATGAGCCACCGAGCCCAGCCCAATCCTCTCTTTAAAAATGACTTTTCTTATTATCTTTTTTTTCTGACTAAAAAGGAAATTTCTTGTGTTAGTTTCCTATTGCTGCTATAACAAATTATCATACACTTAGTGGCTTAAAACAGCACAGATTTATTATCTCATAGTTCTGGAGGTCAGAAGTCCAAAATGGGTCTCTCTGGGCTAAAATCAAGGTGCAACAGGACTGTATTCCTTTTGGAATCCATTCACCTTTTGCACCTCCTAGAGGCTTCCACATGCCTTGGCTCATGGCCCCTTCTTCAAAGCCAGCCATGGCTGGTCAAGCCTTCCTCACATCATATCACATCACTCTGACATTCACTCTTCTGCCTCCCTCTTCCCCATTTTATTTATTTATGTATTTATTTTGAGACAAAGTCTTGCTCTGTCACCCAGGCTGGAGTGCAGTGGCGCGATCTCAGCTCACTGCAAGCTCCACCTCCCGGATTCACGCCATTCTCCTGCCTTATCCTCCTGAGTAGCTGGGACCACAATCGCCCACCAACACATCCAGCTAATTTTTTTTTTTTTTTGTATTTTTAGTAGAGACGGGGTCTCATCGTGTTAGCCAGGATTGTCTCAATCTCCTGACCTCGTGATCTGCCCGCCTCGGCCTCCCAAAGTACTGGGATTATAGGCGTGAGCCACCATGCCAGGCCCCTCTTCCCTGTTTTAAGGACCTTTGACATTGCACTGGACTCCCCTGGATGATCCAGGATACACTCCCCTTCTCAAAGGCAGCTGATCAGCAACCTTCATTCTATCTGTAGACGTAGTTCCCTTTTGCCATGTAAGCTAGCATATTCACAGGTTCTGAGGATTACGAGGTGGACATCTTTGATGTTATTATTCTGCCTACAACATACACATTCCTTGTAGAAAATGTAGGAATACAGAAAAGGCATAAAAGAAAGTACATGACACTTCTAATTCCACTTCCTGGAGATAACCACTGATGATGGCTTAGTGTATATTCTTCAAGTCTTTTGTTCAGTGCATATGTTTTTTTCTTTGTAAACTAGGTTTGCATGATAATATATAATCATTAATGTTAAATTACTATATATAGTGAATTACTAAATATATATAGTATTTAATATTAAATTACTAAACACTATATATATTACTAAACACTATATATAATAGTGTTATATATAAAAAATGTTTAGTAATTTTCCTTAATAATATGCATATATTCCCATGGAACTATATATTTTTCCACATTTCATTTTAATGGCTATCTAGCATTCTACTGTGTGGAATGTACTATAATTTATTTAACTAATTTAGTTAATTCTCTGTTATTAACCACATAACTTATCTCTAGCTTTTCTTTAAGCCTGGTACCCCTGTGGTAAACATCCCTAAATCTACATCTTTGTACATATTCTTAGGATACATTCCCTAAAGGCACACCAAAGGTTGGGTGATTATATCATTTATTCTACAAAGCAGGATTCTTTGAGAGTGAAAAAAGATAATATTAAAAATCCATAGTAATTAATAAATAACAATAAGCCAGGACTGTTCTGGGCGTGACACACATTGCCAGATTGGCCTCCTGAAATGTTTACACTCCCACGGGCAGCTACCAAATGTCCTTGCTCTAAGCCCTTGCCAATGCTGCCAGTCCTATACCCCTACACCCTCTTACTCTCTAGATCCCATCTTCCAAAAAACAACAACCACACACACTGCAAATACCATGAGAGCCCTCACTGGAGATGTGACAGTGGTTGGCAGAGCTGTTTCTCATGGCAGGGAGAGGACAAGTAAGTCTTTGCCCTGGTTAACAATGATTTGACATTTGGTGAGTTCATTTTGTCTTCTGATCCAGGTACATCCACTGGATTAGTTTCAAGGCAGCAATGACCTGCCTTCCTTACCTGCACACAGGCCCAGGTACAGGCTCAGCCAGAAGAGGAATCTCCCAGGAGGGCCTCTCCCCAGGCCCAGGCAGGGAAGCACTGCCATGGATAGCATCTGCCAGGACAAGCTGACCTGCACAAGAGACAGTCCACCGTGAAGAGCCGAGCATGAGTTGGCAGCTGCTGTCAGCTCAAATTGTCCAGTACGCAAACTTGGTCTTCAGAGGACTGACTTCCTCTTGGATAGAAGAACCCTCTGAAACCATGACTGTCAAGAACACACCCAAATAAAGCAGCTGCCGAAACCACAAAAACAGAAAGACTAGATTCATTGTGAAGATGTTTTCTAACATTCAAATGGGCTTTTGTTAGTTTTGTTTTTGATTTTGGTGGAGGTCATTTGAGTCTTGTTATCAAGGTTACAAAGTGCTCTCTGGGAAAAGATCCGGGCCCATTTACCAGGCTGCCTTGCCTGGCTTTGCTTCTCGGGTATGAAATGAACATTGAGAATGCAGACACTGAAGAAAAGACCTCAGGTATCTTTGACTTTTTTTTTTTTTTTTTTTTTGAGACAGGGTCTCAATCTGTCACCCAAGCTGTAGTGCAATGGCACGATCTAGGCTCACTGCAACCTCTGCCTCCCAGGTTCAAGCAATTCTCCCACATCAGCCTCCTGAGTAGCTGGGATTACAGGGGCGTGCCACCACACCCAGCTAATTTTTGTATTTCTAGTAGAGATGGGGTTTCACCATGTTGGCCAGGCTGGCCTTGAACTCCTGACCTCAAGTGATCCATCCACCCTGACTTCCCAAAGTGCTGGGATTACAGGCGTGAGCCACCATGCCCAGCCTATTTTTGACTTTCTGAGTCAAGTAACCAGATGAAACCAGTCCCCTTGTCCACCCAGAGTCCACTCAGGCTATACTTGATTCATACTTTTTTTTTAATTTTTATATTTTTTTTAGAGACAGGGTCTCATTCTGTCACCCAGGCTGGAGTACAGTGGCACAATCACGGCTCACTGCAACCTCGAACTACTGGGCTCAAGCAATCCTCCTGCCTCAGCCTCCCAATTAGCTAGGACTACAGGCACGTGCCACCATGCCTGGGTAATTTTTTAATTTTTTGTAGCAATGGAGTCTCACTATGTTGACCAGGCTGATCTCAAACCCCTGGTCTCAAGCAACCGGCTCCCTTTAGCCTCCCTAAGCACTAGGATTACCGGTGTGAGCCACCACACCTGGCCTGATTCATATGCTAGACTCATATGCTAGAAAAGCCAACCCCAAATGGGCCCTGATAGAGCAATCTTGTTGGGGACAGTTTTACTTGTAAGTAACTGGCTCCCTGACCTACAGAATATAAGCCTTCAGAAAAAGCTTCAGAAAAAGCTCAGCACCCTGCCTCTCTCCTCCAAATAATGTTCCAGGTGATATTCTGCAAGCACACCTGGAAACTTTGCTCTGTTTGTTAACCTAGAAAATTAAATGAGCAAGGGACAGAGCAGGCTGGCCTGGAACAGGGACTGGGTACAAACCAGATCTCCAAAGCTTGGGCTTATTCTCTGAAAGAAATGCTCTTTTTAATTTCAACTCTGATGTCTTGGTGGAGACATTCAACTGGAGATCTGGAGTCTTTGATATAAGCAAAGGCAAGCTTGTGGGATCACCACTGGCTACAGAAAGAAGCCCAGCTCTTTGGCAAAGAAAATCCTGGGCTCAGAGAGTGAAGAGTGTGTCAGATTTCTCACGTCAAAAGTCAGCTTTTGTATTCAGAATGGAGCCAGAAGGTCCTGAATCCAGAATGGCCTAGAGCCTCCCCACATGCTGTCCTAGCGGGGGCTTTAGCAGGTGGATTTTGATAAAGATAGCTTTGGATGCTAAGCATAGAAAAAAAGAGAAATGTTGGCTCTAGGCTGGGTATGGTGGCTCACACCTGCAATCCCAGCACTTTGGGAGGCCAAGGCGGGTGAATCACTTGAGTCCAGGAGTTCAAGACCAGGCTGGGCAACATGGCAAAATCATCTCTACAAAAAATACAAAAATTAGTCGGGCATGGGGTCACCCACCTGTAGTCCCAGCTACTAGGGAGGCTGAGGTGGGAGGATCAATTGAGTCCATGAGATCAAGGCTGCAGTGAGCCGTGTTTGCGCCACTGCATTCCAGCCTGGGTAACAGAGAAAGACCTTGTCTCAAAAAAGGAAAAAGAAAAAAGTTGGCTTTAGCACCTCGAACCCTAGATGACTTCCTGAGTGTCATATTCTTTGGCTGCTACTCTGGAGTCACATCTCAGGGAAGATCCAGACAGACGGCTTTGGTCTTTGTGTTTGTAGGTCCTTTTTCCCTCAGATACTCACCTGCCCTACTCCCTCACCTCATCTATGCCTTTGCACAGATATTAGCAGATATCTGTGCTGATAAAAGTTGCGACTGCACCAGGCACAGTGGCTCACACCTGTAATCCCAGCACTTTGGAAGGCTGAGGCAGGAGGACTGCTTAAGGCTAGGGGTTCAAGACCAGCCTGGGCAACACACCAAGACCTTATCTCTGAAAAAAAAAAAAAAAGTTGTAGCTCATCAATTACCCTATCTGAAATAGCCCTGAATCCCCTGCCTTATTTTCCTTTATTGCACTTGTTACTACATCCCATTATATTTTACATGTATGTGTTTAATATTTGCCTCCCTAGTTAAAATGTAAAGTGCATGAAAGGAGACATTTTTATTTATAGTCAGGTCCGCAGATCTTAGGACAGTGCCTGGCACATAATAAAAGCACAATAAATATTTGTTGAATGAGTCTTAGAGTTGAGTCAAACATCAGATAGCAGGTATTTCTACTGGGCAAATGTGGACTCACCCCAGAGGTGTGTAGAAGAGGGTGCAGAGTCTGGAGTAGTTTGGGGTGTAGGTGTCGGGGGAGAGGCAATTGTCTCGGGTGGAAACAAAATCCATGGCTTGTGCCCCTGCAGTTGCAAACACCATGAGTAGACGACAGAGAGAGAGAGAGAGAGAGAGAGAGAGGGAGGGAGGGAGGGGGAGAGAAAGAGAGAGAGAGAGAGAGAGAGAGGGAGGGAGGGAGGGGGGGAGAGAGATTGAGAGAGAGAGAGAGAGAGAGAGAGAGAGAGAGAGAGAGAGAGAGAGAGAGAGAAAACTAATTGTAATTCCTACTCATAGCCACAAGATGGCACTATTGCTCAGAGTCTTTACTCTGAAAAGCCGAATCTAGCAGAATCTAGCAGTCTAGTTTGGGATTCCTTGCTTCTCTCCGTCTCCTCCCGTTTCTCTCTCCGCTTTCCTCTCTTTTGTCTTCCTCTCCCTTCGTTTTTAAACACTGCTTTTATGGTGGACTTGAGCAATAGTATAGGAGAAGCCATTGGTGCTCAGAGAGAGATCCCCGAGATGGATATTTGGCCACACTAGGCACAATGGTTTGCTCACTGAGCACGGCCGGAAGGCCTGGCTTCACCAGCTTCCTCTTCTCTCTGGCCAGAACCCACAGCCTTGCTGTTCTGGACCTGGCCCGTGGCTTGGGAAGCCTCCAGGGACAATCTTGCTTCTCCCTCCCTTACTCCATCCTCCCCACCCCATAACATGCTTATCTGGGAAGCACCTGCCCTCAGATCTGGTTCCAGGGGTCCTTGCTTTCCACTTGAGAAACTGTAAACACGCACAGAATGTCTCCTGGTGGGGGTTCTGAGGCCTTTTCCTCCCTGGTATTTTAGCCTAAGGAAAAAGCATTCAGTGGTGTGGGGATGGTGGGTGGAGCTTGCGGTATTTTTCTAAGACTTTTGCAGTTGGGGAACAAATCTCCAGGGAAGGGGCAGGGCCTCGGGCTAATTCCAGTACAGTAGGATCAGGGCCATGAAAACATCACACAAAGGAAACTTCAAAGCTCTTCCCCAGTCTGAATGGGCAGGGCCTGCTGAGAGGTCAGATGTTAACCTGATCCAAATGCCCTCTTGCTTTCAGGTGCCCCTCGCAGGCCTGCACACCCCTAGGGGATCCACCCTCTCCCAGGTCAGAATTCCACAGGGCCCTGAAGCTTCCTTACGCAGTGCTCCCCATCCCTGTGCTTGAAGCAAAGCCAGGGAGGGCAGAGCCCAGAAGTTGGGATCTGGTTCTGACTGTTCTCTGGCCTTAGGAGTAGAGGCCAATTTCATCTCTGCAAAGTGAGGCTGGGGCTGAGGAATGAAATTACACCTTCATCCCGCTCAGTCCTGCCTCATCCCCAAACCTTGCCAAACCCTGACACAGCTACTTTGCAGGGAGTGGTGAGAATTAGGAATGCTGCAAGGTCACTTAGGGTGATCATTAGGACAGTCATTAATTTCTGAGGCCTAAGAGTGACTAATTTATCTCTGATAGACACAGGGATCAAAGGAGAGTATTTATGGCTTAGAAACAAACCTCCCATTCTTTCCCCTGCTATAATAAATAATAAAAAGCTCCCAGGCCTCCCTCCCTTGTCCATCTCTTCCCTGCCCCTTCCTCTCTGTCTTAACTGTCCCTGCACAAAAATTAACCCTACTCTTGCTTCTCTGTACTCTTCCCCTTCCTTCTGTAAGAACCAGAGAGGGGAAGAGAATTAGCTGGCCCTGAGAGCTTCAGCTGCAACTGTGCTGTGGAGTGAGGGGTGCTGATCCCAGGGGAGGACATAAGCCAGGCCAAGAGTGGGCTCTCCCTGGGCATTTACCATGTTTACTTTCCTAAGTATGTATACCAGGGCCTGGTTAGGCTAGAAAGCAGACTGTCACCAGGTTTATTAGCTGTGTGACCTTGAGCAAGCTACTTTTTTAAAGCCTCAGTTTCCCAATCTATAAAAGAAGGATAATAATAGCATCACAGACTGGCTTATGAGAATGACATAAGATAAAATATATAAAGTGCTCAGCACAGAGCCTGATGCAAAATAATGGCCACCACATTTACCAGGACCTCAACATCCTTATTTTATTTCCAAGAACTTGAGGCTGCAGTACAAACTGAGTCCTTCACTTTCTGTTGTAGCCTCTGGGAGACGCCAAAGTGAGGATGGGTGTGGCCCTCCAAGGACGCTGGACCCCTGCTGTAACAAGACACAGATCACACGGGAGGGGTTCTCAGCCTTAAGGATGCCGTGAGGTGGGCCTAGATCATGGCTTCTCACCGCCGCACTACTGACAGACCATTCTTTGTGGTGAGGCTTTGTTCTGTGCATTGTAGGCTGTTTCGCAGCATCTCCGGCCTCTGTTCACTAGATGCCAGTAGCAGCCTTCTAGTCATGACTATCAAAAATGCCTTTAGACATTGTCAGATGTCTTCTGGGGGACAAAACTGCCCTTAGTTGAGGGGCACTGGTCCAGGAAGGTGGGAAACATAGGGGCAAACCTGGCAGGGGTGAGGAAGCAGGTATGAGCCTGCGCACAAGAGCCCCTCCTACCCTGGGCAGGGCTCAGGCAGACCCTCAGCTGACTGTGGAGATTGGCCCTGGAAGACGAAGTTCTCTCTAGTAAGGCCATGGCCTTGCTTCCTCAAGAGCTGATGCCCTGCTTGGACATGGACCCCTGGATTCCCCCCAGCCCAAACCAACATACACAACCCTGTCCAGCCCCAGGAGTGCTGGCCAAGAAACAGTGCCCTGGTGGCACAGAATGCTCACTAAATGGACCCTGGGTCCATTCTCATCTCAGGGCAGAGCATGGAGCCAGGCTGGCCCTGCCACTCATGCACTGTGTGGCCTTGGGCAAATTGTTTCACCTCTCTGTGCCCCAGGATCCTTATCTGTAAAAATACCTTCCTAGGCAGGTTGTTGTGAGGATTAAATGACTTCATATTTCTAACATACTTAGAAGAGAGCCTGACTCATAGCAAGCACTAAGTGTTTGTTAAAGAAGCCAAAACCCAAAAAGAAGCTGCTGCAGACCAGGCGATGATGCAGCGTTGTGTATGTCAGAGGGTGCCTCAGCTATGACCTAAGGTCCAGGAGCTGTGTTTCCAAGGGCCTCTGGCCATTTGTATCTGGGTGTGGTGGGTGTATCTGGGGTCCCTGCAGCATCTCCCCTATTGGAGGTGGTTGTTCTTAGGAAAGTTCATTTTGACCAGAGAGAATACTCAGTGCAGTGGGCTCCAGAACTTCTCACTTGACAGCCCCTGGGAATTTCTTTGACTTGAGGGTGCTGGGAGAAAAGTCTTTTCCTCTACCAACTTAGGTTTGAGGAGGGGGTTTGTGAAATGACTCACAATAGACATACGAACGGGAAAAAAGACGAGGTCTATTCATATGTGGGAGCACTCGGTAATAAGTACCTTGCTGTACAGCCAGAGGTAAAGGTTTAAATACCAACTTAGCAAAAGGGAGGCAATGACAGCTTCGGAGGCTGGAAGGGTCTGATGGGGCTTGTTTACATAGTGTTTGGGAATGTACCAGTGCCCAAGGCCAGTCACCTCCCTGACTGGAGACCTCTGGGGGTGGAGATGAGGAGAAAACTCTGTTTTAGCCAGGTAGGGGTTCACTGGTGATTTCTTTTTTTTTTTTTTTCTTTTCCTTTTCCTTCTTTTATTCTCAGACCTCACAGGGATGGATCTTTTTCTTCCCTTTTTTCTTATTTTTCTTTTCTCACCCTCCCCCAATTCAGATTTCTTTTTGCATCTATTGTTGAAGCATCTGTTGTTGGATTTTGGTTGCTTAAAGGGAAGTACCTTCAATTTGCTGGGAAGAGAGAAGGAGCGAGGGAAGGAGCTGTTGAGTGAGCTGCTGTGATCTTTTGGGAACCCTAATATTTCCTGTCTGGCAGAGGAGGCAAAACCCCAGTCCAGAAGCCTCCCCAAACACGCAGTGGGAAAAACCACTTAGAGTTGCCAAGTGCTTTGCATGAGTTATCTATTGCTATGTAACAAATTGCCCTGAAACAGCAGCCTCAACAGCAAAACGTGTGTCATCTCTAATGGTAACTTAGAGTCAGGAATTTGGACGCGACTAAGGTGAGTTGTTCTGGTTCAGGGTCTCTCATGAGGTTGCGGTCAAGATATTAAGCAGAGCTGCTGTCACGTGAGGGCTTGATATGAGGCGGGAGGATTCACGTCCAAGATGGGTCCTCACATGGCTGTTGGCAGGAGGCGTCAGTTCCTCACCTCTGGGACCTCTGAGAGGGCTGCGTGAACATCCTTACAACACAGCAGCTGGCTTCCATAGTGAGCAGCCCAAGGCAGAAACTAATGCAGGCTAATCACCGTGTCTTTCTTAAGCTAGCCTCGAAGGCATATGCCATCACTTCTGCTGTACTTGTGGGCCATGCAGACCGACCCTGATGCAATGTGGCAGGAGACCATTCAAGGGCCTGAAAACCAGGAGATCAGGATCACTGAGAAACTGGCTACAACAGGCTTTCAGTTCCCCTCCCAGAAGAATGTTCACCTGCGTACTGGCCCAGGTGTCAGCCAGGCTCAGGCACACACTGGAGAAGCCCCTCAGACTGAAAACCCAATGGGCTGGGGTGGGATTCAGTGCTGCTACCAACTGCCTCAGCCTGCCTCCTCGGTGAACACTGTACCCACTCAGAATCGGGCAAGACATCCCCATGGTGGAATAAGAGCTCTGAGCACTGGGTGGGAGAAGCATTGGCCTCTTGGGACCCTCTCTAAGACTGGGAAAGGAAGACTTCACACCAAAAAAATTCCTAAGAGAAAGAACAGAAGGGAAACAAGCGACTGTCAGTAGGTGGAGCTGGGGGGCGGTGGGGGCTGGAACTTGATGGGGTGGGGCACCTGCTGCAGGCTTCAGGGAGAAGATAGGGCCTGAGTTCAGTCCTGAGCACCAAACCTAGACATGATGAACTACAGTCAGCCTCCCAGTGATTCACGCTGTTTCATGCTCCCAGCCAGTGCCCACGCTGTCCTCTCCAGCAGGAATACCTCTCCCGGTTCCTCCCATTCTTCTTGACTCCATTATGTTCCTCCAGACTCAGCTCAAGGTGCTCCACCTCCAAGCTGTCTCTGACACCTTCCCATCAGATGCAGCTGTCTGCCTCCGTGTCTCAAAGCATCCTTACGCTTCCATCATGCTTGATATCATTGCTTCCTCCCCACTAGATTTTAACCTCCTTGAGGGCAGGTGATAATGTCAGACTCAAATCACATGGTGCCTAGCACAGTGCCTGTTGTGTACTCAGCAGTAAATATATGTTTGAGAAGGAAAGGAGGGAGAAGAGGAAGGAAGAGAAGGATGGATTCAGGAGACAGAAAATAACTCATCATCTATCTTTCTCCCCTTCATTCCCCAAGAGTGGGACTTCAAGCATTACCAGAGCTGTTAGCTAGAACCACTTCCCCCGTCCCCGCCATGTGAAAAATAAGCTGCACAGTCCTAGTCTGAGTTCTATAACATGCCGTTTGAGAAACAGCTTTTGGTTACTGAAAGCAGGCAACAAAAGTGGACGGGAGGAGTCTGTGTTCCCAGGATATGCTGACTTTGCTGGAGAAACCTGAGGTTAATAACAGATGGAAAGCACCCCATGGTAACAATCTTTGTGGGAAAATCTTGTGACCATCAAGTTCCCTGAAAGCAGTCAGCAGTGCCTCAGGAAGACCGAATTTCTGTGAGTAAAGTGACTCAAGGCCATGACATGGGGTCACCCCAGAATGAGATCAGTCTTTTAGAAGTAATCACCAGGGACTGAAGGTTCCGGGTCACCTGATTTCCCCTGGAGTTGCCTGAGGCCACCCTCTGCCCTCACTATCCAAACCTCACAGTGACCAACCTCTGCCACCTCTGGGTGCATATTAGACCTCTGGGTAGCCACAGCCACTCCCTTGAGTTCTGTTTCCACTTCTGTTAAACATTAACTGATGTATTGTTTTGGTTTAGTTTTTTTCTGCTTGCAAAGACTTCATGTGCCCAAAATGAATTAGCCATACTTCTTGGTTCAAGGCATGGCGTCTTTGTTGGTATGCGCTGGACTCAATTGTATTTTAGTTAACCTTATTTTTTGGCCCCCTTCAGCCCATCCCCAATCTCGTTTTTCTCCTCTTACCACAGGACCCATTCCCGTGATTTTTGTGTGTCTTCCCTCCCAATCTGTAGTTTGATTTGCACGCAGGTCTGAGATTGGTGTTATTTTGCGCATATTTTTAAAATATGTGGGCCGGGCACCGTGGCTCATGCCTGTAATCCCAGCACTTTGGGAGGCCAAAGCGGGCAGATCACGAGGTCAGGAGATCGAGACCATCCTGGCTAAAATGGTGAAACCCCGTCCCTACTAAAAATACAAAAAATTAGCCAGGCGTGGTGACACACGTCTGTAATCCCAGCTACTCGGAAGGCTGAGGCAGGAGAATCGCTTGAACCTGGGAGGCAGAGGTTGCAGTGAGCCAAGATCGCACCACTGCACTCCAGCCTGGGTGACAGAGCGAGACTCCGTCTCAAAAAAAAATAAAATAAAATAAATAAAATAAATAAAAATATGTGTAAGTGGTCTTTGGTATACATCTCATTCTGCTTCTCACCCTTTTCCAGTCAAAGTTATGTTTTTGAGATTGATCCAAGTGGATGTGACCAGAGCATTCCTTTTATCTGCTGAATTATTATCATCATTTGCATATAACACATTTTATCTATTTTCCTATTAGTAAATTTCTAGGTATTTTCAAATCGTCCCTATTACAAACAATTCTGCAATGGACATCCTCTTACATGTTTTGTAAGAGTTTCTCTGGGCTCAGTATCTAGGAGTGGATGGAACTGCTGGGTGGGAAGATCTGTCTGTATTTAGTTTCTCTTACTATTTCTAAACTTCTTCCCAGAAAGGTTATACTGGATGACATTCCCAGAGGGTTTCTGTTTTCCTTCACCTTTGGCAGTACTTGATATTATCCAAGTTTTTAATATTTGCCAATCTGATAGGTATAAGCTCTACAGCTACATCTTAACCACACTCTCCTGGTTTTCCTTCCCATCCCTGCCTGTTTCCCCAAAGTCTCAGCCTGTTCTGTTCTCACTCCCTCAGGGAAGGCACATAATGGCAGAGAGCAGGAGGCAGGAGAGAGAAGTGTTTCTTTCTGGCTTTTGAGTTTTAAAACCCTAGATTCTTGGGGGACCAAAAAGGATCCATGGCACAGAAGAAAAGATCTGGGAAAAAGCATGAAAAATTGAGGAAGAGCAGGCAACCCTCCTTGTGCTAGCCCCACTTGAACGACAGGGCTTGGGCTGGGTTTAGGAGAGTGCTAGGAGGAATGTGAGGCAGTCCATATCAGGATTGGGACCCCAACACTTAAAGGCTGAGGTGGGTAGTGTAGACACAGGAGCGGGCCAGGTGGAAGTGCCCCCGGGAGTGGTCAGGATTGTGGCTGCATCAGGCCTTCCTCGTGATCCTTTTCAACTCTGGCTGGTTGTTGCACTGTGGAAGCTGGCCTAGCGTTACCACATCTTTCCATTTTTTTCAAGAGAATCTAAAATCAGAATTTTTTTGAGGAAGTTCCCCTTAAAAAATAAGTTATTATTAGCTGCTAAAGGCTTACAAAAAACAAAATTAATGAAAACTTCAAACATATTTAAAAATAAGCAAAAGAATATAATGAATCCCCGTGCATCCACCACCAAGTTTCAACAATTGTCAACTATGGCCGATTTTGTTTCATCTACAACCCCACCTACTTCCCTTCATTAAGAATTATGTTGAAGTAAATCCAATTCATCATTTTCTTGTAAAGATAAGAACTCATATTTCTTTTCTTTTTTCTTTTCTTTTTTTTTTTTTTTTTTGAGATGGAGTCTCTCTCTCTGTTGCCAGGCTGGAGTGCAATGGTGCGGTCTCAGCTCACTGCAACCTCCGCCTCCCGGGTTCACGTGATTCTCCTGCCTCAGCCTCCTCAGTAGCTGGGATTACAGGCACGCACCACCACTCCCAGCTAATTTTTGCATTTTTAGTAGATATGCAGTTTCACCATGTTGGCCAGGATGGTCTCAATCTCCTGACCTCATGATCTGCCTACCTTGGCCTCCCAAAGTGCTGGGTTTACAGACGTGAGCCACAAGCCACCATGCCCAGCTAAAGAACTCTTCTTTCTTTTCTTTCTTTTTCTTTATCTTTTTTTTTTTTTTTTTTTTTTTTTTTTTTGAGATGGAGTCTTGCTCTGTCGTCCAGGCATAAGTGTGGTAGCACAATCTCGGCTCACTGCAACCTCTGCCTCCTGGGTTCAAGCAATTCTCCTACCTCAGCCTCCTGAGTAGCTGGGATTACAGGCACCCACCATCACACCCAACTAATTTTTGTATTTTTAGTAGAGATGGGGTTTCACCACATTGGCCAGGCTGGTCTCAAACTCCTGACCTCAGGTGATCCACCCGCCTCAGCCTCCCAAAGTGCTGGGATTACAGGCGTGAGCCACCACGCCCAGCATAGAACTCTTATTTCTAACCATGACACATATAATAACTAAATAAAATTTCAATAATTTCTTACCATCAAATAGCCTGTAGTGTTAAAATTTATAATTTTCTCAAAAAATGTTTATTTAATATTATTTTACTTTGTATAGTGTGTCTGAAACAGGATCTAAACCCAGCCCACACCTTGAGAGTGACTGGTATATTTTTAAGTCTTCTTTAACCTGTAGGTCTGTGCTCCCACCATTTTTTCCCTTGCAATGTATTTGTTAAAGAAGCTAGGCCTTTTGTCCTACAGAGTTTTCCACGGTCTGGATTTTGCTGGTGACATTTAACATGCTCTCCTGTCTTCTGTATTTCCTGTACATTCATATTTGGATCTAAAAAGCTAAAGCCAGCCTGGGCAACATAGTGAGACTCCATTTCTACAAAATAAAAATAAAACTATTAGCTGGGTGAGTGGCATACACCTGTAGGCCTAGTTACTTAGGAGGCTGAGGTGGGAGGATTGTTTCAGCCCAGGAGGTGGAGGCTGCACTGAGTCATGATCATACCAGTACACTCCAGCCTGGACAACAGAGCAAGACCTTGCCTCAAAAAAATAAATAAATAGGCCAGGTGTGGTGGCTCACACCTGCAATCCCAGCACTTTGGGAGGCTGAGGTGGGTGGATTGCTTAAGTCCAGAAGTTTGAGACCAGCCTGGGCAAAACTCCATCTCTACAAAAAATGCAAAACTTAGCCAGGTATGGTGGCACGTGCCTATAATCCCAGCTACTTGTGAGGCTGAGGTGGGAGGACTGCTTGAGCCCTGGGGGCAAGTGTTGCAGTGAGCCAAGATGCTAGCCTGGGTGACAAAGGGAGACCCCATCTCAGGAATAAATAAATACATACATACATAAAAATTAAAAAAATAAAAATAAATAAATAAATTAAATAAATAAAAAATAAAAAGCTAAAGCTCTTATCCTTAAAAAGAGAAAGCTCATAATCTTTTCAAAATAATCTTTAAATACTGTCTGAGCCAAACAAAATACATATGTTCTAGCTCTTCAAATATTCTAGTCTTTTGTCAGATATATACTTGGCAAATATTTTCTCCCAGTCATTGGCTTGCCTTTTTATTTTTGTAGCCATGTGTTTTGAAGAGCAAAAGTCTTAAATTTTGATGAAGTCCAGTTTGTCTATTTTGTAATTTATGCCTCTTGTACATCATATTTAAGAAGTCTTGCCAAACTCAAGGCTACTAAGATTTTCTACTAAATTTTATTTTAGAAATTTTAATTTTTGAATTTAGGTCTATTTTCCACTTAAAATTAATTATTATTATTATTTTTGAGATGGGGTCTTGCTCTGTCACCCAGGCTGGAGCGCAGTGGTGCAATCGTGGCTCACTGCCACCTCTGTCTCCTAAGCTCAAGCAGTCCTCCCACCTCAGCCTCTCAAGTAGCTGGGACCACAGGCACATGCCACTATGCTCAGCTAATTTTTTGTATTTTTTGTAGAGACAGGGTCTTGCCATGTTGCCCAGGCTGGTCTCGAACTCCGGAGCTCAGGTGATCCACCCACTTTGGTCTCCCAATATGCTGGGATTATGGGTGAGAGCTACTGTGCCCAGCCTTAAAATTAATTTTTAAGAAGCTTTATGTTGAAATAAATTTAGCTTTGAAAAGAAGCCACAAATACAGTACCAAGTATTCACATATACCCTTCATCCTGCTTCCCCTAATGTTAACAACTTATATAACCATAGTACAATTATCAAAACCGAGAAATCAACATTTATTAACTAAGCTACAGACTTAATTTAAATTTTGCCAGTTTCCCCACAATGTACTTTTCTGTTCCAAGAGCCAATCCAGGATCTCATATTGCATCCACTGCTGTGTCTCCTTAGTCTTCTTCAACCAGTTCCCCAGTCTATCCTGTCTTTCATCTTAATTTTTATGTATAGTGTAGGGTAAAGATTGAGATTTGTTTTTTGCATATATCTCTTCAATTTTTCTGGCACCATTTGTTTAAAAAAATTATCCTTTTTTTCATTGAATTGCCTTGACAACTTTGTTGAAAATCAATTGACCATATATGTATGAGTCTATTTTTGGACTCTGTTCTGTTCTGTTGTGGTATCTATTTGTCAGTTTTTACAGCAATACAACACTGTCTTGATTTCTGTAGCTTGATTTTTAGTCTGAAATCAGGTAGTGTTAGTCCTCCAACTTTTTTTTTTCCAAAGTTGTTTTGGCTATTCCAGGTTCTTTGAATTTACGGACAAATGTTAGCATCAGTTTTTCAATTTCTACAAAGAAACTTCTGGGATTTTGATTGGGATTGCACTGAAACAGCAGATGAATATGGAGACAACTGACATCATAACAATACTGAGTCTTTTGATCCATGAATTCATAGTATTTTTTCACATATTGGTTCTTTAATTTCTCTCAGCAATGTTTTGTAGTTTTCAATGTACAGGTCTTGCCCATCTTTGGTCAAGTTTATCCCAAACCAGCTCTCCAGGTGAGTTTGATGCACTCACATCTTAAAGTTGAAAATCACATCTCTACATCACCCCTGTTACTTAAATATGGTGCTGGAAAATAAATATTAGAACAAAATATGCAAGAAATATCAGTATTAAAAGCATAATTGGGAACTTTAAAAATCCAAGGCAGAGGTTGTAATTCATATGAATTAATAAAACAGTTGAGCAAAGTAGATGAATATAAGATAGTGTATACTCAAAACACAATTCAATTCCTTTAAAATGATTAGAAATTTTAATTAAAAATAAGATCCCTGCTGGGCCCAGTGGCTCATGCCTGTAATCCCAGCACTTTGGGAGGCCGAGGCGGGTGGATCACCTGAAGTCAGGAGATTGAGACCTGACTGGCCAACATGGTGAAACCCCATCTCTACTAAAAATACAAAAAAAATTAGCTGGGTGTGGTGGCATGTGCCTGTAATCCCAGACACTTGGGAGGCTCAGTCAGGAGAATCACTTGAGCCCGAGAGGTGGAGGTTGCAGTGAGCAGAGATTGCACCATTGCACTCCAGCCTGGGCGACAGACCGAGACTCTGTCTCAAAAATAAATAAATAAAATTAGATCCCCTTCTCAATAGTAACCAAAAATATACTGAATAAGAAATTCAATCATATTCAGTGATCTAATATATGTTTTTTTAAAAAACTGTATATGTGGTTAGGCACAGTAGCTCATGCCTGTAATCCCAGCTCTTTCAGAGGCCTAGGCAGGAGAAACATTGATCCCAGGAGTTCGAGACCACCGTGGGTAACATAGTGAAACCCCTGTTTCTACAAAAAATTTAAAAATTAGTTGGGCATGGTGGTGTGTGCCTGTGATCCCAGTTACTTAGGAGGCTGAAGTGGGAGGATCACTTAAGCCTGGGAGGTCAAGGCAGCGGTGAACCATGATTGTGCCACTGCACTCCAGCCTGAGTGACAAAGCAAGACTGTGTCTCAAAAATGTTAAAAAAAAATTGTATATGTTTCTATGTGTTTACAAATGTGTATGTAAATGAATAGAAAAAAGGCCTGGAAATCTGAGACAAGTGATTTTCCCAAAGAAAGGAAAGAGGATGAAGGGAAATTAAGCGAGAGCTTGTCTGCCTCCTTTGAATTTTTTTCAATGCTAATGTGTTCATGTAGTACTTATATAATAAAACAAAACCTTTACAAAGAAGCATATATGATTTCATTTTCTCAAATTATTGACACATTGTTGTATACATAGAAAATGTCTCAAAAGATTATCACACAAACTTAATAGCAATTATGTACAGATGGTGGCATTTCAATGGCTTTCACTGTGATTTTTCTTTTTAGTGTTGCTCACTGTTTTATAATGAGCACGTGTTATTTTTATAATAAAAAAGTTATGGCCAGGGGTGATGCCTCACGCCTGTAATCCCAGCATTCTAGGGAGGCAGGCAGATTACCTGAGGTCAAGAGTTCAAGACCAGCGTGGCCAACATGGTGAAACCCGTCTCTACCAAAACATACAAAAATTAGCCAGATGTGGTGGGATGCACCTGTAATCCCAGCTACTTGGGAGGCTGAGGTGGCAGGATCGCTTGAATCCAGGAGGCAGAGGTTGCAGTGAGCCGAGATCGCGCCACTGCACTCCAGCTTGGGTGACAGAGTGAGACCCTGTCTCAAAAAACTAAATAAATAAATAAATAAATAAATAAATAAATAAATAAATAAAAAGTTATGAAGACATTCTTATTTTGAAAAGAAACAAACAGAAACTAAGGAGTGCAGTTCATGACCAACTACACTTTTAAAACTAAAGTAGAAGGCTGGGTGCGGTAGCTCATGTCTGTAATCCCAGCACTTTGGGAGGCTGAGGTGAGCGGATCACCTGAGGTTGGGAGTTTGAGACCAGCCTGACCAACATGGAAAAACCCCGTCACTACTAAAAATACAAAATTAGCTGGGCATGGTGGCGCATGCTTGTAATCCCAGCTACTCAGGAGGATGAGGTAGGAGAATCGCTTGAACCCAGGAGGCAGAGGTTGTAGTGAGCCAAGATTGTGCCGTTGTATTCCAGCCTGGGCAACAAGAGCAAAACTCCATCTCAAAAAAAAAAACAAAAAAAGAAAGAAAGTAGGAGAAATAGAATATAAACAAGCACAAAAATAATGTTCCTATTTATAATTTATAGTATATTCACATAAAAACATAACAAAGGTAAATATTCCCAGGCCATAAATAGATTAATTAATATCAATTAGCCTTTCAAAACAAAAGACTTCCTGTTAAAATATTTACTCCACTCTCCCATTATGAAGCCTACTGATCACAGCACTACAAATGAAAAATAGGGGAAGAGGCCTCGTTTTCTTTCTTTTTCTTTTTTTTTTTTTTTTTGAGATGGAGTCTCACTCTGGCACCCAGGCTGGAGTGTAGTGGCGTGACCTCGGCTCACTGCAACCTCCGCCTGCTGGGTTCAAGTAATTCTCCTGCCTCAGCCTCCCGAGTAGCTGGGACTACAGGCGTGCATCACTATGCCCGGCTAATTTTTTGTATTTTTAGTAGAGACAGGATTTCACCATGCTGGCCAGACTGGTCTCGAACTCCTGACCTCGTGATCCACCCACCTCGGCCTCCCAAAGTGCTGGGATTACAGGCGTGAGCCACTGCGCCTGGCCAAGGCCTCCATTTTCAATGAGACAAATAACTACAGCACCAAACCAGAGCCCATGAAGCAAACCTGCTGTTACTGTAAGATGGGAACTGTAACAGGAAAGAGATGCCAGGTGCCTCCTTGGACCCAGGGTAGGACACAGATTACTCCAAAAATCTGTGATAGAAGCTTCGCTGATAATGCTTGGAATCTATTAATATCTCAGCAATACGGTAGCACAGGCTGGTCCCCAGAGACTGGGGAAGTCCTGTAGAGAGCTGACAGGCACTGCAGAATGGCAGGGAAGGGGGGCCTGCAGGAACTACCTTGCTAACCTCGCCTCCAGAAAGGCAGTCATGGGGAAGGATGAGTGGGGAAGGAGGATGTGGAGGTGGGACCACCAGGTTGCACCCATGGACCTGTAAGTCTAGGTCACATGGACTTCCTGAACACCAAAAGCTGTGGGGAGATGACCCCCAAGAAAAAGGAAGTAACTGAAAGGGTGTTTGAGATAACAAAACCTATTGAAGCTGAAGGATCCTAGATTCTCTCCAACACCCCTAGCTCTTTCTCCACTCCTCATACTGCTATTCAGCCAGTAGTGGATCCCATTCAAAGACAAACAATAACCAACAGGGAACCATATTGGACTTACACATAGAAATTGCAGAGGAAGGAAATATACACAAAAGGCTGATAAAAAAATAAACACCGCAAGAATAATTACCCAAGGAAACAGAAAATATGTTCAGATAAATTCTCCATGTTCTCAAAGAAATTTCAGACAACACTATTTCTAGAAAAAGCCTGCAAAGACAAGACATAAGAATTCAAAGAAGAGATTCTAAAATGACAGAAGATAAAAAGCAAGCTAATAAATTCAGGATAAAAATGGAAGAATAAAATGTGACAAGAGATGGAAGCTACATTAGAAGACAAAAAAAAAAAAAACCATTTAAAAAAACTGACAGCAGGTGCAGTGGCTTACGCCTGTAATCCCAGCACTTTGGGAAGCTGAGGTGGGCAGATCACTTGAGGTCGGGAGTTCGAGACCAGCCTGACCAACATGGAGAAACCCTGTCTCTACTAAAAATACAAAATTAGCGGGTGTGGTGACACATGCCTGTAATCCCAGCTACTCGGGAGGCTGAGGCAGGAGAATTGCTTGAACCTAGGAGGCTGAGGTTGCAGTGAGCTGAGATGGCACTATTGCACTCCAGCCTGGGCAACAAGAGCAAAACACTGTCAAATTAAAAAAAAAAAAAAAAAACTGACTCTAGTTCAATATCTGTTGGGCAGAAACCAGGAAATCACACAAAACGAAATGAATAGCTGGGTATGGAGGCACACGCCTGTGGTCCCAGCTACTTGGGAGTCAATCCTACTGCACTCCAGCCTAGGTAGCAGGGCAAGACCTTGTCTCAAAAACAAAAAACAAAAAAACAAAAAAACAAAAAAAACAACAAAAACAACAACAGCTAAATCTCAAGACTTGTTAATGATTCTAGAGAAAATTACTATTCTTATGGGAGCCCGGTAAAAGAGATCTCCAGCAGCTTGCAGTGAGCTGAGATCACGCCACTGCACTCCAGCCTGGGCGACAGAGCGAGATTCCATCTCAAAAAAAAAAAAAAAAAAAAAAAGAGATCTCCAGCATTTCTGACAGAGAATAAACACTTCCAGAAAAAAAGAGAATAAAAGAAATTAAGTGTAAATTATTTCAAAAATAATAAAACTTTCTTGAAATAAGGATGATTTCAATCTGCTGATCAAAAGGGCATAGATGTTCCAAGAAAAATTGACATAGACTGTTCAACATCAAGATATATCCTGCTGCAGTTATGAAACATCAAGGACAAAGAAAATCTCATGTGGTTAACCATGTAGAAAAGCATTTACCGAAGGAAAAACCAGATCAAATTTCCTCAGGTTTTTTCACAATGCCAAAAGACAGAGGACCCACATTTTTAAAGTGCCAAAGGAAAGAAAACATGGCACAAGAATTTTCTTTTTTAAAAACTTTTTATTTTAGGTTCAGGGGTACACGTGCAAGTTTGTCATATAGGTAAACTCATGTCATGGGGCTTTGCTGTACAGATTATTTTGTCACCCAGGCACTAAGCCTAGTACCCAATAGTTATTTTTTCTGTTCCTCTCCCTCCTCCACCCTTCACCCTCAAGTAGACCCCAGTGTGTATTGTTCCCCTCTATGTGTCCACGTGTTCTCATCATTTAGCTCCCACTTATAAGTGAGAACATGCAGTATTTGGTTTTCTGCTCCTGCATTAGTTTGCTAAAGATGATGGCCTCCTGCTCCATCCATGTTTCTCCAAAGAACATGACCTTGTTCTTTTTTGTGGCTATGTAGTATTCCATGATGCATATGTACCACATTTTCTTTATTGAGTCTACCATTAATGAGCATTTAGGTTGATTCCATGTCTTTGCTATTGTGAATGGTGCTGCAATGAACATATGCATGCATGTCTTTTTATGGTAGAGCCATTTATATTCCTTTGGGTGTATACCCAGTAATGGGATTGCTGGGTCGAATGATAGTTCTGTTTTTAGCTCTTTGTGGAATCACCACACTGCTTTCCACAATGGTTGAACTAATTTACATTCCCATTAACAGTGTATAACTGTTCCTTTTTCTCCATAACCTCAACAGCATCTGTTATTTTTTAACCGTTTTTTGCTTTTTTTTTTTTTTGAGACGGAGTCTTGCTCTGTTGCCCAGGCTGGAGTTCAGTGGTGAGATCTCAGCTCACTGCAACCTCCGCCTCCCAGGTTCAAGCTATTCTCCTGCCTCAGCCTCCCAAGTAGCTGGGACTACAGGCGCTTGCCACCATGCCCAGCTAATTTTTTGTATTTTTAGTAGAGATGGGGTTTCACCATGTTAGCCAGGATGGTCTCGATCTCCTGACCTCATGATCCACCCGCCTTGGCCTCCCAAAATACTGGGATTACAGGTGTGAGCCACTGCGCCCAGCATTAACTTTTTAATAACAGCCATTCTGACTGGTGTAAGATGGTATCTCATTGCCGTTTTTATTTGCATTTCTCTAATGATCAGTAATACTGAACTTTTTTTTCACATGCTTGTTGGCCCCACGTATGTCTTCCTTTGAAAAGTGTCTGTTAATGTCCTTTGCCTACTTTTTAATGAGGTTGTTTTTTTTCTTGTAAATTTGTTTAAGTTCCTTATAGATGCTGGATATTAGACCTTTGTGGGAGGCATAGTTGGCAAAAATTTTCTCTTATTCTGTAGGTTGTCCGTTTACTCTGCTGACAGTTTCTTTTGCTGTGCGGAAGCTCTTACATTTAATTAGATCGTCAATTTAATTAGATTCATCAATTTTTGCTTTTGTTGTGATTGCTTTTGGCATCTTTGTCACGAAATCTTTACCTGTTCCTGTGTCCAGAATGGCATTGCCTAGGTTGTCTTCCAGGGTTTTTATAGTTTTGGGTTTTACATTTAAGTCTTTAATCGATATTGAGTTGATTCTTGTATGCGGTGTAAGGAAGGGGCCAGTTTTAATCTTCTGCATATGGCTAACCAGTTATCCCAGCACCATTTATTGAATAGGAAATCCTTTCCTTGTTGCTTTTGTCGGTTTTGTTGAAGATCAGATGGTTGTAGGTGTGTGGCCTTATTTCTGGGCTCTCTATTCTGTTCCATTGGCCTATATGTCTGTTTTTGTATCAGCGCCATGTTTTTCTGGTTAATGTAGCCATTAACCAGAAATAGTTTATACCAGTAGTATAGTTTGAAGTTGGGTAATGTGATACCTCCAGCTTCGTTCTTTCTGCTTAGGATTGCCTTGGCTATTTGGGCTATTTTTTGGTTCCATATGAATTTTAAAACAGTTTTTTTCTAGTTTTGTGAAAAATGTCATTGGTAGTTTGATAGGAATAGCATTGAATCTATAAATTGTTTTGGGCAGTATGACCATTTTAATGATATTGATTCTTCCTATCCATGAGAACTGGAATGTTTTTCCATTTGTTTGTGTCATCTCTGACTTCTTTGAGCAGTGTTTTGTAGTTCTCATTATAGAGATCTTTCACCTCCCTAGTTAGCTGTATTCCTAGGTATTTTATTATTTTCGTCACAATTGTGAATGGGATTGCATTCCTGATTTGGCTCTCGGTTTGGCTGTTGTTAGTGTATAGCAATGCTAGTAATTTTTGTACATGAATCTTGTATCCTAAAACTTTGCTAAAGTTATTTATCAGCTGAAGGAGTTTTGGGGCTGCAACTATGGGGTTTCTAGATATAGAATCATGTCATCTGCAAAGAGGATAGTTTGACTTCCTCTCTTCCTATTTAGATGCAGTTTCTTTCTTTCTCTTGCCTGATTGCCCTGACCAGGACTTCCAATACTATGTTGACTAGGAATGGGGAGAGAGGGCACCCTTGTCTTGTGCTGGTTTTCAAGGGGAATGCTTCCAGGTTTTGCCCATTCAGTATGATGTTGGCTGTGGGTTTGTCATAGATAGCTCTTATTATTTTGAGGTATGTTCCTTCATTACCTAGTTTATTGGGAGTTTTTAACATGAAGGGATGTTGAATTTTATTGAAAGACTCTTCTGCGTCTATTGAGATTATCATGTAATTTTTGTCTCTAGTTCTGTTTATGTGATGAGTCACATTTATTGATTTGCATATGTTGAACTAACCTTGTAACACAGGGGTATACAAGTAGGGGTATTCATGATCAAGTAGGCTTTATTTCTGCCTGATCATTGTGGATTAGCTTTTTGATGTGCCGCTGGATTCAGTGTGCAATGTTTTATTGAGGATCTTTATTCAATATTCATCAAGGATACTGGCCTGAAGTTTATTATTTGTTGTTATATCTCTGCCAGGTTTTGGTATCAGGATAATGCTGGCCTCACAGAATGAGTGGAGGAAGAGTCCCTCCTCAGTTTTTTGGAATAGTTTCAGTAGGAATGGTACCAGATTTTCTTTGTGCATCTGGTAGAATTTGGCTGTGAATCTATCTGGTCCTAGGATTTTTTTTGTTGGTAGGTTATTTGTTACAGATTCAGTTTTGGAGCTCATTATTGGTCTGTTCAGGGAATCAGTTTCTTCCTAGTTCAGTCTTGGGAGGGTTTTTGTGCCCAGGAATGGATCCATCTCTTTCACATTTTCTAGTTTGTGTGCATAGAGGTGTTCGTAGTAGTCTCTGATGGTTATTTTTATTTCTCTGGGGTCAGTGGTAACATCTCCTTTGTCATTTCTGATTGACACAAGGATTTTCTACACACCTAGTTATCCTTCAAGTATAAAGGCAATAAACAGACACTCTCAGGCATGCTAAACCTCAGGGAATAAAGGACCCATGAACGTTTCTTGAAAAACAACTTATGAATGAAATCTATCCAACCAGAGATGAGTCAAAATGGATTCTACAGTACAGGACCTGGGTGTATTAGTTTCCTGGGGCTGCTATAACAAAAGACCACAAACTGGATGACTTAGAACAACAGAGTCATTGTCTCACAGTGCTGGGAGCTAGAAGTAAGAAATCAAGGTGTTAGCAGGGACACGCTCCCTCTGAGGATCATGAAGGAGAATCCTTTCTTGCCTCTTCCAGATTCTGCAGCCCCAGACAGGCCTCGGCTTGCAGCAGCATAATTGCAATCTTCACACAGTGTCCTCCCTATGCCTCTTCTCAGAGTCTTTCCTCCATGCATGCCTGTGTTCGAATTTCCAGTCATATTAGATTAGGGCCCACCCTACTAAGCTCATTTTAATCTGATCACCTCTGTAAAAATCCTGTTTCTAAAATAAGGTCCTATTCTGAGGTACTGAGGGTAAGGACTTCAACATACCTTTTTCTCAGTTGTGGGGATACAGCACACAATTTAATCCATACCACTGGGTAACATAGAGGTGGTGAGCACTGAGTCCATTAAACATAGGGCCAAGCCAGGTGTGGTGGCTCACGCCTATCATCCCAGCATTTGGGAGGCCAAGGTGGGTGGATCACCTGAGGTCAGGAGTTCAAGACCAGCCTGGCCAACATGGTGAAACCCTGTCTCTACTAAAAATACAAAAAAGTACCCAGGCATGGTGGCAGGTGCCTGTAATCCCAGCTACTTGGGAGACTGAGGCAGGAGAATTGCTTGAACCTGGGAGGCGGAGGTTGCAGTGAGCCGAGACCACACTACTGCACTCCAGCCTGGGTGACAGAGCAAAAACCCCATCTCAAAAAACAAAACAAATATATATATATATAGCCAAAACTAAACAACAGTGAGAAGTGTGGGTAGGGAACAAAATGAGATGAGAGAAACGAATCCACACACCTACAGCGAACTCATTTTTGACAAAGATGCCAATAACATACACTGGGGAAAAGACAATCTCTTAAATAAATGGTGCTGGGAAAACTGGATATTCATATGCAGAAGAATGAAACTAGACCCGTATCTCTCATCATATACAAAAATCAAATCAAAATGGATTAAAGACCTAAGCCTAAGACCTCAAACTACAAAACTACTACAACAAAACATTGGGGAACATCTCTAGGACATAGGTCTGGGCAAAGATTTCTTGAGTAATACCCCACAAACACAGGCAACCTAAGCAAAAATGGACAAATGGGATCACATCAAGTTAAAAAGCTTCTGAACAGCAAAGTATACAGTCAACAAAGTGAAGAGACAACCCACAGAATGGGAGAAAATATTTGCAAACTACCCATCAGACAGGGGATTAATCACCAGAATATACAAGGAGCTCAAACAACTCCATAAGAAAAAATATAATAATCTGATCCAAAATGGGCAAAAGATTTGAACAGACATTTCTCAAAAGAAGACATACAAATGGCAAACAGGCATAGGAAAAGGTGCTCAACATCACTGATCATCAGAGAAAAGCAAATCAAAATTACAATGAGATATCATCTCACCCCAGTTAAAACGGCTTATAGGGAAAAGACAAGCAATAACAAATGTTGGCCAGGATGTGGAGAAAGGGGAACCCTTGTATACTGTTGGTGGGAATGTAAATTACTAAAACCACTATGGAGAACAATTTGGAGGTTCCTCAAAAAACTAAAAATTGAGCCACTCTATGATCCAGCAGTGAGACTGCTACAGAAAGGAAATCATAGGATATCTGCACTCCTATGTTTGTTGCAGTACTGTTTACAATAGCTAAAATTTGGAAGCAACCTAAGTGTCCATTAATAAATGACTGGATAAAGAAAATATGGTACATATACACAATGGAGTAGTATTCAGCCATAAAAAGAATGAGGTTCAGTCATTTGCAACATGGATGGAACTGGAGATCATTATGTGAAGTGAAATAAGTCAGGCACAGAAAGACAAACATCACATGTTCTCATTTATTTGTGGGATCTAAAAATCAAAATAAATTGAACTCATGGACATAGAGAGTAGAAGGATGGTTATCAGAGTCTGGGAAGGGTTGTGAGGGGTTGAGGGGGAGGCAGGGATGGTTAATGGGTAAAGAAAAAAATTAGAAAAAATGAATAAGACCTACGACTTGATAGCACAATATGGGAACTATATAATAATAATGTAATTGTATACTTTTAAAATAATTTAAAGAATGGAACTGGATTATTTGTAACTCAAAGGATAAATGCCTGAGGGAATACATACCCCATTATCCATGATATGCTTATTTCACATTGCATGCCTGTATCAAAACCTTTCATGTACCCCCTAAATATATACAACTACTATGTACCTACAAGAAATTTTTTAAATAATTTAAAAATATTTTTAAATAAAAATAATAAAATATGTAACTAATAGCATGTTGTAAAAATTTTTTTAATAAAAATTAGAAAAAAATGAAATGAGGGGAACATTGACAATGGAATATACACTCGACCTTTGCACATTGGGGGGATTAGGGGTGCTGATCTCCCTGCACAGTTGAAAATCTACATATAGCCTTTGATTCCCCCAAAACTTAACTACTAATAGCCTACTGTTGACCAGAAGCCTTACTGATAACATAAACAGTTGGTTAACACATATTTTGGAGGTTATATGTATTATATTATGTGTTCTTACAATAAAGTAAGCTAGAAAAAGAAAATGTTATTAAGAAAATCTGCAGTGGCTCATGCCTGTAATCCCAGCACTTTGGGAGGCAGAGGCGGCTGGATCATGAGGTCATGAGATAGAGACCATCTTGACCAACATGGTGAAACCCTGTGTCTACTAAAATACAAAAAATTAGCCAGGTGTGGTGGCACGTGCCTGTAATCCCAGCTACTTGGCAGGCTGAGACAGAGGAATCACTTGAACCCGGGAGGCGGAGGTTGCAGTGAGCCAACATCATGCCACTGCACTCCGGCCTGGTGACAGAGCAAGACCCTGTCTCAAAAAAAAGAAAAAGAAAATCATTGGCCAGGAATGGTGGTTCACGCCTGTAATCCCAACACTTTGGGACACCGAGGCGGGCGGATTACTTGAGGTCAGGAGTTTGAGACCAGCCTGGCCAACATGGTGAAACCTCGTCTCTACCAAAAATATAAAAAATTAGCTGGGTGTGGTGGCCCGCACCTGTAATCCCAGCTACTCAGGAGGCTGAGGCAGGAGAATTGCTTGAACCCAGGAGGCGGAGGTTGCAGTAAGCCAAAATCGTGCCACTGCACTCCAGCCTGGGTGACAGAGAGAGACTCTGTCTCAAAAAAACAGAAAGAAAATCATCAGGAAGAGAAAATATATTCACTATTCATTAAGTTGAAGTAAATCATAATGGTCTCCATCTTCGTAATCTTCCCCTTGAGCAGTCTGAGGAAGAGGAGTAAGAGGAGGGGTTAGACTTCTTGTCTCAAGGGTGGCAGAGGTGCAAGAAAACCCATGAATAAGTGGATTCATAAATTTCCACCTGTGTTGTTCAAGGGTCAACTGTAGTAAAAATCAAGAGGTAGAGTCAGGCATTGGGCTAAAGTACAATTGCGGGTAATTCCTCATCTTTTGTAGCAGGAAGTCAATAGATACCACTTAAAATTGAAACATGGCTTTTTTTAAAAAAGCAAATTTAATCTCCTAATGTTTTGCATTGTCTTTTTTCTAGATCAATCTCTTAAGAATTATTATATCTTGTGATAAAGCAGCAGCCAATTTAGTAATTTTTTTTTTTTTTTTGAGATGGAGTTTTGCTCTTGTTGCCCAGGCTGGAGTGCAATGGCGCCATCTTGGCTCACTGCAACCTCCGCTTCCCGGGTTCAAGCAATTCTCCTGCCTCAGTCCCCCAGTAGCTAGGATTACAAGCGCCCGCCACTACACCCAGCTAATTTTTGTATTTTTAGTAGAGATGATGTTTCACCATGTTGGCAAGGCTGGTCTTGGACTCCTGACTTCAGGTGATCCGCCCGCCTCGGCCTCCCAAAGTGCTGAGATTATAGGCGTGAGCCACAGCACCTGGCCAATTTAGTAATTTTTAAGTTTTGCTGGCTGGACACAGTGGCTCATGCCTGTAATTCCAGGCAGGAGGATTGCTTGAGCCCTGGAGATGCAGATCAGCCCAGGCAACATAGCCAGGGCTCATTTCTACAAAAAATAAAACAAAATAAAGGCCGGGTGCAGTGGCTCACACCTATAATCCCAGCACTTGGGGAGGCTGAGGCAGGCGGATCACCTGAGGTCGGGAGTTCGAGACCGGCCTGACCAACATGGAGAAACCCTGTCTCCATTAAAAATACAAAATTAGCTGGGCATGGTGGCGCATGCCTGTAATCCCAGCTACTCGGGAGGCTGAGGCAGGAGAATTGCTTGAACCTGGGAGGCAGAGGTTGCAGTGAGCCGAGTTCGCACCATTGCATTCCAGCCTGGGCAACAAGAACGAAACTCCATCTCAAAAAAAAAAAAAAAAAAAAAAATTAGCCAGGCATGGTGGTGAGCACCTAGAGTCCCAGGTACTCCAGAGGTTGGGAGGTGGAGGCCACAGTGAGCTGCGATCACACCACTATACTCCAGCCTGGGTGACAGAGCAACCTCATCTAGGAAAAAAAAAAAAAAAAGTTTTGCTTCAGTTTTTGTACTGTTAAATTTAAGTTAAATGATATTAAACTTTTTACATCTAAAATAGTATGCAGAGAATGATTTTATTTTTATAAAATTGTTTCTGTTGTTCTGTCTACTCACCTACCTATAGATTCCTGAATCATATTTTTTACAAATGTTGGGGGATGGTTATCTCGGAGCAATGGGATTTATAGTGTGTGTGTGTGTGTATTTTTTTTTTTTTAACTTTCTTCGTTATGCTTTTCTATATTACTTAAATTTTTATGATAAATATGTGTTATTTGAACAAAAACAATAAAATCATTGTTTCCTTTTCTATTTTTTTTCCTAAAAGACTTCTCCGTAGGCATTGAGAGTGCTAGGAGCCTGTTGGGCACAGTGGGTCACTCCTGTAATCCCAGCACTTTGGGAGGCCGAGGGCAGATAACTTGATCCCAGGAGTTTGAGATCAGCCTGGACAACATGGTGAGACCCCATCTTTACAAAAAATACAAAAATTAGCAAGACGTGATATAGTCCCAGCTACTCAGAATGCTGAGACTGAGGTGGGAGGATTCCTTGAGCCTGGAGGCGGAGGCTGCAGTGAGCCATGATCACGCCACTGCACTCCAGCCTGGGTGACAGAGACCCTGTCTCAAGGGAAAAAAATGAGAGAGAGTGCTAGGAGCCAGTAGGTTGCTTCAACATTAGGTGCCAGCAGGAGATCTGTCCAGGAGGCAGAGGGTAGGATCTGAGGGTGTTGCGACGGCCAACACAACACAGACGCCCTTCCCAAACTGGCGGGGTGGTGGGAGGGGACTGTTTCACAGCTGCTGTGATGAAAAACTCCTTCAATCGCAGATGCTACCACAAGTATTAAGAACTTTCCATGGTCAGACCCAAATCCCAAAGAAATCAGATGGCTTCCAAGGTCAGCAAACTGAATTGGACCTGCCTCTCTCTATATATATTTTTTTTTCTTTTTTTTTTGAGGCTGAGTTGTATTCTTATTCCCCAGGCTGGAGTGCAGTGGCACGATCTCGGCTCACTGCAACCTCCGCCTCCTTGGTTCAAGTGATTCTCCTGCCTCAGCCTCCTGAGTAGCTGGTATTACATGCGCCCATCACCATGCCCAGCTAATTTTTTGTATTTTTAGTAGAGATGGGCTTTCATCATGTTGGCCAGGCTGGTCTCGAACTCCTGACCTCAGGTGATCCACCCGCCTCAGCCTCCCAAGGTGCTGGGATTATAGGCGTGAGCCCCTGTGCCTAGCCACCTGCCTTCTAACTTTTGAGAAAGTCCAATGTTTGCTTTATTGTGACATCAAAGAAGCCAATGCTCCTGGGAACCAACCAGAGTATGGCTGTGTTCTTCTCAATCCCCAGTCAAGAGAGCTGCCTTATATGACTGTCCTGAGGTCAGCCATGTGACCAAGTCTTCCACATTGAAAGTGAGTGAAAAATGGCTTCCCTTTGCCCTTCTAGGCTCCTTGCCTGGGCTACAAATTAAACTGACATAAGACAGATTAACAGGAGAAAAACCATCTTTAGTTACATACATAGGCACAGGAGTCCTTCAAAATATAAGACTCAAAGGAGGGCCAGATGATTGAAGCCTATACAGATTGAGTATCTCTCATCCAAAATGCTTGGGACCAGAAATGTTTCAGATTGGGAATCTTCTCCAATTTTGAAATATTTACACATATATAATGAGAGATCTTGGGGCTAAGACTCAAGTATAAACACAAAATTCATTTATGTTACATATACACCTTATACACACAAACTGAAGGTAATTTTATATAACATTTTTAATGATTTTGAGCATGAAACAAAGTTTTTAATGTGTTTTGACTGTGACACATCACATGAGTTCAGGTGTGGAATTTTCCACTCATGACATGAAGGCTCATGTCAACACTCAAAAAAATTTTGGATTTTAGAGTATTTCGAGTTTTTGGATTAGGGATATGCAACCTATGTAGTATTTTGAGCTACAGAAAGGAATGGGGACTTGAGGCTTCTGGGAGGTGGTGGCCACACAAGTTATGGGAGGGTGAGGGGAGGAAATGTATGGTGAATAAAGGTCTTCTCGTTAGGCAGATAAAAGTCTCCCAGGTAATAAAAGTTGCCTGGAGAAACCCTCAGGAGAATATCTTCCTGGGCATGGTGTATTAGTCTGTTCTCATGCTGCTAATAAAGACATACCCAAAACTGAGTAATTTACAAAGGAAAGGGGTTTAACTGACTCACAGTTCCACATGGCTGGGGAAGCCTCACAATCATGGCAGGAGGCAAATGAGGAGCAAAGTCACATCTTACATGGCAGTAGGCAAATGAGGAGCAAAGGCACATCTTACATGGCAGTAGGCAAGAGAGCTTGTGCAGGCGAACTCCCCTTTATGAAACCATCAGATCAGGCCATGTGCAGCTGCTCACGTCTGTAATCCTAGCACTTTGGGAGGCTAAGGTTGGTGGATCATGAGGTCAAGAGATTGAGACCATCCTGGCCAACATGTCTCTACTAAAAATATAAAAATTAGCTGGGCATGGTGGCATGCGCCTGTAGTCCCAGCTACTCGGGAGGCTGAGAATCGCTTGAACCTGGGAGACAGAGGTTGCAGTGAGCCAAGATCTGAACTCCAGCCTGGCAACAGAGCGAGACTCAATCTCAAAATAATAATAATAATAAATAAATAAAACCATCAGATCTCATGAGACTTATTCACTATCATGAGAACAGCACAGGAAAGTCCCACCTCCATGATTCAATTACCTCCAGCCAGGTCCCTCCCATGACACATGGGGATTATGGGAGCTACAATTCAAGATGAGATCTGCTGGGGGATACAGCTAAACCATATCACGTGGTCTCCACCTCCGGGCTTTCTCCTATGATCCCAGTTAATCTTCCCTGGTGGATGAGATTCCCATGAAGGGGATTCAGGACAGTTGAGTTCTATTTGGAGGATTGTCTTTAGGCAGCTAAGGGGAGCTCAGAAAAAGCCTCTGTCTGAATCTGCTGTTCCCAAAGTGCCCTTAGTTCAATGTAATCAGCACACCAAAGTGTCATATTTTGAAGTGGCCTTTCCTGAACTCCTTCTATTCCATGCCCTCCATGCTGCAAATGCCCTTTGAGGCCAGCCTGGAGAGGCCTCTCCTCTATCTCTTCCCCAGCCTATGAGGTTGCCTGAGAGAGCTGTTGGAAACCCTAATTTGACCCCTCCCACAACAGGGGATAAGCCAAAAAGCTGGGATGTAGAGAACCAGCTCCATGGGATGCCGGTCAGCAAACATTTTAATCTAAAGTTATAATTAGTCAGATAATTGGTTTTTCAGTATTTTTTTTTTAAGTATCCTCCATGCTGGATTACAGAAGCCTAATAGACACTTTCTTTGTTCTTGAAGGGTTAATAGAATATCTTTCTCTTCCAATAAACAGTTGGATAAATATGATAAAGTGCTCCTTCAGGAATTACCATGGCACAGATCATTTCTTCCCTCAGAGAAGTGCCTGGCTTTTGTTTGTTTTTTGCTTTTTGTTTTTTTTGATGGAGTCTTACTCTGTCGCCCATGCTGGAGTGCAATGGTGCGATCTCAGCTCACCGCAACCTCTGCCTCCCCGGTTCAAGCAATTCTCCTGTCTCAGCCTCCCAAGTAGCTAGGATTACAGGCATCCACCACCACACCCGGCTAATTTTTGGATTTTTTAGTAGAGATGGGGTTTCACCACATTGGCTAGGCTGGTCTCAAACTCCTGACCTCGTGATCCGCCTGCCTTGGCCTCCCAAAGGGCTGGGATTACAGGTGTGAGCCACCGCACCCAGTGGCTTTTTGCTTTTTCTTTAAGTTTATTCCTTTATCTGTGAACTCTTGATTTCATAAATCCTCTTCTTTTCCCTTTTATTTTTTCTGGTATGGTCCTGAAATGTCTTCTGTGGTCTTCCTTCAAATTTCAGCTTCCCTTTCCAATTAAATCTTCATTCATGTACCCACGCCTGAATCTTAACCTTCAAAGTTACACTCAAGGCAAGGACTTCCCCTGTTTCTCAACAAAGAGATGGGTATCAATGGATTTCCAAAGCATCCCTCTGTTCTACACATATGTATCTTTTTTCCCCAACTAAAATGTAGAATGATTGAGAACAGGGTCTGTTTTTAATTTCTTTTTTATCTCCCTGCCCTACAGCACCTGCTCTACAAAGTAATTCTCAATAAATAATCACTTCTGACCACATGTAGAAGATTAACAATTCATAAATGTATAATTCTATTGAATGGAAATGGAAATCCTTAGATTGGGGGTGGGGTCACCATTGTTACTGCTAACATTTTTTAGCAGTTATTAATCCAGCATTTCATGTAATCCTCATACTGAAACCACCTTTGGGAAATTATGACAGTAAGAGAAATCTACATGGCTGACTCCATCTTGCTTCTAGCCTCACAAGTTGGCTCTCTTTGCTTATGCCTTGGTGTGGGTCAAGCTAACTTTGGGCGAAATTTAGTTTACAGTTGAAATGATACTAGCCCTTCCCAAAAATGAAATTGTTCCTGTAAAACTAATAAATAAATGGCCACCAAGTTAGGAGGATGAGAGGGGCTTGAATTCTAAATAATTACCAGCCATTATTCCAGAATTTATAAGATTTGCAACTTCCCCAGTTACTCTTGCAGATATTATCACTATTGTAGAAACTAAGATTGGCCTTTTGAGATGTCTTTTCAAGATTTTGCCGTTCTGACAACCACATGACACCATCTGGACCTGCCGACCAGTCCTGTTGAGTCCAGGAACTGACTCAGCACTAGAGGACAGCTTTGATTCCCTATGATTTCATCTCTGACCCAACCAATCAGTATGCTCCCTGCCCACCAAACTATCTTTGAAAAACCCCTAACCTCATGCCTTCAGGGAGATTGATCTGAGTGAGTAATAACCCCATTTCCTATGGGGAGTGACCAGCCTCGTGTCAATTAAACACTTTTGTTACTACAATGCCATGGTCTTGGTGAGTTGATTTTGTTTGTGCAGCAGGCAGGAAGAACCCATTGGGCTGGCCGGGTGCAGTGGCTCACGCCTGTAAACCCAGAACTTTGGGAGACCGAAGTGGGAGGATCACAACGTCAGGAGTTCGAGACCAGCCTGGCCAACATGGTGAAACTCTACCTCTACTTAAAATACAAAAATTAGCTGGGTGTGGTGGTGTATGCCTGTAATCCCAGCTACTTGGGAGGCTGAGGCAGGAGAATCACTTGAACCCATAGGCGGAGTTTGAAGTGAGTTGAGATTGCACCATTGTACTCCAGCCGGGGTAACAGAGTGAGACTCTGTCTCAAAAAAAAAAAAAAAAAAAGAATGGGCTGTAGCCTGGGTGCAGTGACTCACACTTGTAATCCTGGCACTTTGGGAGGCTGAGGCAGGTGGATCACCTGTGCCCAGGAGTTCAAGACCAGCCTGAGCAACATAGCAAAACCCTGTCTCTACAAAAAATACAAAAATTATATATCCATGTAGTATGGGAAATAAAATTTAAAATATAAAAATATAAAAATTAGCCAGGCATGGTGGCATGTGTCTGTGGTCTCAGCTACTCAGGAGGCTGAGGTGGTAGGATCACTTGAGCCCAGGAGGTTGAGCCTGCAGTGAGCCGTGATTGTGCCACTGCCCTCTAGCCTAGGTGACAGAGTAAGACCTTGTCTCTTAAAAAAAAAAAAAGTGGACTGTCTTGTTTATAGAATAGCATGTGACAGACCTGACAATGTATGACTTCCGAGACTAAGTTATAAAAGGCATTGTGATTTTCTCCTTACTCTTTCTCAGTCACTCACTCTGGGGGAAGCCAGGTGCTATGTTGTGAGAACACTCAAGCAGCTCAATGGCGAGGTCCATGTGGCAAGGAACTGAAGCCACCTGCCAATGGCCAACAGGAAACAAGTGCCTTATGTCAACAGCCATGTGAGTGAACCATCTTGAAAACAGATTCTTTAGCCCCATTCTTCAGATGGCAGCAACCCTAGCTCACTTTTTACTGCAACATCATAAGACACCCTGAGCAGTCATCCAACTAAACCACTCTTGAATGCCTGACCCACACAAACTGTGAGATAACAAATAGTTGTGTTACATTGCTAAATTATGAGGTAATTGGTTACACAGCAATAAATAATTCAACTAGGTTATCCTCTAAATGAGTAGTTCTTACATTTTGGGGGGACAGGGACTTCTTTGAGAATCTGATAAAAATTATAGACCCTCACTTGAGAAAAATGCACAGAAACAAAAACATGTAGCTCACAGTTTCTGGAGAATCATATATCCCAGTAAAGCCCATTCATGGTTCTCAGGTTAAAAATCCCTTCTCCAAACACTAGAAGAGTCCACAGGTAAATTCTTTCCTTAAAAAAAAATCCCTTTCCTGTGGAGGACTAATGTAAAGCAATTTTTATTCTTTGCTTCAGTTTGTTTTTCCTTGAGATGGAAGAACCAGTTCGATTAAAGAGGCATTTCCCCCACCCCCAATCCCCTCAGGCTGTTTCCACCAGCACATTTCAGAGGGCAAAGGGGTCAAACTAACTTTTCTCATGGTTCTATTTTTATGACTCAATTCTTATGGAAAAGGGAGTCAAGGAAACTGGTGGGATTTCCAGAAAAGTCAGAAACAGTAGTTACTAGAAATACAGGAAGGAAATGTGTTCTTGAAAGATTAAAGCTCCAAGGTTTAAAGCTAAATGTGTTGGCTTCGTTTGTATTCTCTGGACACAGTAGAGCATTTGGGAGAATCCTACTGAGTTCATTCTTCATCCCCTTGAGCCCCCTCCAACTTTGTTTTTACACATATGCATCTCTAGGCTGACATTATGTGCAAAAGAGAAGCACAGTGATTCCTCTCCATTTTCTACCAGCAGAGATAAAGACCTCTAAGGGGACACAGACATAGGACAGAGAGCCATCAAACTTCCTTTTGAAGTTAATATCTGCCACATCCTCAAGGCCATATTTTCTGATCCAACCAAGGAAAGTACAATAACTGCAATTCTCAGAGTCAGCTTCCCCTTTGGGAACCCTAGAATGGATCTGTGTTCCTGAGCACTGTTGCCTGGGCTGCAGAAGACACGTCAGGAAATATAGCCTAGGAAAAGAAGCAGAACTTGGAGGCATAATGGTGTATGCAATTTGGGGGAAATTCAGTTAGGAGAACTTTTAAGAAAATTTAGTTTGGAGAATTTTTAAGACATCCCCTAGGGGTTAGGCATATGGTACATGAACTCAGAAAGAGGTCTGCATTCAGAGATATTTTGGGAGGTAAAACATGAGGATAAAATTGCTTGCTCGCTGAGAATGGACCTTTGCAAACTTATAAATAGGGGAGGAAGAGAAGCCCCTTAAGGAGTGAAGGAAAATGATAGGAGAGGTTGTGAGATGAGCTGGGAAAGATGTGAGAGAAATCCACGGACAAGGGATTAATTTTTTTTTTTTTTTTTTTTGAGATGGAGTTTCACTCTTGTCGCTCAGGCTGGAGTGCAATGGCATGATCACAGCTCACTGCAACCTCTGTCTCTTGGGTTCAAGCGATTCTCCTGCCTCAGCCTCCTCAGTAGCTGGGATTACAGGCATGAGCCACCACACCCAGCTGATTTTTGTATTTTTAGTAGAGACAGGGTTTCACCATGTTGGCCAGACTAGTCTCAAACTCCTGACCTCAGGTGATCTGCCTGCCTCAGCCTCCCAAAGTGCTGGGATTACAGGCATGAGCCACTGCGCCTGGCCAAGATTAAATTTTTAAAATACAAATATAAATATAAATGAAAAGGGAGTGTTAATTTCACATGCAAGTATAAGCAGAAGCATTGGGTAAATGACAGGTGGACCATGTCAATTCTTTTTAGCATGACAGGGCCTCACGGGTAGTTGTGGGAAGAGCATATCAGTGCAGCAGAAGGGGCAGAAACTTGATTAGGACAGGCTGAGGAGAGAGTCAGTAGAAATGGCTCACATAAAAATGGCCACACACAGTCACCCAAGATTCAAGACTGAACAAGGCAGAGGCTCCTCTCAGCCCCTCTGGTGAGCTAAGAGGCAGCTGGAAGAGATTGGTGAAATACACATTCATTTTGCTATTTGTTCATAATCTACTTTCACTGAAGGAATAAAATCCCATTGTTAATAAACAGAAGTAGCTCCCTAGAGATACAAACTTTGGTGTGGAAAAGTTGGCATATATAAGAAAAGCAATAGCCATCTGCCTAAATTAGAACTAGCAGAGAAGAAATGGCCTTGCCAGGCACAGTGAAACACAAGAAGCAGATCACAAATCAAAGAACTGAAAGTGTTATGAGGGTAGGCACGAGGTCCTACCCTCACAACATAATCCACAGGTTAGGGCAGTGGGTGAGAGGATAGTCTTTGCTGCCTTTTCCAAATGGACAGACCCTCTTAGATACCCACCCTCCCTGAATATTTAAATCAGCACCAGTCTTAAGGGTAACTGGAGAGCAAAAATGAGACAGGTGAACAGCAACAGACAATTCCAGGATTTAGATTCCAAACATGCAGAACCTATGGCTCGTAGTAGTATTTTATTTGAAATAATTGATTTCCTGTATATTTTCATGAATAATTTTCTTTGTGTTTCATAGTAATCTTTCTGGTAAAAGATAAATAAATAAATAAACATTTTCCAAGAAGGTCCCCCAGGCTGCTGGCACAGGCTGTGCTGATGGGCTCCTGCTATGTTTCCCTGTGGCTTCACTGAAGGCCCACCACCTGCCTCTACTACTATGTTATGATGACAAGCTGTTTAGTAGTTCTGTGCCTTGGAGACACTGGCGACCTTGATCCCCATTCAATCTGCAGAGCCCTGTATGCAAGTCCTACAGGCTACACTCCTGCAGGCCTGCATTTAGGTTTAGATAACTCCCCTGGGGCTCAGACCCCAAAGGAAGGGCTTGCCCAGGCCACAGTCCTGTTCTTGCTTCAGACTTTCCTGCCACTGCCCCATACTTGTCTCTGTACCTATGGCAGCTGAGCTGGCATCTCCTCCTGGGACACCTGATGTGTTTCATAGGCTAGAAACATCAAATGCGGGCACTAGCACCAACTTTCAGGAAATAAAGCCAAAAGCCCATGACCCTTTTGTTATGTGCTCAGTGCCACAAAACCCAGCTGCCTGTGTGCTGTGTTGTCAGAAAACACCAGTTTCCAGTCAAAATACAGGAAGAGAAGTAATAAAAAATAAATTTCCTGCCAACAATTGGGGACAACTAGATAGAAGAGGAACGATAAAATATGAATACAATGACAACCAGTATGTAGACACCCAGATGACTTTCCTGTTGAAAAGTCTGGCTTGGAGGATGAAGTTGAAGGAGTCCAAGAAATGCCACCCCAAAATATCACACTTTGGTGTGCTGATTGCTTTGAACCAAGGGCACATGGGGAACAGTGGATGCAGACAGAGGCTTTTTCTGAGCTCCCATTAGCTGCCTAAAGACCTTCCTCCAAATGGAACTCAATTGTCCTGAATCTCCTTTGCAGGAATCTCATCCACCAGGGGAGATTAACTGGGATCACAGGAGAGAGCCTGGAGGTGGACACTAGGCCTAGACAGAAACCACCTATTCTCCTAAGGGCTGCTCCCGACCTTGTTACCTGGGAGACTTTTATCTGCATAACAAGAAGACCTTTATTCACCACACATTTCCTCCCCTCACCCTTCCATAACTTGTGTGGCCGCCACCTCCCAGAAGCCCCAAGCCCCCATTGCTTTCTGTATCTCAGGATGCTCTAAGCTTCAGTCATATGCCTCTTCTTCAAGTCTCATATTTTGTAAGACTCCCATGCATGCATAGGTAATTAAATATGGCTTTTCCCCTGTTCATTAGTCTTACATTAACTTAATTCATAGCCCAGCCAAGGAACCTAGAAGGCTATAGGAAAGCCATTTTTTACTCCCCTACAGAAGCAGAGTTAGTCATGTATTCCTGGGGCCTTCAGGAATCAGTTCTCATCTCTGAGGCTGGCTCCTCCATGTTCTATTTTCTTTCTTTCAAAAACTTTTTATTTTTAATTATTATGGACACATAATAGTTGTACAGGCTAGGCATGGTGGCTCACACCTGTAATCCCAGCACTTTGGTAAGCCAAGGCAGGAGGATTACTTGAAGCCAGGAGTTTGAGATCAGCTTGTACAGCATAGTGAAACCCCATCTCTACAAAAAATATATAAAACATTAGCCAGGTGTTGTGGCATGCACCTGTGGTCCCAGCTACTTGGGAGGCTGACGTGGGAAGATCACTTGATGTGGGAGGCTGACATGGGTTGGGGGTCAGGGCTGCAGTGAGCTGTGATCATGCCAATGCACTCCAGCCTGGGTGACACAGTGAGACCCTGTCTCAAAAAAATAGTTGTACATATTATGGTGTTGTATTAATCTATTCTCACACTGCTATAAGGAAATACCTGAGACTGGGCAATTTATAAAGGAAAGAGGCTTAATTGACTCACAGTTCTGCATGGTGGGGAGGCCTCAGGAAACTTACAATCATGGCGGAAGGAGAAGCCGGCACCTTCTTCACAAGGCAGCAGGAGAGAGAGAAGTAAGCAAAGCGGGGAAGAGCCCCTTATAAAACTATCACATCTCATGAGAACAAACTCACTATCATGAGAACAGCATGGGGAAAACTGCCCCCATGATCCAATCACCTCCCTCCCCTCGTAATCACATGGGGATTACAATTTGATGTGAGATTTGGATGGGGACACAGAGCCAAACTATATCAGGGGTACATGTGATAGAAGCATGCAATGTGTAATGATCAAACCTGGGTAACTGGGATATCCACCTCCACAAACATTTATCATTTGTGTTGGGAACATTCTAAATCTACTCTTCTAGCTATTTTGAAATATACAATAGATTATTGATAGCTATAGTTGCCCTATTGTGCTACCAAACACCAGATCTTATTTCTTCTATCTAACTGTATTTTTCTTAAGATGGAGTCTTGCTCTGTTGCCCGGTCTGGAGTGCAATGGCATGATCTTGGCTCACTGCAACCTCCACCTCCTGGGTTCAAGTAATTTTCCTGCCTCAGCCTCCTGAGTAGCTGAGATTACACGTGTATGCCACCATGCCCAGCTAATTTTTTGTATTTTTAGTAGAGATGGGGTTTCACCATGTTGGGCAGGCTGGTGTTGAACTCCTGACCTCAGGTGATCCACCCACCTCGGCCTCCCCAAGTGCTGGGATTATAGGTGTGAGCCACCATGCCCAGCCTATCTAACCGTATTTTTGTGCCCATTAACCATCCCCTTTTTATCTTCCCCTCTCCATTGCCCTTCTAGCCTCTGGTAACCGCCATTCTACTCTCTACCTCCATGAGGTAGATTATTTTAGCTCCCACATATGAGTTAGAACATAAGACATTTGTCTTTCCATGCCTGGCCTGTTTCACTTAACATAATGTCTTCCAGTTCCATCCATGTTGTTGCAAATAACAGGATTTCATTCTGTTTTACGGTAGAATAATATTCCATTGTGTGTATAAAACCTTTTCTTTATTCATTCATCTGTTGATAGACACTTAATGTTGATTCCATATCTTGGCTATTGTAAATAGTGCTGCAATAAATGTGGGGGTGGAGATATCTCTTTGATATACTGATTTCCTTTCTTTATTTCTCTTTTTTGAGACAGGGTCTTGCTTTGCCACCCAAGCAGGAGTGCAGTGGCACGATCATGGCTCACTACAGCCTTAAGCTCCCAGGATCAAATGATCCTCCCACCTCAGTTTCCCAAGTAGCTAGGACTACAGGTGCATGCCACCACACCAGGCTAATTTCTTTAAAAAATTTTGTAGAGACAGGGTCTTACCATATTGCCCAGGCTAGTCTTGAACTCTTGGACTCAAGTGATTCTTCTGCCTTCACCTCCCAAAGTGCTGGGATTACAGACATGAGCCACCATGCCCAGCCCTTTCTTTTGAGTATATACCCAGAAGGATGATTGCTGGATCATATGGTAGTTCTATTTTTAGTTTTTTGACAACCCTCCATACTGTTTTCCATAGTGGATATACTAATTTATATTCCCACCAACAGTGTATGAGCATTCCCCTTTCTCTGCACCCTTGACAACTTTTGCTATTTTCTGTTTTTTTAACAATAATCATTTTAACTGGGATATCTCATTCTGGTTTTGATTTGCATTTCCCTAATGCTTAGTGATGTTGAGCATTTTTTCATATACCTGTTAGCCATTTTTATGTCTTCTTTTGAGAAATGTCTATTCAGATCTTTTACATATTTTTAAATCAGATTTTTTTTTTGTTATTGAGTTGTTTGAGTTCTTTCTATATTTTGGTTATTAATTCTTCACCAGATGAGTAGTTTTCAAGTATTTTCTCCCATCTTATAAGTTGTCTCTTCACCTTGTTGATTGTTTTATCTGCTGTGCAGAAGCTTTTTAGCTTGATCTAATGACATTTGTCAGTTTTTGCTTTGGTTACCTGTGCTGTTGAGGTCTTACTCAAGAAATCTTAGCCCAGCCTATTGTCCCTGAAGCATTTCTCCAATGTTTTCTTCTAGTAGTTTCATGTCTTACATTTAGGTCTTTGATCCTTTTTTTTTTTTTTTTTTTTTTTTTTTTTGAGACAGAGTCTCACTGTGTCACCCAGGCTGGAGTGCAGTAGCACAATCTTGGCTCACTGCAACCTCCACCTCCCGGGTTCAGGTGGTTCTCCTGCCTCAGCCTCCTGAGTAGCTGGGATTACAGGCGCGTGCCTCCATGCCCAGCTCATTTTTGTATTTTTAGTAGAGACGGAGTTTTGCCATTTTGGCCAGGCTGGTCTCGAACTCCTGACCTCAGGTGATCCACCTGGCTTGGCCTCCCAAAGTGCTGGGATTACAAGCATGAGCCACCACGCCTGGCCTGATCCATTTTTTATTTGATTCTTGTATATGGTGAGAAATAGGGGTCTAGTTTCATTCCTCTGCATATGATTATCATTTTCCTAACATCATTTATTAAAAAGGTGTCCTTTCCCTAATTTATGTTCTTGGTGCCTTTGTCAAAAATGAGTTGACTGGGTCAGGCGCGGTGGCTCACAAAGTCAAGAGATTGAGACCATCCTGACCAACATGGTGAAACCCCATCTCTACTAAGAATACAAAAATTAGCTGGGTGTGGTGGCACACGCCTGTAGTCCCAGCTACTCAGGAGGCTGAGGCAGAAGAATTGCTTGAACCTGGGAGGCAGACATTGCAGTGAGCCGAGATCGCACCACTGCACTCAAGCCTGGCATCAGAGTTAGACTCCGTCTCAAAAACAAAAACAAAACAACAACAAAAAAATGACTTGACTGTAAATGTGTGCGTTTATTTCTGGGTTCTCTATTTGGTTTCCATTGGTCTGTGGGTCTGATTTTATACCAGTCCCACGTTGTTTTGGTTACTACAACTTTGTAGTATAAAGTCAGGTAATGTGATGCCTCCAGCTTTGTTTTGGCTCCTCCATTGTTTCATTTTTGGGAACTAGCCTGTTACTTTCAGTTTATGGCAGTAGCTCAAGATGTTTGGTAGTGGGTAAGATTAAGCTGCTCATTTCCTACATTGCTATCAACTTGTAATAAAAGAAGGCCCCAGGCAAAATTCTGCCCCACTCAAAGACATTTATTAAGCCAGTATTCATGGACCATTAGGCACAGAACATTTTATACAACCCACTCTGTAGGTTTCATGAAGTCCCAGCTTATGTCCTTTTAAATGATTTAATGACTACATGACATGAATGGTCCGCAGGAAGAGAACCAACATTTCAGAGACAGGATTTAATTATCTCTGTGGTCAGCATCAGGCAACCAGAAACTCTTCTAAAGCAATATCTGGATACAGGAGTGGTTCAGAGTCCAGGGTCTTGCACCATCTTTATAGGGGCATGCTAAAGGCCTCAATAGACTCTTACACCCTGTTCAGGCAAATGAGCAGGGCCTCTCAAATATGTTAGCATATTCACATATCTTGATTCTCTTTAATTTCATCAGTGAGCCCTTTTCTATCATTGTCTCATGCTAATTACCAACCCACTGATTTCACCACAAAATAAAACCAATTTCTGATATTCATGTGCTGATTAGCAAAGTATCTGCTATCAATCAAAATATAGATGACTCAAGCAATTTCTAAGGGGCACCTTGAATAGCCTTTCAGATATAAAACTAGCTGACACCCCTGGGGTGTAGCTTGCCCTTGGAATTGAAGCTTAATTTGACTAGCAGGTACACAGCATTCCATTGTCAATGCTGCAGTATTTACAAGTGTGAAATGAAAAACATCTTGGGCCCCCAAAATCACTAAGGAGAACTCAAGCTGGAAACTGCTTAAGGCAAACTTGCCTCCCATTCTATTCAAAGTTATCCCTCTGCTCACTGACATAGATGCATATCTGATTGCCTCCTTTGGAAAGGCTAATCAGAAACTCAAAAGAATGCAACCCTTTGTGTCTCACCTATCTGTGACCTAGAAGCTCCTTCCCCACTTCCTGACTTTGCTTCAAGTTGTCCTGCCTTTCCATACAGAATCAATGTACTTCTTACATATATTGATTAATGCCTCATGTTTCCCTAAAATGTATAAAACCAAGCTGTCCCCCGATCACCTTGGGCACATGTCATCAGGACTTACTGAGGCTGTGTCACAGGCTGTCCACAACTTTGGCAAAATAAACTTTCTAAATAAACTGAGACCTGTCTCAGATTTTCTGGGTTCACACAAGTAAATTACAGCCATTAAGACACTTACTTAGACCTAAAAGAAAAAAACAATTATTTTCATTAAGTACTGTGGGAAGCAAGTCAATACCAGAACACTGGTCTCAGGCTTTGTGACTATTTCATTCATCTCAACTTCTGTCTGAGAAGGAGACAATTAATATGAGATACAACTGAAATCTGTGAGATTGTATTGGGAACTACAAATTCCTAAGCATTCAAGTAAGGAAAGATTCTTGTTATTCAACAGAGGTTATTTCAGTACAAGTAAAAGGAAATATTATTTCATATGGCTCTTAGGAACTGGTTATCCCAAAGGTAGTTCAGGCTGCAAACAAACAATTTATTCTGGGCTAAATCAAAGGTCACAAAGTGGCACCCCAGAAAAATGTTTTATTTGGCCTGAACAACTTTGTAAAATTATTGAATTTGAGCCAGTACTTAAAAATCAGTTGCCATCCCCATAAAAATCTGGATTTCTGGTTTCTCTTGAAAAAAATCAGAAGATCTGACAATATTACGTCTGCATTCCCTGCTCACATAAGGCAGCTGGAATCAAGGAATCACTATATCCCATAACAGCCATTTTCTTTTTTTTTTTTTTTTTAACAGCCATTTTCAATTGTAGAAAGTGAAGTAGAGGTTTCTCTTCAAAGGGACTTTCCTCCCCGTCTAATTACGAATAAATAGTAACTTCTTTTAGAAGCAAAATTTATTCAAAGACCTGGGCTAACATTCTTAGATATCTGCTAGCCGTAATAAAGAAATCAATGTACTTTGTGTTCTTAGCTCCCATATTTTAGCCTAGATATTTGCCCTGGCATGCTTATACTGGTCCAAGCAAGCATTAGGCCACAGCCTGTTCCTCTTCCTTATTTGGAGGTGTTTTTACCTTTCTCAGCATTCCACAAGTGGCTTCCACCTTCCTTTGTTCTCCTCTGCCTTTGCCTCTTTTGGAAAGTTCTAAGTCACTAGCCAATCGGGACTAGTACAGAATGTGAGGTCGCATTCCATCCAGTGGAAACCAGACACAGCAGTAGGGTGGCCACTTCAGGTTATAAGTGACCCTGTCTCCTTTGTTCGGGTGTGCGCTCATGGCAAGACTGCTAGTGAGCGGCACCCTTTCTGCAGAAAGTAAACTAGCCTTGCTGAGAGATCCTTTGTCTCAGTGTTGATTTTTGCGACACCAAGCACCTGTTCCCAACGCTCTCCAGCTTGCTACAGTGCACACCATGCCCCATTACTTTCCAACACTGAGGTCCAGTGCCAGTTACACTCCTTAACTATTCTCACCAGTTGAGCCTTGAAACATAATCCTAGGTGGATCATGGAACTGAATTTCTGCCCAATTCCTGCCTTGGGATAAGATGATATTCCTGCCTCAATAGACTCTTCATCAAAAGACAATGTATGTTCATGAAAAGACAAACCATACAATGGGAGAAGATATTTGCAACACATATAACTACAAAGGGGTAGTACTCCAAACAATACAAAGAATTTCTACAAAACGACAAGAGAAAGACCATCAATCCAACAGAAAAGTGGGCAAAGAGATGAACAGGCAATTCACAGAAGAAACAGGAATGATCTGTAAACACAGGAAAAGATACTCAACTCCATAGTGATCCAGAAAATAAAAGTTTTTATCACAATAAAATATTATTTCACATTCATTATATTGGCAAAAATCTAAGAATACCAGCATCACCAAGAATTCTATGCATCACCAGTTGAATTTTGATTGGCCCAGTCTCTCTAAAGAATGGTTTGAACTCTCTGGAGAAGCTATTTATCCAAGGTACCAGAAGTTCCACTCTTGGGAATTAACTCTAGAGAAACCCTTGCAGAAATTCACAATGAGACAGGTACAAATATGTTCATGGCCATATGGTTTGTAATAGCCCCAAACTGGTAACAACCTAAATGTGTGTCAGCAGAATAAAGTAGGACATATTCATACGATAGGGTAATATATAGTTGCCATATACATCAACAAGAATGATTTTCAGAACACATTTGACATAAAAATCAAGCTGCATAAGAAAACACACTATGATGCCATGTATATAAAGTTGCATGCAAAGCAATATTACGTATTGTTTGGGGATACATTTATTAAAAATATGAGAATATAATAAATACCAACTTTAGGATATTGATTACCTCTCTAAGGAAGAAAGGGGAATGAAATCAACATGGGTCTGCAAGATTCTTTGGCTGTATTAGAAATGCTTTATTTCGGCCAGGCATGGTGGCTCATGCCTGGGATCCTAGCAGTTTGGGAGGCTGAGGTGGGAGGATTGCTTGAGCCCAGGAGTTTGAGACCAGCCTGGGCAACACAGCAAGACCCCATCTCTAGTCTTAAAAAAAAAAATAGATAAAATAAGAAAGAGATGCTTTATTTCTTGAGTTGGGTGGGTAATACTACCTAGCTGTGTGTTATATTAGTCTTTTTTTTTTCTTTTTAGGCAGAGTCTCCCTCCATCACCCAGGATGGAGTGCAGTAGCCTGATCATAGCTCACTACAGGCTTGAACTCCTGGGCTCAAGTAATCCTTTTGCCTCAGCCTCCCAGGTATCTGGGACTAGAGGCATGTACTACCACACCTGGCTAATTTTTAAATTTTTTTGTAGAGACTAGCTCTCCCTATGTTGCCCATGCTGGTCTTGAACTTCTGGCCTCAAGCAATTCGCCTGTCTCAGCCTCCCAAAATTCTGGGCTTATAGATGTGAGCCACTGTGCCTGGCCTGTTGTATTAATCTTTATACCTTTTTGTATTTATTAAATATTAAAAAACAAATTTTAAAATAAATGCATTTATTAATATCTAGTTTGCAGTTTTCCTCTTTTATTTCAGAGTTAATAAAAACTTTTTCCAGGCTGTATTAGTTTCCTGTTGCTGTGTAACAAATTACCAAAAATTTGGTGGCACACAAATTTATCTTGGAATTCTGGTCCCTTCCTCTATCTTTAGAACCAGCTGCAGCATCTAGAAATCTCTCTCTGTCCTCTGCTTCTGTCATCACCCAGCCTCTGAATCTGACCCTCCTATCTTCCGCTTAGAAGGACCCTTTTGATTACATTGGGCTTACCCAGATAATCCAGGATAATCTTCCCACTTCTCAAGATCCTTAACTTAAGCACTTCTACCAAATCCCTTTGCCATGTAAGGTAACATATTCACAGGTTTGGGGGATTAGGACATGCACATCTTTGCAGGAGCATTTTTCTGCCTGCCACATAGGCCTTAAACACTTTTGTAGGCCCTAGTGCTGTACCTATTGTGTGGAGTGGAGAAACCCCTGCCCTGCTTAGCTCTTAGTAAATATCTGCTTTGGTTTCCCTGCCCTGGCAGAAACCCAGATGGCCACAAAGCAGCCAAAAGCCTAGCCCTGGAGGTGCGGGTGTGGGGATGGGGGAGAGAAAATCACAGAGGCTGGAAATTCCCAAGCTGGAGAATGGATCCACAACTACCAAGAGTGGTTCTGAATTAGAACAGTTAGGTCTCAAAATTCCTCAGAGCAGCCACATGGAATACTCTACAACAGAAATCTGATCAGTCACTCTCCTATGTAAAACCCCTTTATGGCTTCCCCTTGGCTTCAGAATAAGGAACAAAGTCCTTCAAGTGGTCCTAGAAGAGGGTTTCTCAACCTCAGCACTACTGACATTTGGGGGCGGAAAATTCTTTGTTGTCAGAGCTATCCTCTGCATTGCAGGATGTTCAGCAGCATCCCTGGAGCACCCCCCAACACACTTGTGACAACCTTGCCAAATGTCCCTGGAGGACAAAATTGCCTTCCATTGGGAACCACTGCCCTAGGCAGTCCCACAGGATCTGGCCCTGTCTGTCTCCCCAGGCTCATCTGCTCCCCAGGGGTCCCCAGCCTGCGCTTTCTTCTTTAGCCACCTAAAGGGCATCTCTCAACTGGACACCACATCCCTCCTGCCTCAGGATTTCTGCACACAGTCCTCTTCCTGGGCTGCCCCTCCCTACCTGTTGTCACCTGGCAAACTCCTTGTGTCTCAGCATAAAGGTTTCCTGCTCAGGCCCCCTGCCCTACCCCACCTCCAGAGCCCTACACTGTGTCCTGTGGCAACCCCGCTTCTCTGCCACATGCTGCTTCCTGCCGCCTCCAGAAGAACAGGGACAGTGACTATCTGGTCCTCCCACAGTGCTAGTGAGTAGCAGCTACTTAGTCCTTATTATCTCATGATTGGCAGATACTGTCTCCTACCCCACATCTGTCCCACATTAGATGCCCAGAACCAGAGTCAGATGTGAAGCCAAGTTAAGTCCCCGAGGAAGAAGAGCTGAGATTACTTGTGTGCTTCTTGTTGCGTCTGGACTGTGCTGCTGGCCCTATTAAAGGTTAAACAGTAACTTAGGCTGTGATCTAAAAAAGGCTCTTCCTGAGGGCAGTGAGCCTAGGGTTCCCAAGGCTACACATCAGGAATCCTTTGCCCCAGGGCTCCTGTTAAATTATGCCCTCCCTGGGAGGGGCCAGTACCATGGGCCTGGCACCAGCCACCAAGTGTCTGGGATAGGAACCACACAGCAGTCACCTTGCAGACAAGGACAGCCCAATGGGGAGAAGCCAGTGCTCTCAACCAAGAGACATTGCTTGAGGCCAGGAGTTCAAGACCAGCCTGGGTAACTCCTATGGTTTGGATTTGCGTCCCTGCCCAAATCTCATGTCAAGTTATAATTCCCAATCCTTCCCAGTCTGTAGGAGGGGCCTGGTGGGAGGTGGTTGGATCATGGGGGTGGATTTCCCCCTTGCTGTTGCCCTGAACATCTGTGAGTCCTCACGAGATCCAGTTGTTTAAAAGTGTAGCACTTCGCCTTCTCTCTCTTCCTCCTGCTCTGGCCATGTAAGACATGCCTGCTTCCCCTTCACCTTCCGCCATGATTGAAAGTTTCCTGAGGCCTCCTCAGCCATGCTTCCTCTACAGCCTGCGAAACTGTGAGCCAATTAAACCTCTTTTCTGTTTTGTTTTGTTTTTGTTTTTTTTTTGAGATGGAGTCTCACTTTGTCGCCCAGGCTGGAGTGCGGTGGCGCAATCTCAGCTCACTGCAACCTCCCAGGCTGGAGTGCAGTGGCGCAATCTCGGCTCACTGCAACCTCCACCTTCCGGGTTCAAGAGATTCTCCTGCCTCAGCTTCCCGAGTAGCTGGGATTACAGGTGCCCACCACCATGCCTGGCTAATTTTCTATTTTTAGTAGAGATGGGGTTTCACCATGTTGGCCAGGCTGGTCTCAAACTCCTGACCTCAGGTGATCCACCAGCCTCAGCCTCCCAAAGTGCCGGGATTACAGGAGTGAGCCAGCACGCCCGGCCTAAACCTCTTTTCTTTATAAATTACCCAGTCTCATACTGCTATGTCTTTATAGCAGTATGAGGATGGACTAATACGGCAACATAGCAAGACCCCTGACGAAGTTTCCTCTTGTCCACCCCATCCTGGCAAGGTAAATAACACACCACCAAAACTCAGCCTTGACCTCACCAAATGATCATTATGTCCCCATTAAAAAGTTGTAACTGAGACTCTGAAATGGAATCCTGTGAACAACACTGAAAGGACAGAGCCCAGCTGCTATTTGGCGGCAGCCACAATGTCCCAGGACAGGAAGCCCTTCCTGGATCCTTCTCTGCTTGCTTTCAGTTGTCCCCTCTTCTCCCACACAGCCTCCCAAAGCAAGCCCCACATTCTCCCTAAGTTGCTATTTTGTGAATTGGGTTTCCCAACTTTAGTCAACATGTTGACAAATATATTCCTTGTATTATTATTCACTTAATATTTTCTTTTAAGTGCATATACCTCTTTCCATAATAAAAATACTTTTTTTTCTGCTGGGTGTGGTGGCTCACACCTGTAATCAGCACTTTTGAAGGCTGAGGCAGGCAGATCACTTGAGGTCAGGAGTTCGAGACCAGCCTGGCCAACATGGCAAAACCCCATCTTTACTAAAAATACAAAGATTAGCCGGTGTGGTGATGCACACCTGTAATCCCAGCTACTCAGGAGGCTAAGGCACAAGAATTGCTTGAACTCGGGAGGCGGAGGTTGCAGTAAGCCAAGATCACACCACTGCACTCCAGCCTGAACGAAAGAGTGAGACTGTCTCAAAAAACAAATAATAATAATAAATAAATATAGTTCTTTTCTGATTGTGTAACTCAGTGTATACTCATTATAAAAAATGCAAACAACACAAAAAAAATAAGGAAGCCAAAAACCACCTGAAATCTCATCACCCCGGGAAAACCACCATCAACATTTTGATGTCCTCCTTTCCTACATGTCTTTATCCAAATACACACATAAATGTGATTTTACACACATAAGGCATATTTTTTTGCTTGAATAAATGTGTTCAAAAGGAAATGCTCTACTGGCATCATTAATAGCAAACTGCCATCACTTGCAAGAATAGAAGGTAACTCCTCCCAAATAAATACAACAAAAACAAAACAATGTGGCCGGGCTCAGTGGCTCACGCCTGCAATCCCAGTACTTTGGGAGGCTGAGGCGGGCAGATCACCTGAGGTCAGGAGTTCAAGACCAGCCTGGCCAACATGGCAAAACCCCGTCTCTACTAAAAAATACAAAAATAAGCCAGGCGTGTTGCCAGGCACCTGTAATCCCAGCTACTCGGGAGGCTGAGGCAAGAGAATTGCTTGAACCTGGCAAGCAGAGGTTGCAGTGAGCCGAGATTGCGCCCCTGCACTCCAGCCTGGGCAACACAGTGAGACTCCGTCTCAATAAACAAAACAAAACAATTGACTAAATATCTGGTCAGATACCATAACTCACCAAGGCTCCCAAGCCTGAGGCCCAGTCTCTAGGGGATAACAGGGGAAGATTAGCAAGTGTTGTCAGGGAGGGGGCTTTATAGGTTAGCTTTTCTCCCAGGTGCAATTAGAAGGATTAAAAGAGAATGAGAAGGCCCGGCGCAGTGGCTCACACCTGTAGTCCCAGCACTTCGGGAGGCTGAGATGGGTAGATCACAAGGTCAAGAGTTTGTAGACCAGCCTGGCCAACATAGTGAAACTCTGTCTCTACTAAAAATACAAAAGTTAGCCGGACGTGGTGGCACGCGCCTGTAGTCCCAGCTACTCCGGAGGCTGAGGCAGGAGAATCGCTTGAACCTGGGAGGCGGAGGTTGCAGTGAGCCGAGATTGTTCCACTGCATACCAGCCCAGGCGACAGTGAGACTCCGTCTCAAAAAAAAAAAAAAAAATGAGAAGAGGAAAATTTTTCTCTACTTCTACTGCTATCTGAGTCCACATCTGTGCAGTAGGTTAAACTTTCTAGGGTGCTCTGTAAGCACCTTCCATATTCTATGGAGAAGGCAGGGGGCAGAACCACAACTACCAGGCATTCCAGGGTTTGTTCCTGACAGCGCAGAGGGGAGAGGCCATGTAAGCACCAGCGTCCTGCCCCCAGAAGCCTCAGAAAACTGTGAAGCCTCAAACAGCACTTCTGGGGCACAAGGTCCCTGACCCTCACCCCGAAAGGTCTCACCATAGCTGCCCTAGTCCCAGGCACCCCTCCTAACACCTCCAGAGCTGATAGGAAATTCCAGAGTTCTTTTTCCTCCTTCTTCACAAAGCCCCTTATGTATCAGGAACCAACATTCCTAAGCAGAAGACGCAAAGTCTTGTGTGTGTCGGGGACTGTCAATGACAAGAGAAGAGAAGCCCTCTCACCTTGGGCTGGATTCCCAGGTGCAGAGAGCAACAGCCAGGCCAGGCATGCAGGGGGAGGCAAGTGAGGTGCCCAGGGTGCAAAACTTAAGGAGGTGTTCACTCTCTACTGCCGGCCATGAGCTTGCACAACCCTGAGAACCAGTGCTTTGCTTGTCTCACCCTGGGCAGCGGAGACGACCTGTGAACCATTCAATACATGGTGCCAGGACAACTGGGTATCCATGTGGAAAAAGATAAAATTTCATCCTTACCTATGCTATACACAAAATAAATTCAACATGGGTCAAAGACTTAAAGGTAAAAGGAAATTATTAAAACTTTTACAGGCCGGGCGCAGTGGCTCATGCCTGTAATCCCAGCACTTTGGGAGGCCGAGGCGGGTGGATCACCTGAGGTCAGGAGTTCGAGACCAGCCTGGGCAATATAGTGAAATCAACTGCACTACTAACCAAGGAAATGCAATTTCAAATTAGTACGATGACATGCCAATTCCTAACCATCTCATTGGCAAAAATGTAGAGGTCTAACAATGCCAAGTGATAGAGAGATTATGAGGAAATAAGGACTCTCTTAGCTTGCTGGTGGGACTGTGAATTAGGGAGGCAGCCTGGTGCTGTCCAGGAAGTGCAAAAGGTGTGTGCACACGTGGTCACTACTTAGCTGGCTACTTTTCCATCCTCAATTCTTCTGAAACATCGCTTCCCACTTCCTCTTCCTAATGCTCAGCTCTGAACATATCCCTTTCCCTCTTTAGATGCCTTCAATGACTCCCTGTTGTCTATGAAGAAGGGCCAAACTCTTTAAGTGGACACTTTAGCCTTCCATGATGTAACCCCAACCCTTGTTTTGGTGTATATCCCCTCTGCCCTATGTTCTTACAGCTCTACCTGTAAAACTAACAGTATAGACTGAAAACTCTCTCTTAAATCCTTACCCACATGGAATGTTAATGAGAGAGAAGAAGAGGTGGGGGTAATCTACTTTAACACCTTATTATGTTACAGAAGAGAATGCTGAGGCCCAAAGAGACTGAATGCTCTACCCAAAGCCACACAGCAAGATAGGGAACCAGAGACCCCAACTTTTCTGATCCCGGATAAGGGCTCTTACCATTGCATATCTCTTCCTGTGCTGAAGTATCTCAGGCCCAGCTGTGGGGGTGCAAGCAGATTGTGCCTAATTGACACAGCCCAGGAGTGACAGCCACCGTTTGTCACAAAGCAAAAATATCTCAAGATGCTGGAGCAGGAAAGTACTTCCCGTGCCGGCAGCCCACTGGTCCTGAAGCACCGCATCCCCGAAAGGGGATACCCTTGTGTTCACCTTGTCGACAGGGAGCAGCCAGGTCTCTCTTTTGCTGTAATTGGGTTAGTCTTGTGGGTTGGCCCCCCTCTCAGTTGTCAAAAGAGATTATACAGAAATGCACTGCTGCACTGACCATAGCTCAGGCACAGGCTGAGGCTGAAGCAGGAGGGAATTTTCAAATGCATTCGTTAATCACCCTAAGTAACTGCGTGCTGCCAGCTGCAGTCAGTTTTGCTCCAAAAAGAGCTCAGAGGTTTCCCTGTAAACTGCAGCTTCCTCAGGAAGGTCCGGAAGCTGGTGAGGGTCTGTACTCGCCTTGCCTATATCCCCATGCCTGAAGGGTGCATGACATTAAATCACAAATTAAAAACCGCTGTGACATGGAAGACCACAGAAGAAAGGAAAAAAGCTTTCCTCCTGTTTTTTGAATAAGGGGCCCTGCAGTTTCATTTTGCACTGGACCCCACAAATTACAAAAGTGGCCCTGACCCCAGCCCAGCAGTTTCTAACCTCTAATGAGTGAGAAGGAGAACATTCATTTTCTTAGAACCCCAGGGGAGTTGCTCTGGTTGAGTCCTGCACTGACCCAGGGTGGGGACCCAGGAAGCCCAACCGTGAGGCCTCTGAATTGGCACCTGAAGGCATCTGTGGACTCAAGTCTGTGAAGACCTCTGACAGTCCACTGTCAGAACCCAGAGGTTCTCCACTTCAGCAAGCAAAAAAAGTACCTGGAGAGCATGTTAGAAATGCAAACTCTGCCGGGCGTGGTGGCTCACGCCTATAATCCCAGCACTTTGGGAGCCTGAGGTGGGCAGATCACTTAAGGTCAGGAGTTCAAGACCAGTCTGGCCAACATGGTGAAACCCTGTCTCTATTAAGAATACAAAAATTGGCTAGGCACGGTGGCTCACGCCTGTAATCCCAGCACTTTGGGAGACCGAGGCGGGCAGATCACAAGGTCAGGAGATCGAGACCATCCTGGCTAACACGGTGAAACGCTGTCTCTACTAAAAATACAAAAAATTAACCGGGCATGGTGGTGGGCACCTGTAGTCCCAGCTACTCAGGAGGCTGAGGCAGGAGAATGGCGTGAACCCGGGAGGCGGAGGTTGCAGTGAGCCCAGATTGTGCCACTGCACTCCAGCCTGGGTGACAGAGCGAGACTCCATCTAAAAAAAAAAAAAAAAAAAAATACAATTAACCAGGCGTGATGGCGGGTGCCTGTAGTCCCAACCACTCAGGAGGCTGAGGCAGGAGAATCACTTGAACCTGGGAGGTGGAGGTTGCAGTAAGCTGGGATCACACCACTGCACTCTAGCCTGGACAACAGACTCTGTCTCAAAAAAACAAACAAAAAAAGAGACCAGCCTGGCCAATATGGTGAAACTCTGTCTCTACTAATAATACAAAAATTAGCCAGGCATGGTGCTGCATGCCTGTAGTCCCAGCTACTCGGGAGACTGAGGCAAAAGAATCGCTTGAACCCGGGAGGCGGAGGTTGCAGTGAGCTGAGATCACGCCACTGCACTCCAGCCTGGGCAACAGAGCGAGACTCCATCTCACAAAAAAAAGAAAAGAAAAGAGAAATGCAAGCTCTCAGATCCTTGTTCCAGAGATTCTGACTTAGTAAGTCTGTGTGAGGGGAGTTGGAGGGGGATGGCTGAGATTTGCATTTCTAACTTCCTTCAGGTGCACCAAAAGATGAGGCTATAGTCTGTGGTCTATGCTTAGCGTTACACTGGTAACCCCTTTGTTTCACAGATGAGGCAACAGGGACCAGGGACTGAGGTGCTCACCCAGTGAACTCAGTCCTCCTGGACAGGCACTGTGAAGGCGCACTCTGCACACTCAGGCAGCACCTCCTACTGTGTCACGCCAGCTCTAGGGGAGTCTGAGGAAGGATGGCATGAGTTAGCGTCATGGTCTGAAAGTTTCCATAAATGCTTGTAGAGACAATGCGTATCCTAGAACTGAATGCTCCCCTCCTCGTGTCACCCTCTGACATATTAGGTAAGGCAAGCAGCACTGGGGAACAGAAAGATCACCCTTCATCTGCTTTGAGCCTCAGTTTCCTTAATAACAGCCAATATTCATTACACTTATCAGGCATTTCACATGCACTAATCCTCTCCACAAACCTATGGCATAAGTTCTATTATTATCCTCATTTTACAGAGAAGGAAACTGAGACTCAGAGTTTAGGTAATTTGACTAGAGTCATGTACCAGTGTGCAGAGGCGGGGCTTGAACAAATGCACTATGACTCAATAGCCCCAGCTCCTCTCCACCCTAAAGAAACTACGTTGTTGGAAGCCAGTGACTAGGGCTGTCCTGCTGGAGGTCCTCCCATTGCTGGTGCTTTAGCCCTCCCACATTCCTGGCCCAGCTCCACCCGCAGTTCCCGGTAAAGATTCCTCTCAGGTGTGCTGCAGCACTGCCCTCTGGCCCTCGTCAGGCAGCCCTCTGGGTCTGGTCCCATCACCTGGCCCTCAGCCAGTGCTCCTTGAGTGCAGCGCTGGCCTCCATGGGTGAGGGGTTCCTGGCCTCGGCCCTGTGCTCTAGAGGGCCTTGCTCCACCCTTACCAGTCGGGTGGAGAGTCTGTGGAGGGCCGAGGACCTGAAGCCCCTCCTCTAGAATGCTATGGGTACCTGCGACCCTAGAATTCCCTGCACTAATGTCCCTGAGCTATTCCCAGGGCTTGCTGGGGTTTGTCCCCTGGCCCACCTTCCCAAGAGCAACACTGGGCTCATAGGTAGCACTTGCCAAATGCATGCACCCTCTAGGCCTATGTCCAGGAGTGTGGAGTGGGGGGTGGGCAGAACTGACATGAGAGCTGGGGTGTCCACAGAGATGGACTTGAGGCCCTTCCAGGTTCAGGATGAAGAGCAGGTAGGAAGAGAAGATGGCTGGGCCACTAACTGGGGGCCACTTTTCCAGCAGTGCCATTATATTAGTTACCTATTGTTGCGTAACAAATGACCACCAACTTACAGCTTAAAATGGCACATATGTATTATCTCACAGTTTCTGTGAGTTAGGAATATGGGCAGGGCTTAGCCAGGCTCTCTGTTTCAGAGTCTCTCAGGAGGTGTTGTCTGGGGCTGCAGTCTCATCTCAAGGCTTGATTGGGGAAGGATCTGCTTCTACATCCATGTGGTCGTTAGCAGCATTTCAGTTCCTTGAGGGTTGCTGGACTGAGGGCCTCAGTTCCCTGCTGGCTATTGGCTGGAGGCTGCCCTCATTCATTAGTAATATGGATCCCTGGAACAAGGCAACTTGCTTCATCAAAGCCAGGAAGAGTGGGCATCTGCTAGCAAGAGAGAAGCCACTGTCTTATATCACCTAATCATGAATGGAACATCCCATTACCTTTGCCGTATTCTGTAGGTTAGAAGCAGCTCATGGGTCTTGCCCACACTCAAGAGGAGGGGATTACATAAGGATGTAAATGTCAAAGGTGGGAATCACTGCATGTCATCTTAGAAGCTGCCTGCCACAGCCATATCCAAGCACAGAATGCCAAGAAATCAGAAAGAGTTCTACATTCAAACCTGGCTTTCTTAATTCATTATGAAGTTATATATATAAAGGGGAGAGAATAGATAATATTTTAGTCAACAGTTTTTTTGTTTTAAGTCATCAGTTTCTTAGCTTGAGTTATACCTTTTAAATATTTAAAAGTGTATACACTTAAATATTTAAAAATATTAAGGCCAGGTGCGGCGGCTCACACCCGTAATCCCAGCACTTTGGGAGGCAGAGGCAGGTGAATTGCTTGAGCCCAGGAGTTTGAGAACTGCCTGGGAAACATGATGAAACCCCATCTCTACAAAATATAGAAAAAAAAAAAAATAGCCAGGCATGGTGGCACACACCTATAGTCCCAGCTACCTGAGAGACTAAATTAGGAGGATTGCTTGAGCCCAGGGAGGTTGGGCCTGCAGTGAGCTGAGATTGCGCCACTGCACTCCAGCCTGGGTGACAGAGTGAGACTTTGTCTCAAAAAAATGTAAATGAGGCAGAAAAAGAGGGAAGGTTAAAAAAATTTTTAATTAAAAATAAATATTTCAATATGTAATAGCAAGCTTACACTGATACTCTCATGCTGGCTCCATAAATGTTAGGGACAGGCCTGCTTCTGTACACATGTCTCGGCCACCACCTCAGACAGGGAAGACCTGTGGGCAGAGTCCTATCTGCTGACTTTTCGCCAACCACCCAAAGCCTAGCACAGTGTTATTGGGGCTCAGAAAATCATACCCCAGCTGGGCGCAGTGGCTCACACCTGTAATCCCAGCACTTTGGGAGGCTGAGGTGAGCAGATCACGAGGTCAGGAGATCGAGACCATCCTGGCTAACACAGTGAAACCCTGTCTCTACTAAAAATACAAAAATTAGCCAGGCGTGGTGGCAGGCGCCTGTAGTCCCAGCTACTCGGGAGGCTGAGGCAGGAGAACGGCGTGAATCCAGGAGGCAGAGCTTGCAGTGAGCCAAGATCGCACCACTGCACTCCAGCCTGGGCGACAGAGTGAGACTGTCCCTTAAAAAAAAAAAGAAAGAAAATCATAACCCAGCCAGGAGCAGTGGCTCACGCCTGTAATCCCAGCACTTTGGGAGTCTGAGGCGGGCAGATCACCTGATGTCAGGAGTTCAAGACCAGTCTGGCCAACATGTTGAAACCCCGTCTCTGCTAAAAATACAAAGTTAGCTGGGTGTGGTGTCATGCACCTGTAATCCCAGCTACTTGGGAGGCTGAGGCAGGAGAATCACTTGAACCCAGGAGGCGGAGATTGCAGTGAGCCAAGATTGTGCCACTGCACTACAGCCTGGGCAACAAGAGTGAAACTCTGTCTGAAAACAAAAAACAAAAAACAAAAAGAACAAAAAAACAAAAAACAGAAAATCATACCCCAAAGTATGGTGCTTTGGCATGCTGAGTGCTTTGAACTAAAGAGGAAGCAAGGCCTCTCTGACCTTCTTCTGCTCTCCTGCCTCTCACCCCTCTTTCTTCCCCGAAGTACAGACACGGACTTTTTCTGAAGTTCCCTCATCTGTCTAAAGGTATATCCTCAAAAAAGAAATTCAGTTGTCATTAGTCACCTCCTGGGGATCTCATCAACCAGGGAAGATTAACAACACCACAGAAGAGACAAGGTTGACACCATGCCCAGACAGACTTTGTCACAGGCTGTCATCTATTCTTCTTCCCCCCAAATCAAAATCATTTACTCTCCAAGTTGCCCACGTTACCCCTCACTCTCCCATATGAAGAGAGCGTATAAGCTTCCAACCCAGGTGCGATGGTTCACACCTGTAATCCCAGCATTTTGGGAGGCTGAGGAGGGAGGATCACTTGAGCCCAGGGGTTCAAGACCAGCCTAGGCAACATAGTGAGATCCCCATCACTACAAAAAATGTTAAAAATTATCCAAGTGTGGTGGTGTGTGCCGGTGGTCCCAGCTACTCAGGAGACTAAGGCGGGAGGATCACTTGAGCCCAGGAGTTCAAGACCAGCCTAGGCGACATAGTGAGACCTCCATCACTACAAAAAATGTTAAAAATTATCCAAGTGTGGTGGCGTGTGCCTGTGGTCCCAGCTACACAGGAGTCTGAGGAGGGAGGATTGCTTGAGCTTGGGAGGTCAAGGCTTCAGTGAGCCGTGATTGCACCACTGCACTCCAGCCAGGGCTACAGAGTGAGACCCTGTCTCAAAAATAATAAAATAAATAATTAAATAAGTGATTGAGTCCCTGCAAACAAAACAAAACAAACAAACAAAAAAAACAGAGAGAGCGAGCAAGTAAATAAGCTTCTAGATCTCACTGGGTTTGGGAGGTATTCACTTTTCTTTCATGTGATACCTGGTCCACATAATAAATTTGTATATCTTTTTTCCTGTTAATCTGTCCACTGTCAGTTTATTTCATAGACTCAATTATGGAACATTCAGGGGATAGAGGAAAAGTTTTATTCTCCCCTACAGTGTCCCTCATGTGAGAGACAATCAGTAGAGTTTGCCTGGGCATCCACTGGCAGCTGCCCAGCTCCAATGGTAGCAGCCCCCAAACCCTCTCCCATGAGGCAGCGGGGCTGATGTTGAAGGCTCAGTGGTCGGGCTTCCTTCTGAGCAAGAAGAGAAGATACCAAGTGGCCCAGGAAGGGAGAGGCACAAAGGCCACCACACTAGCAGGACAAAGCCTACTCACTCCAGTAGAGGGAAAGTTTGTCTCTACATAAAAACAGGATTGGCCGGGTGCGGTGGCTCAAGCCTGTAATCCCAGCACTTTGGGAGGCTGAGGTGAGCGGATCACGAGGTCAGGAGATCAAGACCATCCTGGCTAACACGATGAAACCCCATCTCTACTAAAAACACACAAAAAATTAGCCGGGCGTGGGGGTGGGCGCCCGTAGTCCCAGCTACTGGGGAGGCTGAGGCAGGAGAATGGCGTGAACCCAGGAGGCGGAGCTTGCAGTGAGCCCAGATCACGCCACTGCACTCCAGCCTGGGCAACAGAGCGAGACTACGTCTCAAGAAAAAAAAAACAAAAAAACAAAAAAACAGGATTGTTAGGTTTCTATTTTTTATTATAAAAATATTGAATTATAAAATATTTAAAAATTATAAAAATAATGAATATGGTTATATTTTTCAAAAGAAAATAAGAAATAAAAGAGACATAGTTTTACTGCCTAAAGTCCCTTTGTTGTGCATGTGTGTGCATGTTGTGTGTTTTAATTTCCTTACCTAAAAAATGTTTTCTATGCAAAGCTCTTTTTTCTTTTTAAAATTTCTGTGGTTTGGAGGGTTTAAAAAAATAGAAGAGATTGCCAGGCGCGGTGGCTCATGCCTGTAATCCCAGCACTTTGGGAGGCCGAAGCAGGCAGGTCACCTGAGGTCAGGAGTTCGAGACTAGCCTGGCCAACGTGGCAAAACTCCGTCTCTACTAAAAATACAAAAATTAGCTGGGCGTGGTGGCACGCACCTGTAATCCCAGCTACTCAGGAGTCTGAGGCAGGAGAATGGCGTGAACCCGGGAGGCAGAGCGTGCAGTGAGCCAAGATAGCGCCACTGCACTCCAGCCTGGGTGACAGAGAGAAACTCTGTCTCAAAAAAAAAAAAAAATTATATTAAAAAATTTAAAAAATAAAAAAAAGAAGAGCTCATATTGTCTAGTTATATACCTACTTTTTCAGAAAACTAAAATTTTTTTTTTAGATTAAAGAGGTAGAATTTTAAAATAACTTTTTTTTTTTTTTTTTGGAGACAGGGTCTCACTCTGTAGCCCAGGCTGGAGTGCAATAGTGTGATCTCAGCTCACTGCAGCCTCAGCCTCCCAGGTTCAAGTGATTCTCCTGCCTCAGCCTCCCTAGTAGCTGGGACTACAGGCGCTCGCCACAGCACCCAGCTAATTTTTGTATTTTTACGGGGTTTCGCCATGTTGGCCAGGCTGGTCTCAAACTCCTGACCTCAAGTGATCCGCCTGCCTCGGCCTCCCAAAGTGCTGGGATTACAGGCGTGAGCCACCCCACCCCGCCCAGCCTAAAATAACTTTAAAACATTAATAATAGATTCACAAGGTCCAAAAAGTACACAGTGAAAAATCTCCCTCCTACTCCCTAAGTTCACATACCTGGCAGCAACCAACGTTACCAGTTCCCTCTACGTCCTTGCAGAGATGGTTTATGTACATATACGGAAATATATAAATATTTTCTTTTTCTTTTCCATTTTCTACATAGTGGTGACATGCTATACAGATACTTCTCGACTTACAATTAAGCTACGTCCTGATAAACTCATTGTAAGTTTAAAATGTCGTAAATCAAAAATTCATTTAATACACTGAGCCTACCAAACACCATAGCTTAGCCCAGCCTACCTTAAATGCGCTCAAAACACTTAGTGCACAGTTGGGTAAAATCATCTAACACAATGCTTATTTTATAATAAAGGGTTGAATATCTTATGTAATTTATTGAATGCAGTACTGAAAGTGAAAAACAGAATGGTTGTATGGATACCATTATAAAGTCAGAAATCATAATAAGTCAAGCCACTGTATGTCAGAGGCCGTCTGTATACACTACTCTGCATTCAATACATCTTGCAGATGGCTCCATATCTTTACATATTGGCAATTCACAACCTTGCCTGAACATTAGAGCTACCTGAGTAGACTTTTAAAATCCTAGATGGCCAAGCCATATCCTAGACCAATTAAATTAGAATTTCTGGGGTTGGGCCCCAAGCATCCGAATTTTAAAAAACTTATTCAGGTATAGTCAAGGTTTTGTACCACTATTATCTAAAAAAAAGCTTCTGATGCTGAGAGACGATCACTTAAGGCCAGGAGTTCTGGATCAGCCTAGGCAACACAGTGAGACACCTTCTGTAAAAGAATTTTTTTTAATTAGCTGGGCATGGCCAGACACAGTGACTCACTCCTATAACCCCAGCACATTGGGAGGCTGAGGTGGGAGGACCACTTGAGCCCTGGAGTTCAAGACCAGCCTGGGTAACTTAGGGAGATCTCATCTCTACAAAAAATAAAAAATTTATCTGAGCTTAGTGGTATGCACCTGTAGTCCCAGCTACTTGGGAGGCTGAGGCAGGAGGATCACTTGAGCCCGGGAGGTCAAGGCTGCAGTGAGTCGTGATTGCACCACTCCACTCCATCCTGGGTGACAGAGCAACACCCTATCTTTAAAATAAATAAATAATAAAAACTTCCTCAGGAAAAAAGTGGAGCCAGGCATGATGGCTCACGCCTGTAATCCCAGCACTTTGGGAGGTCAAGGCGGGTGGATCACTTGAGGTCAAGAGTTCAAGACCAGCCTGACCAACATGATGAAACCCCGTCTCTACTAAAAATACAAAAATTTGCTGGGCGTGGTGGTGGGCACCTGTAATCCAAGCTACTCAGCAGGCTGAGGCAGGAGAATCGCTTGAAACCGGGAGGCAGAGGTTGCAGTGAGCCGAGATCATACCATTACACTCCAGCCTGGGCAACAGAGCAAGACTCCATCTCAAAAAAAAAAAAAAAAAATGGAACAAAGTAGAACTACAATAATTCTATCATTTCTTATAGTAGAAAATTTCAGTGACCAACGGTCCTGGTTTTCCATCGATTGAGGGGTTTCCCACGATGAGAGACTTTCAGTGTGGAAGCCAGGAAATTCCCAGGGAAACTGGAATTAGCTGCTCATCCTATAAACAAAATTGATAGATATGTCTAAAGAAACAGAAGATTAAGAGTATTACTGAAACTGTAGTTGCAAAATTATAACTGAGAAAATTATTACAGTAAAAGAGATCTGACTTAACCAACTCCATCTTGGTTCTAACCTCCAAACTGTCCTTGTTCATTCCTTGGCATAAGCCAAACTAACTTTGGGAGTAACTTAGTTTATAGTTTAACTTTGAAACAAGGATGATGTCCCTTCCCAAACAAGGACAATGCCCTTCCCCTTCTGACCTGGGGACTAGACTGCCTTTGCAGGACTAACAAATTAACCACAAGATTAGAAATTATGGTTTAGGAGTCACGCAGATGGAGGCTGAAAGATTTTGGCCCTCCTGGGGATGATATCACTATTGTAAAACCTAAGATCAGCGCTTGAGATATTTTGCACTTGATGGATCAGCTGGCATCACCCAGATCAAAAAACTGGCTCATCTGGTCTTGTGGCCCCCACCCAGGAACTGACTCAGCACAAGAGGACAGCTTTGACTCCTTATGATTTCATCTCCGACCCAACCAATCAGTACTCCTGATTCACTGGCCCCTGCCTATCACATTATCCTAAAATCCGCCATCCTCGAATTTCAGGGAGACTGATTTGAATAATAATAAAATTCCAGTCTCCCGTACAGCTGGCTCTGCATGAATTAAACTCTTTCTCTTTTGCAGTGCCCCTGTCTTGATACATCAGCTCCATCTAGGCAGCGGGCAAGGTGAACCTGTTGGGCGGTTACATTATCACTAATTAGTAATTATCTAATTAATATTAAGACTATAAGAAGCAATTTTGTACTTCAATGAAAAACTGCATTTTTTGGTCCTGTTCATTGTCTTTGAGCTATTTTGCATCTCTTTGTAAATCGTAGGTGACTGATAGATATGCAAACTGTATTACCTAGGAGAGTTTCCTTTGAGTTCTTTCCCTTGTGGAAAAACCAGTTTGCCTCCATTTGTAATTCAATCTCTTTGTCCATTTAAATTTGTGTTCCTTTGACTTTTTCCTTTGAAAGAGTTATCATTCCTGACTGGTTCCCTTGCTAATTAAGGAGAAAAATAAAATCTTCAACACATGTTCATTCTTGTATCTACATGAGGGTTATGTCTTTATCGTTTTCTAAAAATTATTTCTTAAAAAAGTGATAAAGGTAGCTACTAGAACAAAAATAATACACACCTTTCAAATTATCACTAAAAACACAAACAATAATAAAGCAAAGATAATAGACCAACACATAATTGTCATATCAACAAGTAAGATGACTTGCTTGTTGATATGACAATCACCTGCTGAAAGACATTCTCATATTTAATCACAAAGTAAAACCTAATGATAAAACAAAATGATTAAGAAAGGTTGTGGCCAGGTGCAGTGGCTCACCCCTGTAATCCCAGCACTTTGGGAGGCCGAGGCAGGTGGATCATCTGAGGCCAGGAGTTCAAGACCACCCTAGCCAACAAGGCAAAACCCGTCTCTACTAAAAATACAAAAATTAGCCAGGTGTAGTGGCGCACACTTGTAATCCCAGCTACTCAAGAGGCTGAAGCAGGAGAATAGCTTGAACCTGGGAGGTGGAGGTTGCAGTGAGCCAAACTGGCACCGCTGTACTCCAGCCTGGGTGACAGAGTGAGACCCTGTCTCCAAAAAAAAAAAAAAAAAGAAAGAAAAAGAAAAAAAGAAAGTTTGAATACAAAAGGCTGAGAAAAATGTGTTCTTACCAAGCAAGCGTAAAAGGTTAGCGGCGATTAGGCGGAGCACAGTGGCTCACGCCTGTAATCCCAGCACTTTGGGAGGTCGAGGTAGGCTGATCACGAGGTCAGGAGATTGAGATCATTCTGGCTAACACAGTGAAACCCCATCTCTACTAAAAATACAAAAAAAACTTAGCCTGGCATGGTGGCACGCACCTGTAGTCCCAGCTACTTGGGAGGCTGAGGAAGGAGAATCGCTTGAACCTGGGAGGCAGGGGTTGCAGTGAGCCAAGATCACGCCACTGCACTCCAGCCTGCGTGACAGAGTGAGACTCCATCTCAAAAAAAAGAAAAAGTTTAGCAGAGATTCTGATCTTAATACTAGACTTGGGTGAATTCTGTTAAAAAAGAAAAATCATTAAATGAGACAATAGTTCTTTAATAATAAGGTTGGGAAATTCACACAATTGATATTTTTATTAATTCTTATTAGTATCTAAGTAACAAATAATACTTGGCAGCAGGCAAGGTGAATCTGTTTTGTGGTTACATTACCACTAATTAATAATTATCTAATTAATATTAAGACTATACAAAGCAATTTTGTACTGCTTTTTATAGAAACATACCAGTTAGGGAGTTTAATTTACCTCTCTTTTAGGCCATGGTCATAAGGTAGACCCAAATAACATATTTTTTCAATAGAGCTCCTTTTTATATATCAAATTTATAATCTAAAGACTAAAAACTTATTTTATTGTGAGGTATCTATGGAACGTTTTCAAAATTAATTGACTGCACAGTAATTATGTCACAAAAACTTCAATAAATCCCAAAAGTAGTTACATTGCAAAAGGAATAAAGACACCTCTCTCTCCCTCTCCCTACTCTCTGTCTCTCTCTTTTTCTCTAGGGTCTTACTCTTTCACCCAGGCTGGAGTGCATTGGTGATGATAGCTCACTACAACCTCAAAGTCCCAGGCTGAAGTGATCCTCCCACCTCAGCCTCTTCAGTAGCCGAGACTACAGGTGTGTGCCGGCATACGCACCTCGATAATTTTTTTATTTTTAGTAAAGGTGAGGTCTAACTGTGTTGCCTAGGCTGGTCTCAAACTCCTGAGCTTGAGTGATCCCCCTGCCTTGGCCTCCCAAAGTACTGGGATTACAGGCATGAGCCATCATGCCTGGCCTGAGACACCATTCTCTAATCATGATGTAATAAAACAAAAATTATTACAGAACCAGAAAACAAACAAACTTTACCACTTAGACTTTTTTTTTTTTCCTTTTTGAGACAGAGTCTCGCTCTGTCACCCAGGCTGGAGTGCAATGGCGGGACCTCGGCTCACTGCAACCTCCACCTCCCAGGTTCAAGCGATTCTCCTATCTCAAGCCTCCTGAGTAGCTGGGATTACACGCGCCTGCCACCACACCTGGCTAATTTTTTGTATTTTTAGTAGAGACAGGGTTTCACCATGTTAGCCAGGATGGTCTCAATCTCCTGTCCTCGTGATCCGCCCGCCTCAGTCTCCCAAAGTGCTAGGATTACAGGTGTAAGCCACAGTGCCTGGCCTACCACTTGGACTTTTATAACTCTCCCTGACTTAACACTAGGTCCAAAAAGGAAAAAGAAGGAGGAAGAGAAAAAGAAGAAAGTATAAAATATCTCAGTGAAGGAGATCAGATATGGTACCTCAAAATATATAACTTTGGTATAAGGATTATTTTTGAGCTGAAGCAGCAGACACAGGAAGAGCCCTCTGCCTTCCTCCTATCTGACTACAAGCAGGACATACATTTCCTTTCTGCAAAGAAAATTCCCATTTGTAAAGGTCCCCCCACCCATACCAGGAAGAGGAGAATGGAAAATTAATGTTATCTCTAGAGATAGCACTAAATGAGTCTGCATAAACAACCCTTATCTGCCATTAGTTTCCCCCAGAATTTTTCTCATCACCTTCCTACAATTTAACCCCTTAGAAGCCCAAGGCTTCTTTTTCTTTTCTAGTCATTTCTCCATAGTTTATCACTTTATGTTAAAATGGTATATATGCCTTCAAATCCAATCATCTCTTTGGATTTTTCACTTGTTTTCTGTGAAGCCTGGTGCATGTACAATTATTAACATGATAAAGTTGTATGCCTTGGCTGGGCGCAGTTGCTCACACCTGTAATCCTAGCACTTTGGGAGGCTGAGGCGGGTGGATCACAAGGTCAGGAGATCGAGACCATCCTGGCTGACACAGTGAAACCCTGTCTCTACTAAAAATACAAAAAAATTAGCCGGGCGTAGTGGCAGGTGCCTGTAGTCCCAGCTACTCGGGAGGCTGAGACAGGAGAATGGCGTGAACCCGGGAGGTGGAGCTTGCAGTGAGCCGAGATCGTGCCACCGCACTCCAGCCTGGGTGACTGAGCGAGACTCCATCTCAAAAAAAAAAAAAAAAAATGGTTGTGTGCTTTTTCTCCTGTGAATGTGACTCTTGACAGGTTGCCAGGTACTAAAACTGAGGAAAAGCTTTTTTCTCCCCTAAGTAGACAATAATGTTAGTAAAAACCGTATATATCAGAGCCCATAGACTATAGCTAAAACAGTTCGTAGAGAAGAAAAACTATGTTAAAAATACGTTTTTTTCTTTGAGATGGAGTCTCACTCTGTCGCCCAGGCTGGAGTGCAGTGGCATGATCTCAGCTCACTGCAACCTCTGCCTCCTGGGTTTAAGTGATTCTCCTTCCTCAGCCTCCCAAGTAGCTGGGACTACAGGCATGTGCCACCACACCCTGCTAATTTTTTTGTATTTTTAGTAGAGATGGGGTTTCACCATGTTAGCCAGGATGGTCTTGATCTCCTGACCTCATGATTCGCCCACCTCAGCCTCCCAAGGTGCTGGGATTACAGGCATGAGCTGCCACACCCGGCTGTTAAAAATAATTTTAATCAAAATAATAAAATTCATTTAACAAAAAAACTCAAGAAAGTTATAGGGGGAAGGGAAGAAAATCGTTCCTAAGGAAAGCAAGAGGAAGAAATTAATAAAGGATAAACAAATGAATTACAAAACATAAAAATTAGCACTAATAAATAAATCTATGAGTTAGTTCTTCAAAAAGGCCAAGAAAGGAAGAAAGAAAACAAGAAAAAGAAACAACATCCCAAAAGAAAACCAAATAAAAGATATAAACAATTCATAGAAAATAACATACAGAGGGCTCTTAAACATATACAAGGATGCATAACCTTATTCATCAAAAGAGACAATGCAACTTAAAAAATAATAAACAAGCATATGAAAAGCCGCCGAACATCACTAGCCATCAGGGAAATGCCAGTCACAACCATTGAGGGCCCTTGCCAGCCAACGAGAGCAAATCCAGCATCTTACCTCTCACCTCTGCTGCGCTAACTCTTCCCTTCAGGCCCAGCCATACCTGGCTTCAGATGGCAGCAGTGATGATAGGTGGGAGGACTTGGACTCTTGGGACATGGACTCATTCTCTGTGGAGTGTGGAGGGCACTGGCACTACAAGGTAGGGGACCACTGGGAAGGAGAAGATGGAGACATCAAGGATAACTGGGATGATGATGATGTGTCGGGCAGGGAAGGAAGGAAGCAGAAGCAAAACCAGAAGTAAAAATTTCAGGCCAGGCATGGTAGCTCGTGCCTGTAATCCTAGCACGTTGGGAGGCCAAGGCGGGAGGATTGCTTGAGCCCAGGAGTTCAAGACCATCCTAGACAACATGGCAAAATCCTGTCTCTACAAAAATACAAATATTAGCCGGGTGTGGTGGTGCACACCTATGGTCCCAGCTACTCGGGAGGCTGAGATGGAAGGATTGATCACTTGAGCCCAGGAGGATCACTTGAGCCTAGGAGGTCAAGGCTGCAGTGAGCCGAGATGGTGCCACTGCACTCTGGCCTGGGCGACAGAGTAAGACCCTGTCTCAAAAAAAAAAGAAGTAAAATTTTCAGAAAAGAAAAAAATGACAGAGAAGATACTCTAACCTTAATAAAGTCATCGCCCAGTGCGCATGGCAAGTCAGTATGCCGACACACCAGGTTGCAGCAGAGGAAGAGGTTTAATCATAGGACAGCCAAATGGGATCTCAAATCTCCCTGAGGAGTTTGGGGCTAGGGTTTTTAAGGATTTTGGAGTGGGCCCAAGTGTGGAGATTGTTTGGCTGAATGCAGGGTGAAGTGATGAGACACGGAGGTAAGGAGAGTGTATTATTGTGCTGATTCAGTTCCTCCGTGGGGGTCTTTAAATTGGTTGGCATCATTGTTTTGCTGGAATTCAGAATCTGCTAAAGCAGTTTTTAAACAAAAGTCTTAACCTCTGAAAAGGAACATTGGGGATGTAAATGGTAAGCGTCTAGTGCTACATAAGTGACTTAAGGTTACAAAGAAGTGAGTCAAAGCACAGCCTGATTAATGCTTAATTTTTTTTTTTTTTTGAGACTGAGTTTCAATCTTGTTGCCCAGGCTAGAGTGCAATGGTACAGTCTCGGCTCACTGCAACCTCCACCTCCCAGGTTCAAATGATTCTCCTGTCTCATCCTCCCAAGCAGCTGGGATTACAGGTGCCCGCCATCGCACCCGGCTAATTTTTGTATTTTTTTAGTGCAGACAGGGTTTCACTATGTTGGCCAGGCTGGTCTCGAACTCCTGACCTCAGGTGATCCACTTGCCTTAGCTTCACCAAAGTGCTGGGATTACAGACATGAACCACCACACCCGATAATGCTTAATTATAACTATATTTCTGGCCAAAATTCTTGTTAACCCTGTAAGGATGGCTTCAATAAAAGACAAAGAACGGCAACAGAAGAAAAGATAATAAGAAATCAAGAAGAAGTTAGAAGAACGTGAAAAACCTAAAGTGCTAACACCAGAAAAAACAGCAGATAAATCGCAACTAAAGAAATCACAGAAGAAGTCAGATCTCGAATTAGCAAAATAAACCTTTGGTGTTAATAACACAGTTTATGAAATAGATAGCTACGAACCTCTTTAAGAGATAACTTCAGAGTTTGGAAAGTTACTAAAGACAAAAATTACACAGTATGAAAAGTAACTATATTACACCAGTTTTTTCAAGCCTCAGTTTGGGATGAGTGTATTTCATCAGAAATTGATGACTTGCAGTGAAAAACAGAAGCAAGAAAAGCAAAGCCAAAAAGAAGAAAGGTGTGTTTCCCAGAGGGAGATTAAAGGCTACCATGAGAGACAATCTGTGTGGTGGTTATGGTGGAGGATAGATAGTATAAGACTTCATGTGACATTTTACCTTAAATAACAAAACCCAGAAAAACCACAATGAGATCTCATTTCGTGCCCACTAGAATAGCTATTATTGGGGCTCAGAACACAATATCTCCAATTATGGTGCTTTAGCATTGTAGGGGCCAAGGGGAACCCATTGGCCCTTTGAAGGTTTCCCTTGGCCCTCTGAAGATTCACCAAAAAATCACTGATATGAGGCAGATTAATAGGAGAAAAGGCATGCACATTTATTTAACATGTCTACATGGGAGCTGTTAGCATGAAGACCCAAAGATACAAGGACAATTATAATTTTTATGCTTAGATTTAAAAAAGTATGGACAGCTGTATAGAAATATGATTGGACAAGAAGGTATGATCTAAATAAGTGGGAAAACCCATCAAGGCCTCTCTGTCTAGATTTTTCTTGGCCTCTGACCACTTATTCCTTCCTTCTGAGTATGAGACAGAGTCCTGTCTGGAAAGGGACTCTTATGACCTACAGTCAAACAAGGTAGGTCAGGGTAATTTCTTATTTTATTTTAATTTTTAAAATAGAGATGGGGTCTTGTTATGTTGCCCAGGCTGGTCTTGAACTCCTGGCCTCAAGGAATCCTCCTACCTCAGCCTCCTAAACTGCTTGGATTATAGGTGTTAGCCACCACACCTGGCCCAGATAATTTCTTTATGTCCAGTTTTTACATGGAAAGGTGGAGGAAATTAGAGTAATATTTAGATAATTTACATATTATCTAATTATTTTGGTGATAATTGGAGTAAATTAGAGTAATATTTTTAGGTTTTATGACTAGCTCTGGGGAAAAAGGGTTCTGGTTTCGATGACCTGCCTTGGGGAAGAGAGATTCTAGTTTCTATGGCTGGCCTCTGGGGAGAATGGGACTGAGAGACAGGAGAGCATGAGAAGGTCAGAGGAAACTTTTTGTTTCTGAGGCTGCTGCTGATACAGGAGTTAAGAAGAAATTACTTAGGTAGATAGTGAGGGTACAGGAGACCACAGTAAGGTTTTCCTTTTAATGAAAAGCAGCCCCCAAATCATTCTCTTTTCTAACGAAGAGCAACCTGTAAAATCGAGCTGCAGACATAGACAAGCTGGAAGCTTGTACAGGTGAATGCTAGCAGTCGTGCTAATAGGAAAAGGCTACCTGGGACTAGCCATGTTCAAAATGGCGGCTTCTCTTTGCCAAACCATGTGTACAGTAAGGAAAAGACAATATGGCACCAGCCAGGGAAAGACTTCATTTGCATAATAAAATAAGGGTGGGGTGACCAGCCTTCCCCTCAAGCTATGCAAACGTCACACCTGGTCCAACCAATCTGTGGGCCCTACGTAAATCAGACACCACCTCCTCAAGCCTGCCTATAAAATCTGGCTTAGTCCCCCATGGGCCGACTTTTCCCTTTCGGATGTCCCCTCTTCCTCACAAGAGAAAGAGCTGCTCTCCCTTCTCTTTCTTTTGCCTGTTAAACCTCTGCTCCTAAACTCACTCTTCGTGTGTGTCTGTGTCCTTTATCTTCTTGACGCCAGACGACAGACCCTAGGTATTTACCCCAGACAACAATGCCCCTTCACTGCTAAGGTCTTCTTCTTGGGGTATTGTTTTCTGAGTCTCAACAGCATGGCAAGTACTTTGAACTAAAAGAGCTTGGAAGGATCTCAGAAGCAAGATCTCTCTGACCTTCTCCCGTCCTCCTGTCTCCCACCCTTCTTTCTCCTCATAGAAATAAGAATTCTTCTAAGGTGAGTCATAGAAACCAGAGACCCTCTCTCCAAAAGCAAGCCATAAAACCTAGAAAGGTCACTCTCTCCCTTCTCCCGTGAAGGCCCTTATTTCAGGGGAGTCTTGTCCCGCACCTGGGAAGGGTAGAGTGATGCTCCACAGAGAGGCCAAGATGAATCTGGACAGGCCTTGCTGGGTTTTCCCCCTCAGTCTATTCCTATTCACTTGTACCTCTTTGTCCAATCACATTTCTATAAGGCAGTCCCTTCTTAATCAAACCTAAGCAAAAAATAAACGGTTTTCCCTAAGTTGTTGGGCCTTCATTTCTGAAGGCTCCTGTGTCACATAAAACTTTGATTAAATAAATTTGTTATGCTTTTCTCTTGTTAACCTGTCTTTTGTTATCAGAGTGTTGGCCATGTGCCTTATGATGGGTGAGGAAAAGTATCACACCTTTCTGCCCCTACACTGTAATAAAAAATGTTTAAAAACCCAAGTGTTGGCAAAAAATATGGAGAAATTGCAACCCTCATATTGCTGGTGGAAATGTAAAATGGTGCAGCTGCTTTGGAAAATAGTTCGGCAGTTCCTCAAAAGATTAAACATAGAGTTACTATTGGATCTATCAATTCCACTCCTAGGTCCATGGCCAAAAGAATTGAAAACATATGTTCACACAAAAATTTTTACCTGAATGTTTATTAGCAATATTATTCATTATAACGAAAAAGTAGAAACAACCCAAATGTCCACCAACTGATGAATGGATAAACAAAATATGGTATACAATGGAGTATAATTCAGCAATAAAAAGAAATGAAGTATTGATGCATGCTAGAATGGATAGACCTTGACAACATTATGCAAAGTGAAAGAAATCAGTCACAAAAGATGATCACATAATGAATAATTCAATTTATATGAAATGTCCAGAAGAGGCAAATCTATAGAGGCAAGAACAGATTAGCAATTGCCTAGGAATAGGCAATGGGAAAATGGAAAATGACAGTTAATTGGTATGAGGTTTCTTTTGAGGGTAATGAAAATGTTCTACAATTGGCCGGGCGCAGTGGCTCACATCTGTATTCCCAGCACTTTGGGAGGCCAAGGCAGGCAGATCATGAGGTCAGCAGTTTGAGACCAGCCTGGCCAACATGGTGAAACCCTGTCTCTACTAAAAATACAAAAATCAGCCAGGCGTGGTGGCGGGCACCTGTAATCCCAGCTACTCCGGAGACTGAGGCAGGAGAATGGCATGAACTCGGGAGGCACATGTTGCAGACTCTGTCTAAAAAAAAAAAAAAAAAAAAGAAAGAAAGACACAAAAGAAAAAAGTTCTACAATTAATCCTAGTGATGGTCGCATAAATTTACCAAGAATATACCAAAAACCATTGAATTGTACACTCTAAATGAGTTAATTGTATAATATGTGAATCATATGTCAAGCTGTCATTAAAAAAAAAAAAACTCCAAAGCCCAAAGCTATATAGCACCTTTTTTTTTTTTTTTTTTTGAGGCAGAATCTTGCTCTGTTGCCAGGCCGGAGTGCAGTAGTGCGATCTAGGCTCACTGCAACCTCCCCCTCCCAGGTTCAAGCGATTCTCCTGCCTCAGCCTCCCGAGTAGCTGGAACTACAGGAGCGTACCACCATACTCGACTAATTTTTTTTGTGTTTTTAGTAGAGACAAGGTTTCAGCATGTTGGCCAGGCTGGTCTCGAACTCCTGACCTCGTGATCTGCCTGCCTAGGCCTCCCAAAGTGCTGGGATTACAGGCATGAGCCACCATGCCCGGCCGAGATAGCACCTTTTTAATGGTTAGGAAATCCCACCACCCTTATGTTCAGAGAAAAGGCTAACTACAAAGGACCACCTCACCTGACATGTCCAAGATGAGACTTGCCTCCACTCTTCCTCAATGACACCCTTGTTTTATCAAAATGCAAGTTTGGGCTGGGCACAGTGGCTCATGCCTGTAATCCCACCATTTTGGGAAGTCCGGGTGGGTGGATCACCTCAGGTCAGGAGTTTGAGACCAGCCTGGCCAACATGCTGAAACCCCATCCCTACTAAAAATACGAAAATCAGCTGGGCATGCTGGTGGGCGCCTGTAGTCCCAGCTACTCGGGAGACTGAGGCAAGAGAATCAGTTGAACCCAGGAGGCAGAGGTTGCAGTGAGCCAAGATGGCACCACTACACTCCAGCCTGGGTGAAAGAGCGAGATTCCATCTCAAAAAAAAAAAAAAAAATGCAAGTTTGTTTCCTCTTTTTTGAGACCTTTCTCATTAATGAATGTTCTTCCTATTGCACTACCCAAAGTCAAATGGTCTTCACTAATGGGTATATTTTGTCCCAGATGTTATTTAGAGGGTGCTCTTTGCAAGGATTGGTTAGATTTTGAAAACTAGATAATTAATGGAATTGTCAGTGGTCTCACCTTGGGATCATGGGTCTGAACAAATCGGTGTTGAGTATTGAGTTTTGATAGTGTATGAAGCACGTCATAGCTTCTGGCATGACTGGTCTGGCACAGTCAATCTGTTCTGTGAGTCAGGATATGCTTGGCAAGTTGTGGTTTCTGTTCCAATTCTCAACTGTCAGCATTTAGACTAGTACCTGGTTCATGGTAGGTGCTCAATACGTATTTACTTAAAGAATAATGAATTGGCCAGGTGCGGTGGCTCATGTTTGTAATCCCAGCACTTTGGGAGACTGAGACGGGCAGATCACTTGAGGCCAGGAGTTCGAGACCAGCCTGGCCAACATGGTGAAACCCCATCTCTACTAGAAATACAAAAAATTAGCCGGGCATGGTGGCGGGGGCCTGTAATCCCACCTACTCGAGAGGCTGAGGCAGGAGAATTGCTTGAACCCAGAAGGCGGAGGTTGCAGTGAGCCAAGTTTGCGCCATTGCACTCCAGCCTGGGCAACAAGAGCAAAACTCTGTCTCAAATAAAAAAAAAAAAAATCAATATATAGTTGGCAGCAGACCAAAAATAGTTCACCTTCTTTGTTAGTTACAGTTTGGCAAAATCTATATGAAAATACAGGCACACATACCTTTGACCTAGCAATTCCACTTCTGGGAATTAATTCCACAGAAATTTGCATATTGCAAAGAACCACCTGATAAGGTTACTCACTGCAATATTGTTTGCAATCACAAAAGAACAGATGTCTTAGAAATCTCCATTAGTAACAGCCTGCTTAATTCAGCCGTGGTGCACACATACAATGGAATAAGATGCAGGTGTAAAAAGAATGAGCAAGTTCTCATGATACAGAAGATCTCCAAGATATATTCACTCAGTTTCAACCATAACTGCTTTGTTCCTCAGAGCAAGTTCCTTCCGCTCCACGTGGAGGGTTTGAAGGCTTTGAAGGTTCAAATCCAGATATCTGGATTCAAAGCAGAAGAAACCTGGCTCACTCTCTCACTTTCTTCAGGCCTTGGCAAATCTTTCACTGACCACTATAGGAGAATAAAAATAATTTTTTCTTCAACCCTCATAGGTTTTTGATTGGAAAAGACCCTTGTAGCAAAAGATGAGATAAAAACAAACTGAAGTTTAACATGTATATTTAATGTATACATGGAACACACCCAGAGAATGAGTAGTTCTCAAAAAGGTGGCTTTGAATTCTAGCTTATGTGGCATTGTCAACAAAGAACAATGAATATTTAGAGAAGTGACAAGGCAAAGGAAAAGGATTTTGAGTCTCTAGGGGCAGCAACTTGTGAGAAAGCCAATAAATGGCAGAAACAGCCTGGCTAGTAAGGCCTGTTCATGTGGCTTCCTCTGGTGACATCTCCAGGCTGATAAGGGTCCAAAGTTAGACCTTCAGTGCTAATCTTTGTTTTCCCTGGAAGAAGGGTAGCAGGGTAGGATATCTTTTGCCTTTGTAAATCTATGTCCTGCTTTTAGGCAAATAGAAGGAGGGCAGAGAGCTTTCCTGTATCTGCTTCTTCTTAATTGTCTTTAGCTCAAAAATCCTTCATATTTTGGGGTGGCATATTCTGGTCTTCCACACCACCCTATCATAAAATATCCACATCCCATTCACCACCACCCTCGCCACACACACATGCATACATGCACACACATCTATCCCCTTACCCTGTTTTGCTCCATAGCACTTACCACTTATCACTATATATCACTTGTTTATTTATATCCCACAAAAATGTAAGTGTGGCCAGCTCAGTGGCTCACTTGTAATGCTAGCACTTTGGGAGGGCAAGAAGGGAGGATTGCTTGAGCCCAGGAGTTTGAGACCAGCCTGGGCAACATGGTGAGACCCCGTCTCTACAGAAAATTTAAAAACTGGCTGGGGGTAGTGGTGGGTGCCTGTAGTCCCACCTACTTGGAAGGCTGAGGCAGAAGGATCACTTGAGCCCAGGAGGCCGAGGCTGAAGCAAGCAGTGTTCACATCACTGCACTCCAGCCTGGGTGACAGAGCAAGACCTTGTCTTGGAAAAAAAAAAAATTTTTTTAAATGTAAGCTCCAGGAGGGCAAGAAATGTATTTGTTTTGTTCACTACCAAATTCCAAATGCCTAAAAGAGTGCTTGACACATAGTAGGTGCTCGGTAAGTGTTTCCTGAACAAATGAAAACAGTAAATGAAAAAAGCCAGAGGCATTTGAGCCCAGCCTCAAAATACTGGGCTGACTATCCTTATAAATGCTTCTATGTGAATGAAATGTCTTTAAAAGGTTACAGAAGAAATAGGTCATGCTGGTTGCCTGTCAGAAGGTGAACTTGGTGGCTGGGAGACAGAATAGAAGGGAGGCTTTTCATTATACAGTATTCTATTTGTAGATTATTATGCAAAAAATATAACTTAAAAGTAAAAAGGAAAGCTTCTGTATCATTCCTTTTTCATATCTCCATAGTATGCTGTCCTGTGGATGTACTAGAAGTCATTTCATCAATCCTATTTTAATGGGCAAGTTAGTTATTTCCAAACTTTTGCTATTGCAAATAAAGTAGTCTGGATATTTACTTTTCACGTTATAATAAATAGGACACTGAGGTCTTTTTATAACCCCTTAACTTTGGTTATAAATCTTTGCAGTTGAAAATGTAACCAACATCCCCAAGTAAACAAAAGTTTACTGCAGTTAAGTCCATTTGCATTTGCTGGCTGGGAGTGGGGCAGCCTCAGGAAGCAGAGGCTCCTGGGAAAGGGATAATTTAATTAGCATTCTTGCAATCTCATTGGTAAACTCACCCAATCCCTAAGCCTGTATCCTGATAATTTATCAGGATAGGGCTGTCTTACAAAGGAGGGCAAAAAAACAAAAGAACAAACTTCTAACCAAGATGTGGCTCACGCCTGTAATCCCAGCACTTTGGGAGACCAAGGCAGGTGGATCACTTGAGCCCAGGAGTTCAAGACCAGCCTGAGCAACATAGCGAAACCCCATCTCTACTAAAATACAAAAAATGAGCCAGGCATGGTGGCACACACCTGTAGTCCCAGATACCCAGGAGGCTGAGAAGGGAAAATCACCTAAGCCCAGAAAGTTGAGGCTGCAGTGAGCTGTGATTGCACCACTGCAATCTAGCCTGGGCAAGGGGAGTGAGACCCTGTCTCAAAGACAAACAAACAAACAAAAAGTGAAGACAGTTCAGTATTCCTAATTCATACAATGGGAAACATCTGAACTAAAGATTGAGAATCCTGGGTCTGCTACCGAGAAGCAGGGTGACCTTGAGGAAATCACTTCTCTCCTCTGGGCCTCCATCACCAGGTCTGTGGAATGCAGCCTTTGTCTCCCTCCCTCTCACTGGAGACTCAAACACTATGTTGGGTGACTTGAGGCAGCTGCTGAATGGTAGCAGATCTGCCAGGGCTGTCACTTTGTGGTGGTTCTGTAGGTAAATACGGCACTGTGTTGGAAGAGAAAAACAAACAGAGAAGCAGCTGCCTTCTTTTCCAGAAATGACACCAATAGCCTGCAACTACTCAGGTTGATGGGCATGCAGCAGCCCGATGACTCCAGAGATGCGGGGGCAGGGAGCAGAGCATCTGAAACAGGGACATCAGGACCCAGTGACTGCTCTGGTATGACTCAGGGAGGCTGTCAGGGTTGAGCTCTCTGCCAGGGATCCAGAGTGTCCCAGGAGGCCGTCTCTTCTGAAGAATCTGACAAGGCCCAGGCTTCTGGGAATGACTCTGCCCTGTTCTCCTGCCTAACCTGAAAACAGACTCTGGGGAGAAGGAAGCTGATTGACACAGTTTCATTGCCCCCAACACTTGCAAGTGCAAACAGAGGCCACATACCTTCTTATTCTTTGGATCTGTAATCAGATCCTCATTTGGTAAAAAAAAAAATATGAAGTTGCGGCCAGGCCTAACACTTTTGGAGGCTGAGGTGGGTGGATCACCTGAGGTCAGGAGTTCGAGACCAGCCTGACCAACATGGAGAAACCCTCGTCTCTACTAAAAATACAAAAATTAGGTGGCATGGTGGCGGGCGCCTGTAATCCCAGCTACTTGGGAGGCTGAGGCAGGAGAATTGCTTGAACCCAGGAGGGGAGGTTGCAGTGAGCCGAGATCGCACCACTGCACTCCAGCGAGACTCTGTCTCAAAAAAAAAAAAAAAAAGAAGTTGCAGGAATTGCATTCAACCTCTTCAAGTTATGAATTTAATGAGAATAATTTTCTTGCTTATTTTTACAGTTTCATCAGCATTAAAATCTCATTAAAAAAGAATCTGTGGCTGGGCATTGTGACTCGCACCTGTAATCCCAACACTTTAGGAGGCTGTGATGACAGCTCACTGCACTCCAGCCTGGGCAGCAGCAGAATCACTTGAGGCCAGGAGCTGAAGACCAGACTGGGCAACATAGCTGGACCTCATCTCTACAAAAGATAAAAAATTAGCCATGTGAGGTGTATGCATTTGTAGTCTTAGCTTGGGAGGCTGAGGCAGGAGATATGCTTGAGCCCAGGAGTTCCAGGCTGCAGTGAGCTATGATAATGCCACGGTACTCTAGCCTGGGCAATAGAGCAAGACCCTGGCTCAAAAATGGAAGGAAGGAAGGGAGGGAGGGAGGCAGGGAGGGAGGGAGGGAGGGAAGGAGGGAAGGGAAAAGAAAAAGAGTTTGTGAAGTTCTCTTGCTTACAAATTTTATGAGAGACCTCAACAGAAAACTGTTCATTTTCAGTGTTGCCAGTTTTAAAAAATTTAAGCTGATGCGCTTCTGAATACTTTTCCTTTTTTGGCTTTTTTTTTTTTTTGAGCTCCACTGTCATATTTTCTAAATTGATCCCAACTCAACTTGTATTCATTCCTAGTGATCTAAGAGTTTACAAAATAAAGTTGTTTTTCTTCTAAAACATTCAACTTTTTTTTTTTTTTTTGAGACAGTGTCTTGCTCTGTTGCCCAGGCTGGAGTGCAGTGGTATGATCACAGTTCACTGCACTCCATCCTGGGCAACAGTAGCCTCGACCTCCCAAACTTAAGCAATCTTCCCACCTAAGCCTTCCAAGTAGCTGGGACTACAGGTGCTCACTACCATGCCCAGCTAATTTTTTGAGCTCTCTCTGTGGCTCTTTCCCCAGCTCCACCAGGGGTCTCACTATGTTGCCCAGGCTGGTCTCAAACTCCTGGGCTCAAGTGATCCTCTCACCTTAGCCTCCCAAGGTGCTGGGATTACAGGCATGAGCCACCACGCCTGTCCAAATTATTAATATTACAAAGCAAAATACAAAAATTTAGTAAATTTAAAAAATAAAGTTATTTAAGTAAGGCTAAATTTTTTTATACTTGATAATTAAATCTTATTCAATATTATTATAAAAATAAAACTTCAGCCAGGCACAGTGGCTCACGCCTGTAATCCCAAAACTTTGGGAGGCCAAGGCTGGTAGATCATGAGGTCAAGAGATTGAGACCATCCTGGCCAACATGGTGAAACCCCATCTGTACTAAAAATACAAAAATTAGCTGGGTGTGGTGGTGCGTACCTGTAGTTCTAGCTACTCGGGAGGCTGAGGCAGGAGAATCACTTGAACCAGGGAAGCAGAGGTTGTTGCAGTGAGCCAAGATCGTGCCACTGCACTCCAGCCTGGCAACAGAGCGAGACTCCATCTCAAAATTAATAAATAAAACTTCACAATTCTGGGTTTTAATGTCTGCTTAATAAGCAAAGCAAAGAATCTGTATCATGCTTCAAATATCTTACAACTACATGTATATAAATGTAAGACAAATATGAATTCTTTTTTTTTTCCTTTTTTTAAGACAGGATCTAACTCTGTCACTCAGGCTGGAGTACAGTGGTGCGATCATGGCTCTCCACCTCCCAGGCTCAAGCGATTCTCCCACCTCAGGTTCCCAAGTAGCTGGGACCACAGGTGCACACCATCACACCTGGCTAATTTTTTGTATTTTTGGTAGAGACAGGGTTTCACCATGTTGCCCAGGCTGGTCTTGAACTCCTGAGCTCAAGCGATTCACCCACCTTGGCCTCCCAAAGTGCTAGAATTACACATGTGAGCCACTGTGCCTCGCCAAAAAATATCAATTCTTCAGCCTGGCAAAATGTTCCTCAGGCACTGTGGTATATTGTTACATAATGGTCCCCAACACGTCTTACCTCCCTGCATCCAGCCCCTTTGCAATATAATTTCTGCCATGTTTCTCATGGAGACATAGAGTCTATATCCTTCCAACCCCTGGATCTGGGCATCCCTTAAGGCTTCATTTGCTCCATAGACTGAGACAGAAGTAACATGTTGCAACTCCCACAGCTAGGCCTTAATTACATTACACATTTCTGCCATTATGTGAAAATGCCCAGTTCTTTCCTAAAGGAGGAAAGGCTATTTGAAGGAGAACTAGGGCACCCCAGCCAATAGCCAGCGTAAATATCAAGCACATAAACAAAGCCATCTGGGAACATCCAGTGCCAGCTGAGCTGCTGGCTGACTGCAGCTGTATAAGTGACCCCAAAGGAGATCAGCAGAAAAATTGCCCAGCTGAGCCCAACCTAGAATTATGAGCAAATAAATTTTTGTCGTTTTAAGCCACCCAGTTTCGGTGTGGTTTGTTACGCAGGAATAGATAACTGACACAGCCACCACGTGCGACTCCTGTAAACACTAAGCTAATTTGTGAATGCCTCCAGAATCACGGATTAGGACAAATTAAGAAAAAAATAGGCCCTTGGCACTATTGAGAAATAATATTTGGTTATGCCAGGACCTCTTGAATTCATGCTCTCTGAGAGAAGGGACACACATATGAGGCAATTACATTCCTTCTCCCTCCAAAGCAGTGTCTGTCTCCAGTGTCAGCAGGGGCACAACCTGTAGACCTTCGCAGTGTTTGGGCTCAGCAGCCTTTTGTTTTGAGAACATAGGAGGGAAATGTGGAGACTAAGGGTGTTCATCTCACTCATCGGTGCTCACGATTACGGGTCACACTGTGCCAGTGATATGTCCAGCATCCCAGGTGACAAAAGCTCCCATGTGGTCTTCAATAAATTTAATTTTTGTGTTTGTGACATGCAAGGCCCTCCAAAGGGTAGAGGGCCTCTTGCCTGGTCTAAGGGCAATATTGCACTGGCCCCAGATTCCAGGAAATGATGGAGGCCTTGCTTGGGGATTTGTCTATGAACAGTGACTAAGGAAAAGCACTAATGGCTATTCAAACTTGATGTCTATCTCTCTCATTTTTTTTTTCTTTTTTTGAGATGCAGTCTCACTCTGTCATGACCAAGCTGGAGTCCAGTGGCGTGATCTTGGCTCACCACAACCTCTGCCTCCCAGGTTTAAGAGATTCTCCTACCTCACCCTCCTGAGTAGCTGGGATTACAGGCACACGCCACCATGCCCGGCTAATTTTTGTATTTTTAGTAGAGATGGGGTTTCACCATGTTAGTCAGGCTGGTCTCGAACTCCTGACTTCATGATCTGCCCACCTCGGCCTCCCAAAGTGCTGGGATTACAGGTGTGAGACACCACACCCAGCCGATGCCTATCTCTTGACACACCAATCCAGCTTTAGAGAAGATATCCTATAGAAACAAAAGGACTAATAGAGAAGGGTACGTAAAAATGTCTGTCACAAGCATCGCTTAATGTAGCAAAAAGTGAAAAACAACATATACATCATTAACGGGAGATGGTTTCGTGAATTGTGATCTATTCATATTAGCACATGTTATAAAACCATTGAAAAGGTTGTTATATTTATGTTTAGTGACTTGGAGAGATTTCTTTATTGAATATTTACTGAGCATCATCTATGAACCTAGTACTGTTTAAATGCTAGGGATATAGCAGGGAATAAGACAAGGTTTTTTGCTCATGCATTTCACATCTTAGTGGAGGAAGACAGGCCATAAACAAATAAATAAGTATATAGTATCAGCTGGTGAGAAATGCTATGAAGAATAATGGTGGTGGGTTGGGGGATGGAGCCCGGGAGGAAGTGAGGGAAGGAACATTGTGGCCATCAGGAGGACGGGCATTCCAGACTGAGTGCCAAGGCCCTGATTTGGGAATGTGCTTAGTGTGATCTAGTAGCATCAAGGAGGCCAGGGTAGCAGGAGATGGGGATGGGAGGGAAGGTCAGAGAGCAGAGCAGGGATGTTGGGGGGCGGGGGATGTATATGCATGTTGTAGACCACGTAGGGCCTGGCAGCTCCTGGTGAAGACTTTGGTTTTGGTTTTTTTGGTTTTTTACTGATGGGGTCTCACTGTGTTGCTCAGGCTGCATTTGAACTCCTGGACTCAAGCAATCCTCCTGCCTCAGCCTCCCGAGTAACAGACAATGAATGCACTCCCCCCACCTGGCTAAGATAGGTTTTTACTCTGAGTAGAATGGAAACCAGTTAAGATTTCTAAGCTGAGGAGCAACGTGATCTGACAGATTTCAAAGGGTTCCTCTGGCTGCTGTGAGGGGAATGGACTGAAGGGACAAGGGTGGAAGCAGAGAGGGGTGTAGAGGCTGCTGTAGCTAAGTGAGAGAGACAGGATTGGGCTTGCACCAAGTGGAAGCCACGAGGTGGGGGGATGCAGTCTGATTCCAGATGGATTTTGAAGGTGGAGCCTGCAGGACGTCCTGATGGAACTGGATGTGGGGTGTCAGCAAGAAGCCAGACGGCCATTTAATAGTGTTAATGACTAAGGCTAGTTTCAGAGGAAAGAGAGTATAGCCCAATCCCATTTTTGCTCAAATAAACATCAAATAAGACACACTCCCTGTGCACGGATCTTTGTGTATACTAATCCGAGTCTATTAGTTGGCTAGGGCTGCCATCACAAAATACCACAGACTGGGTGGCTTCAGCAACAGAGATTTATTTTCTCAGTTCTGGAGGCCGGAAGTCCAAGATCAAAATGCTGTCAGGGCTGCTTTCTGGTGAGGCCTTTCTTCCTGTCCTGTAGACAGCTGCCTTCTCCTATGTCCTCATATGGCCCCTTCTTTGTGCTTGCTTAGGAGAGAAGTGGGAGCTCTCTCGTGTCTCTTTCCCTTCTTATAAGGACAGCGGTCCTTTTGGCTTTAGGCTGCACCCTTGTGACCTCACTAAATCTTAATTAGCTCCTTGTAGGCCCTGCCTCCAAATACAGTCGAATTAGGGGTTTAGGGCTTCGCCGTATGAATCTGGAGGGACACAATTCAGTCCATAACAATGAATACAGAGAAAGCTGCAGAAGGACATCCACAAGCCATTGCACTCCAGCCTGGGTGACAGAGCAAGACTCTGTTTCAAGAAAAAAAAAAAAAAGAAACCAACTTTCTAGCAAAAGGATCCAGAACATACCATGGTGAAGAGAGTTTCTTTCCTAAACTCCCCTTTCTGCCTAAAAGCAGAGCCTCCCAAAAGAATGCAACCATCATAGATCCCCTTCCCAGAGGTTTCCCAACCATGGAAGAGTGACTCCCTTCACCAGAGGGGAAGCCACAAGGCTATAAAAACTCTCCTAAATAGACATGGTCACAAAACTATCATATCTCCCTCATATCTATTTGCCTTAGGGCCCATTTATCTTTTCTAGAAGTCGCTGGTTTTCCAGTCTCCTTTCTCTCCATCCCCTTCTCCTATTAAGGGTGTATATTGTGTCATAAAATGTCAGAGCTACCGCCAAAAGACAAAGGTCTTTCATCTGAGAGCCTGTGAAAAAGATATATAAGCCCCCAATCCTAATCACCTCTTTGAGCCACATTTTTCTGTGAATTCCCATGTATGTATGTGAGTAAAATTCTGTTTTTGTTTTGCCAATCTGTCTTTTGTCAGTTTAATTCACAGGCCTCCAACACTGAACCTAAGAGAGTGGGGAGAAAGTGTTTCCTTTCTCACAGCTGTCACCTCCTCAGAGGGGTTTTTCCCTGGCTATTCTATCTCAACTAGGCCTCTTTCTCCTTTTTGTTTCCCACAGCATTTACCATACCTTATTCTGACTTTATTTGTCTGTTTACTAGGTTTTGGTCTGCCTTTCAGTAGAATGTAAGCTGCATGGAGGCGTATAATACAAATTCATTAACTACTCAGTGAATGACTGGATGAGGAAATCCGTCATCCTTGGCTCAGGTATTTATTGGTGAGTCTACAAGTGGCAGCTCAGTTCAGCACTCACTCACTGAGAACTTATTAGGTGTCACGATGGTGCTCGGCGTTAGGAACACACAGAGGCCCACTCCCTGTCCTCGAGGAGCTTACAGGAAAACAAGCAGCTATGCTGGGCCCTGGGAGAGGCAGGTATGAGCAGGAGAACCTTACTCTTCCCTCAAGAAGTTTACTGGTATAGGAGGCAGGGAAGAGAAAAAGGAAAACACGTGATAAGGAGCTTGGAAACAAACATGACTCCAAGTACAGTTATTTAGTACACAAATAAAACAGAGATGGTTAAACTATTCTCTAGGCCTTTGTTTAGGGAATAATTCACATCATTCTAATTACAGGGTTGTGAGAATAACAACAGTGTTGGATGGAGCTCATGGTACTTCTGCTTCATTTAGACAAATCTGCCTAAGGAGAGCCCATCCCCTACATACACAGACCCGCTGACAGGCATCGCTGGTTTCTCTTGGAAGCTTTCCAAGTGGCAAGCCTGGCGCCTAGGCTAGTCTTGGAGCCTCTAAAAAGCCTTTCAGGGCTGCCTCCCTACCTCAGTCAGGGCCCCATTAGCTATAAAGGCCAGAGATATACTGAAATTACCCCACCCCTCAAAGAGCACGTAAATAAAAGGGAGAATTTATTGAAATTATTTCAATGCACAGGAACCCAAGAGAAACTGAATAACTAGGCCAGGCCTAGTGTTCTCCGAAAGTGTTCTCATTTCTTCAGATTCCTGAGTTTAAATTTCCATATTCCCCTATTCTCCCCCCAGGTCAGGTGTCCGTGCTGCGGTACAATCATCCCACCCCTGTAAAAACAAGGCCCCCTAGGCCAGAGGAGATAACTCCAAAAGACAACCAGATGGGTGGAGTGATCAACCTTTGTGGTTCATCTGGGACTGAGGGATTTCATAGGGAGCATGGCTTTTAGAGCTAAAACCAGGAACGTTCCAGACAAACCTGGAAAAGTTAGTAATAAGTTCAGCCAACGTCACATCCGTTTCATGCCCATACATCATTAATTTTTTTTTTTTTTTTGAGATGGAGTCTCGCTGTGTTGCCAGGCTGGAGTGCAGTGGTGGAATCTTGGCTCACTGCAGCCTCTGCCTCCCGGATTCAAGTGATTCTCCTGCCTCAGCCTCCCGAGTAGCTGGGACTACAGGCACGCGCCACCATGCCCAGCTAATTTTTGTATTTTTAGTAGAGATGGGGTTTCACCGTGTTGGCCAGGATAGTCTCAATCTCTTGACCTCATGATCCACCCACCTCAGCCTCCCAAAGTGCTGGGATTACAGGCGTGAGCCACCGCACCTGGCCCCCTTCATCATTAATTTTAAGCAACACATTTCTTCATATTTAACATCACTGAAACCAGGATGTGTTTTAAAATGAGTGGCGTCCTGCAATGCGAAGCTGAGTTCTCCTGGAAATGATGCACAGCTGCCAGTCACTTCTAGGTCACCACCAACCTGAGACCACATTAAATTAATTTTCAGCTTGACTTTTTCAGACCACACTGACAGCATGAATTCAGACCTCAAATCTGCATGAGCACAGGCTCGTGGTTCAAATTGTCAGGAGAGAATTGTTGTTCCTCCCTCCACAGTGTCAGGATTGAGACGTGCGCATTTCCAGCCTGCCACTCCTGTGGGAAGACTTATTTTCTTACAGCATCCCAGCTTTTAAGTGGTGTCTCCATATTTGGCTTTTTTTTTTCTTGCATAATGGTACATAAAATAACAGTGCAGCTTACAGTGGATGGTGTCTCCAGTTGGATGAAATACGGGTAATCCTCAACCCCCACCAGCCGCTAGTGCTGGAAGGAGGCTCAGTTCTGTGGAACCCTGGCTTCTCTGGGTGGGAAGAGAATGCTGTCCCGGGTACCTAGGGCTGGATCCTGAGGATATAGAAAGAGTTCTCTCTTGGCCCTGATGAGCTTTTCTCTGAGCTCACTGGCTTGCAGAGCCTGGCAGCCCATTTGGAAAAGTTCTTCACCAGTCTCTCTAGACATATCAGTGTTTAGATAGCCTTCCTTCCCTACAAACACAAAGCTCATTTGTTTGAAATGTTGCAAAACTCCTCCTAACCACTGCCACATGTAGAAAACCCATGGAAGCAGAATTGTAGGAGAATAAGAAGGAGAGGCAGTGTTTCAACTTGAAAACTGGTAGACATGCTTTTTTTTTTTTTTTTTTTTTTTTTTTTTTTTTTTTTTGAGACGGAGTCTTGCTCTGTCGCCCAGGCTGGAGTGCAGTGGCGTGATCTCAGCTCACAGCAACCCTCTGCCTTTCGAGTTCAAGAGATTCTCCTGCTTCAGCCTCCTAAGTAGCTAGGATTACAGGTGCACACCAATACCCCTGGCTAACTTTTTTGTATTTTTAGTGGAGATGGGGTTTCACCATGTTGGCCAGGCTGGTCTCAAACTCCTGGCCTCAGGTGATCCACCTGCCTCGGCCTCCCAAAGTGCTTGAGCCACCATGCCCCACCTGGTAGACATGCTTTCTAACCCCCAGGTTTTCTTTCCCTCCCCCAGGGTGTTCAGCATTTCCTGAATATGTGATACCCCATCCCTATCCTCAGCTCATTCAGTTGACCTTTCCCCAGTCCCCCACCCAAAGCCACTCACCCTCAGGCTGGCTCACCTGTCCTCAGACCCCATCGTTTGTCTTTCTGTGTTGGGGCTCAGGACACACCACCCAAAAATATTACTGTAGGAGACCCAAATATGCCACCCCAAAATACACTTCATTGGTATATTTTGAGCTGGTTATTCTGAGAAACTGCAGACAGGGGTAGCTCTGAAAAGCTTTCTTTTTATAAAAAAAAAAAAACACATCTATAAAGGAAGTTTACCTTAGTAAAAGTATCTGTATTAGGAAGAAGGCTGCTTAGACAAGCTTTATTACCTGAGAGACTTTTCATCTGTGTAAGGTAACCCCCCAGAAGCCCCAAGCCCCTGTTCCTTTCTGTAGCTCAGGATGCTATATAACCTCCAATCATTTGGCCCTTCTGTGACTCTCCTGTTTCTGTGGGTCTCCCATGTGTATGCATGGAATTAAACATGTTTTTCCCCCTGTTAATCTGTCTAATGTCAATGTAATTAGTAGCCTAGCCAATGAACCAGAAGGATAGAGGAAAGCCATTTTTCCTCTCCAATACCTGGTATCATTTCCCAGCTTCCTGAGTGCCAAGGTCTGAATGTTTGTGTTCCCCCAAAATTCCTCCTCTCTGGTTAAAATCCTAACCCCCAAGGTAATGGTGTTAGGAGGTGGGTTGGGGGGGCCTTTGGGGGTGATTAGGTTGTGAGGGCTGTGCCCTCATGAGTGGGATTAGAGCCTTTGTAGAAAAAGCCCAGGGAGCTGCCTTGCTCCTGTAAACCAAAAATAAAATTCTAAGCCCCGCACCATCTGCACAGACCCCTCCTCTTGGCAAGGGCATTCCAAAGCTAACCTGAAAAACTAGTTCAGGCCATGATGGAAAGGAGGGGTCAGACTGCCTCCCTATACCCTCCTCCTTTTTGGAATTACTGATAGAACAGACTCTTTAAGTCTGATAAGAAACATTTACAATCTATTCTCTCTGAAGCCCACTACCTAGAGGCTTTACCTGCATGAGAAAACCTTGCCTCTACAACCCCTTATCTTATCCCAGGCATTCCTAAGTCTTTAGACAATAACTTAACTCTTTCAACCAATTGCCAATCAGAAAAATTTTTGAATCTACCTATGACCTGGAAGTCCCCCACTCCTTCCTGTTGTCCTACCTTTCTGGACCAAACCAATGTACATTTATGTGTATTAGATTGATGTCTCATTGATATGGTTAGGTTCTGTGTCCCCACCTAAATCTCATCTAGAAGAGTAATCCCCATAATCCCCACATGTCAAGGGAGAAACCAGGTGGAGGTAATTGAATCAAGGGATAGTTCCCTCCATGCTGTTCTTGTGATAGTGAGTGAGTTCTCATGAGATCTGATGGTTTTATAAGGGACTCTTCCCCCTCCGCTCAACACTTCTCCTTCCTGCTGCCTTGTGAAGAAGGTGCCTTGCTTCACCTTCTGCCATGATTATAAGTTTCCTGAGGCCTCCCCAGCCATGCTGAACTGTGAGTCAATTAAACCTCTTTTCTTTATAAATTACCTGGTCTCAAGCCATTCTTTATAGCAGTATGAAAAAGGACTAATACACTAATGTTTTCCTAAAATGTATAAAACCAAACTGTGCCCTGACCACCTTGGGCGCATGTTCTCAGGCCCTCCTGAGGGCTGTGTCATGGGCCATGGGTCACTCATATTTAGCTCGGAATAAATCTCTTCAAATATTTTACAGAGTTGGACTCTTTTCATCGACACTCCTTCTACCAAGTGAGGACACATTGAGACGGCGCCATCTATGAACCAGGAAGCAGACCTTCAACAGACACTGAATCTGCCAGAACTTTCATCTTGGGATTTCCCAGCCTCTACAACTATGAGAAATACATTTCTGTTGTTTATAAGCTGCCCAGTGTATGGTATTTTGTTACAGCAGCGTGAATCAACTACTTCCAGCCCAGGGCAGGGACTGTGTCCCCCTGCTGTGTTCAAAGGCAGGGCTCAAACCCAAGGCCAGCCACAGTGAAGCCCCAGGTGGGTGTAGAGGCCTCTTGCCCTGGGGGGAAAGTGGTACACCTTATACTCTGCAACGACCTTCCCAGCTCTGCCAGACCACCCGGGCTAAGGAAAGGGAAGGCAGGACAGGTATGCAAACTCCAGGCTCACAAAGAATTCTGAGGTTTTGTGAGCGCTAAGAATCCAGTTTACGCAAAAAGAGTTTACTTTGTCTAGTTTAACCTAAACCATAAGAGTTGAAGGTATTGATAAAGTGGGACTAGGCGTCTGGTTTTGGTGAAAGAGCCCTGGATTTAGATTCAGAGATTAATATCCAAACTCTGCATTTCTGGGTGCATGACTTTGGCAAGCTGCTCCAACATTTTAGACCTCATTTCCCCCCATTTATAAAAGGAAAGTTATTATTCCCATTTTGGGATTGTGCAAGGATTAAATGGGATAATGTACGCTTTAAAACATGCTTTGTAGACACTAAAGCATTACACAAATATTTAGCCCTGGGAGGGGAGATAAAAGGGTATTCTGCTTAGTGCAATGCTTTTAAATGTGCAGGTTATGAGCTATCAGCAGGTCATGAAAAATATTTAGTGAGTGTAAGGGAAGAATAAAATATTTCCTTCTATTCTTCTATGTTCTCAGCTCAAGCTCCTGTTACAAAAGATAACTAGCAAGAGAAGGGCAAACAGAAGTTTATTAATATGTAGATCTTATATACAAATGGGAGAAACTCAGGGAAGAGTAGTGGCTAAAACTTGAGCTAAAATACACTCTTTAGCTAACAAAGGCAGAAGGATGTGGGCAAGGAAAGTTATGGGAAGGTGACCAGGAAAAGTACAGTAAACAAGGGTAAGATTTGCTGTGCAGATTTAAGTCAGTGCTTTCTCCACTGATAAAAGTCTTGTGATTTAGAGTCTTCTTTTTCTTCCTGGTGCAGAGAGGGAGACATCCTTACAAATGGGGAGTTACTTTAGAAATGTAAATTTCCCTAACCAAAGGGAAACTTATACTGGTTTTGGAGCCTCTCCTGTGTCTGCTATTCCTCAAAATAATCAGCTTAGGGCTAGGCACGGTGGCTGACACCTGTAATTCCAGCACTTTGGGAGGCCAAGGCAAGAAGATCGCTTGAGTCCAAGAGTGTGAGATCAACCTGGGCAACATAACAAGGACTCATCTCTACAGAAAAATAGAAGAAATGTGCAGTAGCATGCACTTGTAGTCCCAGCTACTCAGAAGGCTGAGGCAGGAGGATCACTTGAGCCCAGGAATTTGACGCTGCAGTGAGCTATGATCGCATCACTGCACTCCAGCTTGGGTGACAGAGCAAGACCCTTTCAAGAAAAAAAACAAAAAAGGCTCAAGCTCAAATAATCCTTATGCCAAAATGGCATATTTATTGGGGGAGGTGAGGGAATTCAGGGACTGCCACCCCCAGAATATGATGCCTTGGTGTGCTGATTACATTGAACTGAGGGTACATGGTGAATAGAGGAACAGAAAATCAGGCAGAGGCTTTCTCTGAGTTCCCCTTACCTAAAGACCATCCTCCAAAGGGAACTCAATGGTCCTGAATCCCAGGAATTCCCTTCCCCAGGAATCTCATCCACCAGGGAAGATTAACTGGGATCACACAAGAGAGCCTGGGTGTCACATCCAGACAGAAACCACTTATTCTCCTAAGGGCTGCTCCAGCCAACTTTTGTTACCCGGGAGACTTTTTTTTTTTTGAGACGGAGTTTCACCCTGTCACCCAGGCTGGAGTGGAGTGGTGTGATCTCGGCTCACTGCAACCTCTGCCCCCAGGGTTCAGGAGATTCTCCTGCCTCAGCCTCCCAAGTAGCTGGGACTACAGGCACATGCCACCACACCTGGCTAATTTTTTATTTTTAGTAGAGACAGGGTTTCACCACGTTGGCCAGGCTTGTCTCAAACTCGTGACCTCAGGTGATCTGCCCACCTTGGCATCCCAAAGTGCTGGGATTACAGGAGTGAGCCACCAACCAGTCAACCTGGGAGACTTTTACCTGCATAACAGGAAGACCTTTGTTCACCATACATTTCCTCCCCTCATTCTCTCATAACTTGTGTGGCCACCACACCCGCAGAAGCTGCAAGCCCCTGTTCCCTTCTGTAGCTCAGGATGCCATATAAGCTCCAATCATCAGTCTTTCTTTGAGTCATATTTTGTGGGTCTCTGTGCGTATGATCATAATTAAATATGATTTTTCTCCTGTTAATCTGTCTTATGCCAATTTAATTCATAGCCCAGCCAAGGGACCTAGAAGGGTGGAAGGAAATCATTTTCACTCCCCTACAGTGGCATAATCTGGTTTCATACGGTCATATTTTAGGGTGGCATATTTTGTTCTCCTCCATAAATCATGTTTAGCATTTTAAAATTTGAACAGAATGGAAAATATCAAGGTGTGTATCCCAAATAGTAGGAATAGGTATTTTTTCTTTTATTTAAGTCATGTGTGTGCATGGGTGATATGGTTTGGCTGTGTCCCCACCCAAATCTCATCTTGAATTTCCACGTGTCATGGGAGGGACCCCATGGGAGGTAATTGAATCATGGGGGCAGGTCTTTCCCATGCTATTTTCGTGATGGTGAATAAGTCTCACAAGATCTGTTGGCTTAATAAAGAGGAATTTCCCTGCACAAGCTCTCTCTCTTGGCCTGCTGCCATCCATGGAAGATGTGACTTGCTTCACCTTGCCTTCCACCATGATTGTGACCCCTCCCCAGCCAAGTGGAACTGTGCATCTATCAAACCTCTTTCTTTTGTAAATTGCCCAGTCTCAGGTATGTCTCTATCAGCAGCGTGAAAATGGACTAATACAATTGATATGCGTGTTGTGATATAAAATCTAAGTCTTTTCCACCACAGCACACATACTAACACTACTTGTTTCTGTGGTAAATAATGGAAGTAAAAATAAATGGAGCTGTTTTTGCTTTGCTGTACTTTTCAACTGCAGCATTTGTGCATTCCAAGAGTGGGAGAAGAATTCATCTTGGGAAAGAATGTATCTTTTGTTTGGGAAAAACGTCTTAATGGGCCCTGTGGTTATGCAAAGGTAAGGCCCTGAGATCAGGCTGAAGTAAGCTCTTGCAGACCAAAGGAGCTATAATGCTCTGCATAATAAAGTCAATATTTAAGGGTTTCTGTTTCCTTTGGTGGTCCTAGAAGGAGCAATTTGAGGCCTGGGGCTTCAGGGAAGAGAATTTAAGCTTGGCTCAAGGAGGGAGACTTTAAGTAAAGGCCTCCCTTGACACTGGTGTAACCAAAGGACTCAGGAACTTCTCTGTACTAAGTACTAAATGAAGTTCTCCCCTCCCGTACTTTAAAGTCCTTACAAGGATCTTCAGGCCTTCGGTGGAGTTAATAAAACCTTCTAACCTTGATCTCTCCAGGTAGCCCTGTCTCCAGAATGACGGGAAGGTCCCTGTTTGGGAGGAAAAACCTCAGAGGAAGTGGAAGGTATGCAGAGCCTGTGATGGAGGAGCCAGAGAGATCCAGGAGAAGCTGGAAGCAGCAGAGTGGCAGGAGACCAGTGACTGTGAGGGTGGATGTACTTCCAGGAATTCTTGGCAATTTGGAAAGGGGTTAGAATTCCTCTGGCTGCAGAGCATGTTCTTTTCTTTGATTATTTAAGTAAAGGGTAATTCTGGAAGGTTGGAAAATGTAGGACACCCACTACGTAAAAATCAGGAAGGTACTAACCTATAGCTTCAAGCAAGACTCATCAGGACTATGAGCCTCACCACCACTACCATCATGGTTATTACCACCATCTCCTACCACAGGGCAAAGCTGAGTGACCCTGGTAGGCAGAATAATGGCCCCCCAAAGACGCCCAAGTCCTAATCCTCAAAACCTGAAAATATGTTACAGTACATAGCAAAGGGGAATTAAGGTTGCCAATCCCTTGACCTTAAAATAGAAAGGGCACCCTAGATTATGCAGGTAGGCCCAATGTAATCATATAGATCTATAGAAAGTAAAAAGTTTCCTCTTCAAAGTTTCCCTTCTTGTTAAAAAATAAATCATAAGTGTTAGAAATAATAGTTTCTTTTAAAGACTTTCTTCAAACCTCTTTGATCTGTGCTAATAACTCTTTGTTAAGCCCTATCCCATATAGCTGTTGGACATGCTCACAGGCACGTTCCAGCTCACAGCCTATGCCCCTTCCTTATTTGGAAATGTTATTGCTTCTTTAAATCTTTTGTAAGCAACTTCCTCCTTTCCTTTGTTCTCCCTTGCCTTCACCTATTTAAGAAAGTTTTAGCTTGTTAGCAAATCGGGTATCAGTTTAGACTATGAGGTTTGGCTCCAGCTAGTGGATGCAGGACACAGCAGTAAGAACGACCCAAATGCGTAAGAGATAAATATGTCTGCTTTTCCTTTGTTCAGTATACTCTCGTGGCAAGATGGCTGGCGAGTGTACCCTTTCTGCAGAAAGTAAAAATTGCCTTGTTGAGAGAATTAAATTTATGTTCAAGTGCTATTTCTTTATGGCACCAGGGAACAAGCATTTTGCATTCCTAACAGATCCTTAAATGTGGAAGAGGGAGGCAAAAGAGTGTTAAAATATACCCCCAACAAACAAAGTGGACTCCTTGTGGCTAAAATGAGACACACCGAAAACAGAATCTCATGGCCAGCAGGATGGAGGATTAGTCACGAATCCCAGTGTCGTTAATGGCCATAAGGTTTATTTCCTGTAATTAAGCAGAAACCACTTCCTGAAAAGCATTGCCCAAACAACTATAGCTGGAAAATTTCCCAAATGACCCCAAGATTCTAGCCGACCCAACGCCCCCCTCTTGCCTCCTGCATACCCAGTCTCCAATCTCCCCTCCCTCCCCACCACAACTCTGATTGGACAGAGGACTGGTCTTATAAACTTTCTTTACTGATAAATGGCTGCAGACCTCAAGCCAGTCACAGCCATTTAGCTTATAGAGACTGTGCACAAAGTGTCTGTTTACCTTTTGAGATCAAGAGCCAAATTCTACCTCATTTTAATTCCTGAAACCCCATCCCAAAGTGAATGGAATGTATGTTATAGACATTTACCCACTGTGCACGTGCCAGCCATCCCTCATGAATATTCATAGAATGTCCCCAACCCTGCTCAATACGCATGTAAGTCTTGCCCTATAAGACACATATACCAGCTCCCCCTTCCTTCTGTAGGGCGTGTACTTTCGGTTGTCCCTGGAAGCTATGTTCCTCAATCCACGATTGCTTCTCCCTCTGAAAATAAAGTCTTCTCCTTTCCTTTCTCTGTGTACCTCATGGTCTTTTGTTAACAAGAGTGGGTGTCAGAGTGATGTGATCTGAGGAAGGCTCAGCCAGCCGTGGCTGGCTTTGAAGAAGGAAGGGGCTATGAGCCAGGGAATGTGGCGGCCTCCAGGAGCTGCAAAAGGTAAATGGATTTCCCTGAGTGTGCAGAAGGACACAGACCTTAAGACACTCCCTGCACAGCAAGCTTATCTATGTGCTGACTTAGAAGCTCCAGAGCGGGAGCTCTCTTCCATCAAGAGATCACCTGAGAGACAACAGTCAATTTACAACCTAAAGTACGCCCGCGAGAGAACTGTCTCCCACCCGGAGGGGATCTTGAGGCAATGGCCACTTTACGACTTGCAATGGCATCAGCTTGACCACTTGGTAGATACGGCACCAAAGTCAGTCACTTAGACCTTGCACCTGCTCATTCCCTCCCATGCATGCCATTCATGCCAAATCCCCTTTAAAATTCCCTGCTTTCTGCCCCAAAAGTGAAGCAATACCCTTAAAGGCAAGAGCCTGTACTTCCCCTAAGCTAAACATTGGAATAAAGTCACTTTCTTTAGACCAGACCTCACTTTTGTGAATTGGACCCTGCAGGTGGCAAGTGACTGGTACGTGTTTCAGTTACACTGCTGCTCCAACATCATCCGCCAAAGAAAATCACCAGCCAGGGCTGGCTATGTGGCTCTACCGTATCACAAAGACACCAAGAAATGCAATCCTGACATATGCCCAGAAGGGGATAAAACTAAAATGGATATTTGGCAAAAGCATTGATGATTACCACATATAAATGACCGTATAGGGCCAGGCATGGTGGCTCATGCCTATAATCCCAGCACTTTGGGAGACCAAGGCAGGAGGATCACTGGAGCCCAGGAGTTTGAGACCAGCCTGGGAATCGAACCCATCTCTATGTAAAACAAACAATAAGCAGCAACAACAATAAAAAAACCCACACACAAGAAAATGACCTTATAGGTTTTCCTACAACCCCATAATGCAAGGAGTTAGAGAGTAATCTTTTTTTTTTCCAGAAGTGTGGAAGGGGCAGCAATGGCTTGTTTCAACCAACCTCCTAGTGAGTACAACTCTAAGCTGGACAAAATGTTCTTGAAATAGGTGTGAATGTACTAGAGAACTACCAAAGGCAGTGAGGACTTGATGGGCCAAGATCCCAGGGAGAAGGGAAGCCCAGGGAGGTGAGACTCACATTGGGGGCTGCTTTTTCTCTTAGGCATTTACCATTCAAAAGTGGCAGATGATACCACATCATACCCACTAGGATAGCAAGGATGCATAGAAGTTGGAATCCTTGAGCATCGTTGGTGGGAATGTCAAATGGTCCAGCTACCGTGGAAAACAGCATGGTGGTCCTCAAAAAATTAGACAGAATTACTGTTAGGATCCAGCAATTCTACTATTAGGTATATATCCGAAAGAATTAAAAGCAGGGACTTGAACAGATATACGTACATCCATGTTCACAGCAGAATTATTTGCAATAGCCAAGAGATGGAAACAAAACGTTGACCTGAAGAATCTGAGGCAAAATGAATGTAGACAGTTTATTTGGGCCAAGGTTGAGGGCAACTGGCTTCCAAGTTGGTTTGGGGAGTGGTCCATTCAGCATAGGTTACAAGCAGGTTTTTAAAGGCAAAAGAGAACAAGAAATGGGCTGATACAAAATTGTTTGACAGGAATTCTCACTGGTTTGCAGAAACAACATTGATTAGCAATTGCCTGTGCGTAGTTGAAATGTAGAGTATGAGTTATGGTGTTTAGCATGGGGCATTTTATGGCTACTTGGCATTAGTTAGTCTAGAGCCTGCATAGTAAGTGGCTTCAAGAGGTAATTATTTGGCTTACGGGGGGAGTGAGAATGATTGCTGTCACACACTGTCACATTTCAGTGCTCTCTGGGCCTGGTAGTTAAAGGGGGCTCCCATTCCCCATATAAAAATATTTTCCTTTTTTTTTTTTTTGAGACAGAGCCTCGCTCTGTTGCCCAGGCTAGAGTGCAGTGGTGTGATCTCGGCTCACAGCAACTTCTGCCTCCCAGGTTCAAGCAATTCTCCTGCCTCAGCCTCCCAAGCAGCTGAGATTACAGGCATGCACCACCACGCCTGGCTAATTTTTGTATTTTTACTAGAGACGGGGTTTCACCATGTTGGCCAGGCTGGTCTTGGACACCTGACCTCAGGTGGTCTGCCTGCCTCAGCTTCCCAAAGTGCCGGGATTACAGGTGTGAGCCACCACGCCCAGCAAAAAATGTTGTTTTCTTTCTCAAACCCAAATATCTATCAACAGATGAATGGATAAACAAAACATGGTACATACAGATACAATGGATAACCAGAACATCATCTGAGAAATGGGAATAATAATACCAAGCTTACATGGTTGCGTGAGGATAGAGAAAAACGTGTATAAGATATCTGACACAATGCTTTTGTACTTTAAAAATGGTATGTCTGTGTAAACGCACCCAAGTGGAGCAATTGTTATAATGGAAAAATACTGACATCCACAGTGAGATTATTCTTGTAATACATATACAAATGTGCTAGGGGAAGAGGCTAGAAACAGATACAGCTGAGTAAAAACCGAGGCTCTCAAAGGTCACGGCAGAGCAGAGGAGCAGTGGGAAGAGATGCTTGTGGAGGTTTTGACACCTGAGTGAACCCTGAGGCTTCTGGGTTTTGATGTTCCTCGCATTTTAATAATAGCAAGAGGAAACTAACATAAGAAAGAAATCCAGTGCAATATTTATTTTATGGTATTCTCTGTAAAATATGGTCACTTAAGCTTCTATGGATTAATGAAGAAAAGCCCTCACAGTCTAATTGAATCTTCTGCTGCTGTGTAATTGAAAAACAGGAATGAAAAATAACCCTATGGTGGGTTCTGAAATGGCTCAAGTTCAGCAAGGTCTGTCAGCCTCCAAAGGGCTGCTCCAGATAAGGTTTAAGCTTTCAAATGTCAAGGAGACTGCTCGCTCAGGAGCTCCCAAATTGAAATTCAGATTTTTTTTTTTTTTCAGGGCTAAAAGTCACACTTAATTATGCTCTGAGCTTGAGAAATTCCTTAAGTAGCAGCTGCTTCTCTCAGGAATTAGGTTGAAGGAACGAGAAATGTTTTGTCCCATCCCCCATTAATTTAACAATTGAAATGTAGGCACGGAGAGATGATAGGGAAGAACAGGAAGAGATGGGAGCAGAGAGAGAAGGGCCGGGAGTATGTATCCCAGCCTGGGAGACAGGCAAGGTGGGCTTGAGGTGGGTCAGAACTACCCTTTTTAATAGCTTCAGGGTCTTTTCCCCACCTGTCTCACTCCCTTAGATACCCTTCCCTTGAATTTATACTCTCCCCATTTATCCCTTATTAAATCTCTTCTCAGGATAGAATTTAACAAGCAGATTTCTGTTGAAGGGAAGGTGATGGCCATAGATTAAAATAAAGACTTCCCTGGGAGATCTCTGAACAGAGAACAAAACCTCAAACCAAAGGAGTCATTTCTCATCTTGATTTAAAGGTCAGTGAGCAGAAGAATGTTCCCTGAGAGGAGCATTTAGTGTCCCTGAGATGGTGGGGTCTCTACGCAGGAAAGCAGCCTTATTCTCACTCTCTCTATTCATAGGCTGTTGTGCCAGACCCCAGTTGACTCCAGTAGGAATGGCACTGTGTCTGAGGGGACAAAAAGAGATCCAGAGAGAGTGAACGAGACAAAGGGTTTACTGGGGGCATTTAAAAATAGGGACAGTCCAGTGGCAGTGGGCTGAACAGAAAGACTGCTACCCTTTGTGAAAAGCAAGCACCTAGCAGCCTCCATTTAACCCAAAACAAAATGCCTAGATCCCCTGTGTGGCCTGCATTCCACAGGATGGGCCAGAAGCTCTGATGTCCTTCAAACCACAGGGAGTGAATCTCCAGGTTGGCCACTCCGGGATTCCTTAGGTTGTAACTCCAAAAACAGTTTCTTCTTGGACCGTAGTCATTCTCAGCGTATGCGTAAGTTAAGGCTGCCAGGTGCCTCTGCCACACATAGAGTACATTTCCTACCATTGTAACCTTTATTATCATTGTAAACATTAACATTTACATTTACTATAATTGAGTTAACACTTACTATAATTGGGCCTTTAATGAAATATTTCATTTCTTTATGATTTCACTATTTTTTGGCCTGTTTAGATTTGATTAAAAGGAGAGTTTTTAAATCTCCCACCACAATCATAAAACCAAATTTATAGAATAATTTCCTAGTAGCTCTATCAGTATTCATTTAAATTTAGATAAATAGATATGTATTAGGCTTATGTCTCACTATTATTGTTTCCTCTTTTTATCATATTCCACTACGCTGAGATTTTTGCTTTGATTCATTTGGTTTATTTATTTATTTATTTATTTATTTATTTATTTTTATTTATTTTTGAGATGGAGTCTTGCTCTGTCACCCAGGCTGGAGTGTAATGGCACAATCTTGGCTCACTGCAACCTGCACCACCCAGGTTCAAGTGATTCTTCTGCCTCAACCTCCCAAGTAGCTGGGATTACAGGCGGACACCACCACACCCAGCTCATTTTTTTGTAGTTTAGTAGAGACAGTTCATTGTGTTGCTCAGGCTGGTCTCGAACTCCTGAACTCAGGCAATCCACCCGCCTCAGCCTCCCAAAGTGATAGGATTACGGGTGTGAGCCACTGCCACTGTGCCTGGCCTTTATTTATTATTTTTTAAGCACATACCACCTTTGGGATTGATTCACATGTTGCTTGGATGGAGGCTTTTCTTGAATAAATTCCCCAAGTAGAGTGTGTGGGTGCAGTACTCTCTGACCCATATCATATCCACAGAAAACATTCTCTCACCCTGATAAGTGAGGCCTGTCAGTCAGCCTGGGTGTCAGATCCTTAGGCCAAGGTCTTTTTTTTTTTTTTTTTTTTTTTTTTTTTTGAGACGGAGTCTTGCTCTGTTACCAGGCTGGAGCGCAGTGGCGTGATCTCACTGCAACCTCCACCTGCCGGGTTCAAGCGATCCTCCTGCCTCAGCCTCCCGAGTACCTGGGACTACAGGCGCCAGCCACCATGCCTGGCTAATTTTTCAAGGTCTTTTTACTCTCATTGTCATTAGATTTTATTCTGCAATCTTCTAGCTTCCATTGTTGTAGATGAAAAGCCTGAGGAAGGTCTGATACTCCTTTATAAGTCATTTGTTCTTTTTGCCTGGAAACTTACAGAAATTTCTCTTTATCCTGGAAGTTGAGGGCTTTTTACAGGATATTTCTAGATGTGTGCCTTTTTTTCTCAATCCAGGCTGGAATTCAATGAGCCCTTTTAAATAACAAGTCTTTTTTAATCACAGAAGCATTTTCTCTTTCTCTTTCTCTCTCTCTCTTTCTTTGTTTTGACAGAGTCTCACTCTGTTGCCCAAGCTGGAGTGCAGTGGCATGATCACAGCTCACTGCAGCCTTGACCTCCGACTCAAGTGTTCCTCCCACCTCAACTTCATCATTTATTTAATCCCTGTACTTCCTCCAACAATTCCTTTTCTCCTTCTTGAATTTCTGTTTCTTAAATTAGGTCTCCTGGATCAATCCTCTAAGCCTTTTATCATGGCAAAATTGCATGGGCATTAAGAAGCAAAAACATGTGATTAACAACAGCACAGCAAACCACCACGGCACATGTTTACCTATGTAACAAACCTACACATCCTTCACATGTATCCTGGAACTTAAAATAAAATTAAGTTAAATTTAAAACAACAACAACAACAACAACAAACCAGCACTTCACAGCACAGTGACAGAAGCGCAACTACCTGGGTCTGAACACCAGCTGTGCAACCCTGGGATTGTTCCTTACCCCTCTGAGCCTCAGTTTCCTCAGCTGTGACATGGGTTGGTGAGTAATAATAGCTAACTCATAGGTGTTAGTATAAATTAAGTATATTAATGTATGTAAGTTTTGATAATAATATAGTGATTATATTCCCTCATCTTTTTGAAGTTCTGTGCTATGATTTGAGATTTTCTTCCATTTGATCTTCCAGGCTACTGATTAATATTTCTACTGTTAAAGCAAACTAAATATGGCCTGAGAAGGACTCTGTACTCCTATATTTGAGTCCTTGTGGATGAACTGTAACCTAGCTTAATAGTCAGACAAAATTGAAAACCTAACTTAATAGTATGTACCTGTAACAATAACTGAGTGTTGGACAATCCCAGTGGTCATACTTCAACCACTCATAGACTGCTGAATGTTCAAACTACGCACAAATAAGGCAAACGCAGAGCTGTAACCAATCTCACTGTTTCTGTACCTCACTTCTGATTCCTGTACGTCACTTTACCTTTTTTTTTTTTTTTTTTGAAACAGAGTCTTGCTCTGTCGCCCAGGCTGGAGTGCAGTGGCACAATCTCGGCTCACTGCAAGCTCCGCCTCCCGGGTTCAGCCATTCTCCTGCCTCAGCCTCCCGAGTAGCTGGGACTACAGGCGCCCGCCACCACGCCCAGCTAATTTTTTGTATTTTTAGTAGACACGGGTTTCACCTTGTTAGCCAGGATGGTCTCGAGCTCCTGACCTCATGATCCGGCCACCTCGGCCTCCCAAAGTGCTGGGATTACAGGCGTGAGCCACCGTGCCCGGCCGCTTCACTTTACCCTTTTTTGTCTAAAAATTTGTCCTGACCACGAGGCACCCCGAGAGTCTCTGTGAATCTGCTGTGATTCTGGGGGCTGCCTGAATTACAAATTGTTCCCTGCTCAATTAAACTCCTTTAAATTTAATTTGGCTGAAGTTTTTCTTTTATCACCACTTTGCCCATGAGCTCTTTGAATACATCTACTGAGTTTTTAATCAGAAAATCACGTTTTTAGTTCCAGGAAAAATGTTTTGATGCTATATTTAAGGCTTCTTAAATGCTCAGGAGGTAGACTGTATCATTATCCTCAGTTATTTACTGCTCCTCTCTGCAAGATGCTTACACTTTTCTACCCTGCTAACATCGGGCTTGGCGAGTGACTTGCTTTAGCCAATGAAATGTGAGCAGAAGCAACACAGGCCATTTCTGAGAAGCTTTAAGAGTCTTCATGTGGGCCGGGCACGGTGGCTCACGCCTGTAATCTCAGCACTTTGGGAGGCTGAGGTGGGTGGATTGCCTGAGGTCGGGAGTTTGAGACCAGCCTGGCCAGCATGATGAAACCCCATCTCTACTTTAAAAAATACAAAAATTAGCCGGGGATGGTGGCAGGCACCTGTAATCCCAGCTACTTGGGAAGCTGAGGCAGGAAAATCTCTTGAACCAGGGAGGCGGAGGTTGCAGCGAGCCGAGATCGCGCCATTGCACTCCAGCCTGGGCAACAGAATGAGACTGTCTCAAAAAAAAAAAAAAAAAAAGAGTCTTCATGTGGTTCTGATGTCCCTTTTTCTGTCTTTCAGATAGGAGGGTGCTGTTCCTTGAACTTGAATCCTAAAATGAACAAGATATGAGGCAGGGCCAAACCCACTCATGAAGGCCATGTGATATGACAAAGAAGCAAACCTTTGTTTTCATAAGCCGCGGAGCTTCTGGGGTTGGTTGTTTCCATAGCACAATCTAGCAAAAGCTTACTAATACAGCCAATATGTTTGTTTGTTTGTTTTTTGAGACAGAATTTCACTCTGTCGCCCAGGCTGGAGTGCAGTGGCATGATCTCGGCTCACTGCAACCTCTGCCTCCCGGGTTCAAGTGATTCTCGTGCCTCAGCCTCCCCAGTAGCTGGGATTACAGGTGCGCACCACCACGCCCAGTTAAGTTTTGATTAATATAGATTGCTGTTATTTTGTTACTTGATGTTAGGCTCATGGTAGGGTCTAAGGGCATTCTTGCTTCTCCTGGTCCAGCCTCAGTCTTAGGCAGAGGCTGTGAGCCTGAGCCCTGTGGTTGAGGCCTTCTCAGAGTTTCTGCTCCTTTCCCATCCCCATGGCAACCAAACTCTGTCCTGGAATCTGTGCTGGGTCTTGGGTGTAAAAGAGCCCCTCCGGCCAGTCATAGTGGTTTATGCCTATAATTCCAGCACTTTGGGAGGCTGAGGTGTGAGGATTGCTTGAGGCCAGGAGTTCAAGACCAGCCTGAGCAACATAGCAAGAGTCCCTCCTCCAGACTCACACGTCTCCACTGTATATTGGTGCAGAATCCTAGGCCCAGAAGGTTTTCCTACCCCTGTTTTCCCAGGAGAAGTCAGCTTTTGCTTTGACTCTTATCCCAGAAGCAGTGGATCTTTGCCCTTGCCAGTGTAGAATGAGAGTTTCCTACTGTTTCCCAAAGGCAGCCAGACTCTGCTTCTACACCTGTGGCTCTGGGGTGGAAACTGTTTGCTGCCATTCTTCTAGCTGCTTGATGCTTTTACTTGATGAAAGAGGAGTCTTTGGAAGTGAGTCCCCACCCACTTCTTGGCTACACCCTGGCGTAGGGTTGCCTGCATCATCTTGAATGCCTGCACCATCAAGCATGGGGCTCTTGCCCTATCCCCATTTTTTCTCATGAGCACCTAGTGGAGGCCCATGGAAAAGGGCTTGTAGTGACAAACTCCCCTTCTCTCTGGGGCTCCCAGTCATTCTAAACTGATACGCGCCGGGTGCAGTGTCTCACGCCTGTAATCCCAGCACCTTGGGAGGCTGAGGCAGGCAGATCACTTGAGGTCAGGAGTCTTGAGACCAGCCTGGCCAACATGGTGAAACCCTGTTTCTACTAAAAATACAAAAATTAGCCAGGCATGGTGGTGCAGGCCTGTAATCCCAGCTACTTGGGAGGCTGAGGCATGAGAATGACTAGAACCTGGGAGGAGGAGGTTGCAGTGAGCCAAGATTGCACCACTGCATTCCAGCCTGGGTGACAGAGCAAGACTCTGTCTCAAAAATAAATTAATAAATAAACTGAATGCTAATCCATACTTAGTCTTCGGGAATCCAAGACATTTGAGTTCCTTCCTTTTTACCAACACCGGTGGTGGCCACTTCCTTCTGTTCTCTGCCAAAGACAGGACCCCCCTCATGGTATCCAAGCTGTGCAGTCACACAGTGCCCTGTGCTCAGAAGTTCCCCATATTTTTCACTGGGTCCTATAAATCTGTAAATGATGTAGCCAGTCCTGGGCAAAGGTAAAATAGCCCCTGTTCCCTATTTCTTCTCACGGGGGATAGTTACTCTTTGGAATTCAGTTCATTTCATTGCCTTGCGACCTCAGCTCTCTGACGAGTTCAAGAAAAGGTATGATTTGTAGATTATACGTCTTTTTCTCACCGTTTGGATGGGAGTTCTGTTCTTTTTTTTTTTTTTTTTTTTTTTTTGAGGTGGAGTCTTGCTCTGTCACCCAGGCTGGAGTGCAGTGGCACGATCTCAGCTCACTGCAAGCTCCGCCTCCCGGGTTCATGCCATTCTCCTGCCTCAGCCTCCCAAGTAGCTTGGACTACAGGCGCCCGCCACCATGCCCAGCTAATTTTTTATATTTTTAGTAGAGACGGGGTTTCACCGTGTTAGCCGGGATGGTCTCGATCTCCTGACCTTGTGATCCACCTGCCTCGGCCTCCCAAAGTGCTGGGATTACAGGCGTGAGCCACTGCACCCGGCCTGAGGAGTTCTGTTCTTTATTCATCTGCATCCTAAGCAAAAACAGCCTCTTTCTGTTAGAAATTATTTGAGGCCTCAAAGGGAGGTAACAGTGCTATGTTGTCTGCAGATTCCCTGCCAGGGATAAGTTGGTGATGGACAAGTGATTATCCCTGGGTGGTGTGACTCTTTTTTCTACTTTTTATTTGATTATATTATCCCAAATTACTTTTACAATGAGCAATCCCTGCTTGATTAAAAACAACTAGAGCATCAAACTTTGAAGCATCCCTTTTAAACTTTTTTTTGTTTTGTTTTGTTTTGTTTTTTAGTGACAGTGAAATGATCCCTCAGAGTTCCTTCCCTAGACTCACTGGAGAAAACAGCATATCCAGGGGCACAAAGTGATATTATACAGAAGGCACAGACAACAAATTAACAGAACTCTGCTGCTCTAGGACATAGCTCCTTCAATTCCTGGCCTTTGGATCAGGTGACAGAAGGGCCACTCTCTAAATATCTCCTTCCAGTACCATCATTTCTGCACTGGCTAGTAAGGACCAAATGTGGCCCCTGTTCCTTTCCTCCCATTCTGCTTTTGGGTAGTGGCTGCTTCCTGCTGAGACAGCATGTTTTTGGGCACTCCCTCTGGGAACATGGCATAAGAGGGAGTCAGAAGCCTTCCTCTCATCTCTGCCTCCAAGTCTATCACCTTAGACAAGTCGCTGATCCTCTCCAAGCCTCAGTTTTTTTTTTCATCTAAAAAATAAAGGTAAGCACGATAACCACCCCCACTGGGTTTTTTTTAAGGAGGACCAAATGTGATGATGTTTTAAAAAAGTATTTTACAAGCTGTAAAGAACCCTCATTATTCATCTTGGTAAGCAACTTATACCTGGGAGTAGAATGGGGTAGGGGACAGATGGAAATGGGTCCTCACGTTCACTTTCAGAGCTCATATTTTGGAGCAAAACTTGGAGATAATAGTATCTGACTCTTCTCTTGTCTTTTAACCACCACTCCCCTACACCCTGGTGAAACCTCAGTGTGTGGGTGTGGTTGCAGGGGCAGGCTATCTCTGTGGTCACAATACTCAGGGGGCCTCCTTCCTTCCTGCTACCTTCTCCCTGGCTGAGTGGGCATGTGTGTTGGGGAGAGCTTCTACTACCATCAAATAGAACCTATTAAGTACCTGGCAAGTGTTTCTCTGCTAGCTGGACACTAATCCTTTTCTGCAAGGGAGGGACCCCTTAATAGCCATCACTAGGACATCTTCTCTGCCCTTGCCAACGCAGCTGCTGCTTCATGATCTCCCTGGAACAGGAGGGAACTTCCCCCCCAAACAGAAGGTGTGCCCCATTACAAGGCCACAGAAATAAACTCCCTCTGCAGCTTCTCAACTAAATGGGGACTCCCAGATGGTAAGGCCCAAGTTCCAGGAGAAGCACAGCCAGGTTATCCCATGACAGGGAGCTGTCCACTACTGGCTGGTGGGCGATAGGGCACATCTGAAAAGGTGATTCTCTTTGACTAACTGCTCTTCATGGCATACAGCCTAGCAACTTGACCATTGATATTTCCTTTTTTCCTAGCATGGCTTTCTTTTATTTTATTAATTTATTTCAAAATTATATGTATCTGAACACCTGTGAACACATCTGTCAACCCAAGATCTAATTTTTTTTTTTTTGAGACAGGGTTTCACTGGTACCAAGGGGAGTGGCACAATCACGGCTCACTGCAACCTTGACCTCTTCAGGTTCAGGTGATCCTCCCACCTCAAGTAGCTATAGCTGGGACTATAGGTGCACCTGTAACAGGTGCACCAAGCTCAACTAATTTTTTAAATTTTTATTATTTTTGTAGAGACGAGGTCTCCCTGTGTTGCCCAGGCTGGTCTCAAACTCCTGGGCTCAAGTGATCTACCAGCCTTGGCCTCCCAAATGCTGGGATTACAGGCATGAGCCACTGCACCTGGCCTAAAATATCAACAATAACTTACATTTACCTGTGTGCTTCCCTTTACCCCTTTACTTCCATTTTGTCCTAATAATTTTCTTCCTTTAAAAAATAGTTAAATTAGTGTTATCCTTAATTAATGTTTAATTAATGTTAAATTATATTTGATTAACGTAATGCTTAATAAATGTTTAGTTTTAGTTGTTTTTAAACTTGTTAGAGGGCCAGCCACAGAGGCTCACACCTATAATCCCAGCACTTTTGGGGGCCAAGGTGGGAGGATCGCTTGAGCCCAGGAGTTAGAGACTAGCCTGGGCAACATGGCAAGAACCCATCTTTACAAAAAAATACAAAAATTAGCTGGGCATGGTGGCATGTGCCTGCTGTCCCAGCTGCTCAGAAGGCTGAGGCGGGAGGATCACTTGAGCCTGGGAAGTGGAGGTTGCAGTGAGCCGAGGTTGTACCACTTCACTCCAGCCTGGGTGACAGAGTTAGACCCTGTCTCAAAAAATAAATAAATGAAGAACACTTGATAGAAAGGTATTATGTTATAGGTAGTCTATATATAATTATATTGTAAGAACAGTGTAGCATGTAGTTATAGTTCATTGCTTTAATTGTGTAATATTCTACAGTGTGAATATTTCAATTTGCTTATTCATTTACCTGTCAGTGGACATTTGGGATGTTTCTGGTTTGATTTTGTTTGTTTTTGCTGATATCTACAGAGCTCCTAAGGGTATTCTAATAGATATATCTTGATGCACACATTGGGTCATAGAGAATGTGAATATTCAATTTTATAATATAGTTAATATAGTCAATAATAGTCAATAATAATAATAAAATGTATCAATCTGTTCTCTTTTTGGTTGGTACTTTTTTGTACCTAATTTAAGAATTCTTCCCCTCTTTTTAAATATTTTTTAGCGACAGGTCTTGTTCTCTTACTCAGGCTTCAGTGCAGTGGCTCAATCGTAGCTCACTGCAGCCTGGAACTCCTGGGCTCAAGCAATCCTCCTACCTCAGTCTCCTGAGTAGCTGGGACTACAGGCACATGCCACCACACCCAGACAATTTAAAACATTTTTTTATAGAGACAGGGTCTGCTTTGTTGCCCAGACTAGTCTCAAAATCCTGGCCTCAAGTGATCCCTCTACCTTGGCCTCCAAGAATGTTAGAATTACAGGTGTGAGCCACCGTGCCTGGCCTCTTCCCTTCTTTAGTCCAAGAAAGACAGTCCTCTATCTTTTCTACCAAGATAAACAATGAAGACATGCTTTGACATTGCCCAGTTTCATTTTTCTCCATATGGATGTTTTCCTAGCTTCAGTTATTGAATAGTTCCTCTTTTATCTCCTAATATGATATAGCGATTGATATTTTAACCATAACTTCACATTGATTCTTCATAGAAGAAAAAATTTCACTCATAATCTTAATAAAACATTATGTTGACATATACCTTTAAAACATATCAATTAATTACTTTTTTTTTTTTTTTTGAGACGGAGTCTCGCTCTGTCTCCCAGTCTGGAGTGCAGTGGTGCGGTCTCCGCTCACTGCAAGCTCCGCCTCTCGGGTTCACGCCATT